>NC_000015.10:40246570-40549601 GCF_000001405.40 Homo sapiens
GGACAGGAGGAGGGGCTGCCTCATGGATGATGAGGTCCATCATCCTAGCAGAGGCTGTTGTACCAGCCACTGACGAGGGTGTGGCAGTGGTGTTACCAGAACCCTGCTATGTCAGCGTTCAAATACATGTCCCAGCAGGCCAACCACCCCTGCAGCAGTCAAGGGGTTCTGTCCGGTGTGTGCCAGAATGCTAGGGAAGAGAGGACCCTGAGAAGGATGGCAGCATGGCACAGACACGCCATGTGGCAGTTAGACAGGTCATGCCTTCTGACCCAGGGCACATGCAGAGGTCCACAGACTCTGAGGCCAGCTAGTTAGTGTTCCCAGGGGGCTGCACAGCCCAGAGCCTGTGAGTTTTGTGCATCTGGAGCTAAGGTGTTCTGCCCAAAGTGTTGGAGGTGGGCCTCAGGCAACAAATACCCTGCTTCCTCACATCCCCTTTTCTTCCTTGGAGCTTGGGCCTGGGCCCTCACCTAGTCAGGCACAGGCCTCCACTCCCCCACACTCACCTGTCCTTCCTGAAAGTCAGCCACTGGGCTCCACGCAGGGGTGTCACAGTCAGAGCCCTGCTCCAGCCTCAGACCTGGGGCAGTCACTGGAAACTCAGAAGAGAGAAGACAAGACAATGAAAGTTTCCCATTCAAGGAGGCATCCAGCTGTTAGTTCTGCCAGCAAAAATGCCAGCCAGAGAGCTAAACTGCCAGCAAAAGATATTTGGATGGAACTTTGGAGGCCATTAAGAGCAGGCACTGCAAAGCAATTGTAGCGAAAAGATATTAAATGAATCCATCACGTCTCTAAAATGAGTGTCCTTACCACAGATCTGGCTCTTGCTGTTCCCCAGCCCTTCCCAGGGTAGCCCAGGATGCACCTGGGACGGGCGCCGCAGCCTGCAATGGTCCCTGCATCTGAGGAGCTCCTCCCAGGTCACCAGGCTCCTTGGGACTGTCAGGCAGGTTTAGCCCCCAGTGTCAGCTTGTGTTTGGGGAGGATGGTTTTATATATTCTCGTTGGCACAGGAAGCCTAGTACAGATGCAGAACCTGAGGGAAAGGCAGGCAGAGAGAGAGAGGCTCGAGGTTCTGCTGAGGCCCAGGGTATCAGCAGGGCACATCTGTACAGCAGCCGGGCGGGGACCCATGGACTTTTCCAAAACACCTAACCAGGCCCTAGACAGTGCTACCCCCTGGCGCTGGGCTCTCTTTCCGGAACCCGGGGTGAACAGACCTGTTGGGTTGATTTAGTAGCAAGTGGTAGCCTTGTTTTCTGGACGAATCCTGGGATTCTACTCCATGGCACATCAAACCAAGCTCCAGTGTGCATGCCCAGGGTCGGGGAGGGGAGCTTTCTCCTTGGTCCCTTCTGCAGCTGTGAGGGCTGAGGGTTAAGAACCTTTCACCCCGTTTGGGGGTGCTGCTCCTCCATAGCCCTGTACCCCAATGCTCTAGACTTCATTATTCCACCACCTTCCCCAGGGCGGGAGGTACTCTTTCCATTACATGCATCAGGAAACTGAGGCCAGAGACATGCTGTAAGTCTTGCGAGGCAAGAGGGCTCCCGTCCGCAGGACTCCATGGCTCTGCAGCTAGACTCCGTCAACTTCCCTCCTGCCTGGGGACCCCAAGGGCCTGGCAGTGTCAGCTCCCTCGGCTCACACTTCCAGATGCTCGGAGGTTCAGAGGTTTGCACCTCCCTCTTGGTCCCATCAGCAGAGAGAGATGGGTGGTCCCATCAGGGTGAGGAGCAGGAAGAAGCAGGTGCTGGACAGCCTGGAGGAGAGGGGGAGGAAGGGATTTTCTCCCAAGAGTGCCTCTCTCCCAGGCTTCGGGCTCCAGGGTGAGTGGGCAGCGACCCCTCTAGGAGCCCCAGCTCCACAGGGCTCCTCCTGCCAAGCATCCAGCACACGTGCCCCCACCTCCCCGGCAGGTCCTGCTTGAGGGCCTGAGGCGACTGGGCCATCTGGGTCTGTGAAGGGCAGATGTGGGATGCAGGAACTTCAGGCAGGGTGCTGGCTTGTGGCCAGGAAAGCCTAGCACCTGATTCCTAGCAGGGAACTCAGTGACAGAGTGGGGGAACCTGAGGGCCCCTCTGCCCCTCACACCCAGTGCCATGTGGGGGTCCTCGCGTGTTACACAGAAATAGGAAGGGACGGTCCTCCTACCCGCACCCCAGCCCTCTTGTGTCTCACGTGACAGCCTGCCTGGGCAGTGATTTTTTTAAAACACAAATGCCTTATATTAAGGTCTGAGTTGGTCTCTCCCCACTGCCCGTTCAAACATTCCATGGCACCAGCAGCCTCTAAGCAGCAGAGTTGAGAGAACCAGCTTTGGGGTCGGATACACTTCCGTTCAAATTCCAGCTCCTCCCCTCAGTAACTGGCTTACTTAGTCTTTCTGGACTGGATAACAAAATACTATGGACTGGTGGCTTATAAACAACAGAAATTTATTTCTCACAGTTCTGGAAGCTGAGAAGCCCAAGAGCAAGGTGCTGGCAGATCCGGTGTCTGGTGAGGGCCTGCTTCCAGGTTCAGAGCTGGCTGTCTTTTTGCTATAACCTCACATGATGGAAAGGGCCAGGGATCTCTCTGGGGGCCTCTTTCATAAAGGCATGAATCCCATTCATGAGGGCTCTGCTTTCGTGACTTAATCACCTGCCAACAACCCCGCCTCCTAATACCCTCATATTAGTGATTAGGTTTCAACAGATGAATCTTGGGGGACATAGGTTTCAACAGATGAATCTTGGGGGGACACAAACATTCAGTCTATAGCAGTAATTATGAGACCTTCATCTGTTCTTTAACCACTCCGAGCCTCAGTTTCCTCATTTGTAAAATGCGAATAATAATTGTACAGGACTTCCATCCCAGGGTTCTTGTGAAGACTAAGGGAGGTAGCACAGGTACATAGCTTTGTACGGGGCCTGGCCCACGGGAAGCATGCCATCATTGGCAGCCATTACTATTTCTATTATTAGGGGAGGGCTGAGTCGCCCAGAGGAAGGAGTCTGAACGGAGTAAAAGAGCTTGTTAGTCGCCTTCCTCATCCCCAGAAAACTTTTCAAGTCATGGAGCAGAAAGATGCAGGGAAGGGATAATGTGTTTGTCTTTCTAAACCACAAGCTGATCCCTATCTTTCCTCTTTGGCCCTAGCCCGAGCACTCAGCCCTGGCTGTTGGCACTCAGATGTTACAACAGGCCCCGACAGCCACAGGCTGAGGGATAACCGGGAAGTGCCTGCCCCACCCGATGTGCCCACCTTGCTGCCCTCCCAGACCATACTGGCCTGCCAATGCCTCTGAGATGGCACCACTCCAAGAGCCATGTCCCCCTGTGAAATGTCTGTTTTGGGTGTCTCTTCCAGAGATCCTACCCAATTTGTAGAATGGGAGTGCCTGGACAATTCCTTCAACCAGAAGGTCTGTGCCAGCAGCCAAGGCTCCTCAAAGGAGGATGTGCCTGGAGCCCCCTGTGCTCAGCACGGCAACCTGGGAACAAGGCCAGAGGGTGGCACATGGATGCTGCAGGAGACACTGTCCCCAGACTGCTCCTGACACTTCCTGTGCTGTTGTTCTGCCCTTTCCTCCTGGGCAGGGCTGAGCTGGGCACGGATCAGAGGAGAATAGAGAAGGGGGAGAGTCACACACAGGAATTAATCACTCAGGACCTACCCTGAATGGATGATTCAGTGTGTATCCCCAGCTGTCTCAATGTGTGGGGAGAGGGGTGGCAACGGGGCGGATCGTGCAACCCGGTGCAGCTGAACCTCATGTAGACGAGACTGGAAGTGCAGAAAACTGGCGTTGTGATGGACCTGAGGGATTCCCTAGTCTAGTCTTGTATCCAGTTCTCTGGCCTACCCAACTGACGGTTATTCTTGAATACCTCCAGTGATGGGGGACTCATTACCTCCTTGGTCAGTCTAACTTGACCTTCTGCCTCTCTCAAGGCCCCAAACCCACTGTAGCTCCCAAGGGGTGGGAGGAACCCAGGGTTTCCTAGAGTTATTCTCTATAGGGTGAGGATGGGACTTGGCTAGTCGCCATTCTAGGGTACCTAAGCCTGGATTCAAACCAAATTGAATACCAGTTCATTTCTGGTAATAATCTAACATTCATACTTTATTGTAGTTCTGTTCAAAAGTACTGCTTGGAGCTGTGATTTGGGTATATAAGGCATTTGTAGTCAAAGAAAATAATTCACATATGCATTCATGAATCAGTAAAAATAATTTAGGGTGTCGATTCTAGGTTAGACAATATAATGCTTTCATTCTAGCTTTGGTTCATGGTTCATTTCAAATCCTCAGCAACCAATCTCTGCCACCTCCACGCAGCACATTCTGCTTCTGCAGCCAGCATTCGACCAGTGTACCCATGTCCTTGGGTAACGAATCTGTGGGGGGAGCCATTCTGGTATCACCTGGTCCCCCTCCCACTGCCCCCTCATCCAAGGCCTAGCAGTCAGCTTCCTGGGTGACCACAGGAGGTCAGAGTTTGTCTAAGCGGGTCAGGCCTACAGTATTGTCCACTCAGAGGAAAGAGAAAGAATCCGCGTGGGAAAGACACAAAGAGGAGGAGGAGGAGGCGACAGAGTAAGGGGAGGAGAACAGAAACTAAATATAAATATGTGTTGGGGATGTTGGGGATGGCAGCAGGGTATGGTTAGCTGGCTGGCTCCCACACCACTGTCCCACAGCACAGAGGGCCAGCATCTGCACCTGGCACCATGCTTTCCCTAGGAAAGCCGAGGGCATTGGGCTTGTGGTGCAGCCACACAGGGTACAGACCTGTTTGGGACTGTCAGGTTCCCACGGGTTGCCTGAGCTCTATTAGGTGGGCGCCTTAGAGTAAATTGTGTGAAACCAATACAGCCTATAATGCAAAAGATTGAGCCGTGAGTAGATTGATGCGTCTAAAGAATCAGTGAACAAAAATAAGTGGCCATAGTGACCTCAGTTAATCATTGAAGTCTGAGGTGCCCAACAATGATTTTTAAAATCCCTGCACTGTCCTTGGTCCCCGCTCTGTGACACTGGCAGTCACCCAGCCACCACTTGACGGCAGCCATTTGGAGTCCACATGTACTGAGTTTCCAAGCCAGAACTTCCTCAGCACTCAGCCAGAACACAGCCTTTCTCTGGGGGCCCAAGACAAGGAGAGCAAAGGTCTTCTCACTTCTTTATCTGGGGAAGAGATGAGTGATTCCTGTCCCTTCCCCCAGTATAGAAAACACCCTGTACCCCAAAAGAAACATGGCACAGGGGCAGCCAGGAGTGAGCCCCTTGGAATGGCCATTCTGATCTTAGGCAGGGACTGCTGAGGACAAGCAGAGGATGCCGACTCTGGGACAAAATCACAGGCGGAGGGGCTCCGAAACAGGCCCTAGCCGCTCTGGGGGTGCGGGTCTCCTGCCCTAGGACTCTCAGGCTAGAAAGTCCTCAGGACTCAGGACTGCGCAAGGGCTGACAAGGGAACTGGAATCCCTTAAATCCCGCTTTCCTGCCTGCGCAAGGGGCTACCCCAGCACAGTCTTGGGGCCCTGTCCACATGGGACAGATCATCCAAGGTGACAGGTTTTCCGACTCCCGCGTGGGCTCTCCAGGATGTGTGGGTGGGCACACGCGGCCCGCTCAGGTCCGGGAGAGTCGGCCCGCGGCTCTGGAGCGTGCATCTGCGATGCCAGTGAACGAGGTGATTACACACAGCCGGCGCTCAGCTGATTCTCCAGGTCGGGTCTCCGCGAGGCGGCCACTGGGCCGTGGAGCCGCAGGCAGGTCCCCGCGGCTGTGGCCAGGCCAGGGCCCGGAGGCGAAGGGCGGGCGGGAACTGGGGCCAAGCAGGTGGAGAGAAAGAGTTGAGCAGCACGGCGCCCCTCGGGCAGAGGGGCTCCTGGCCAAGGCCCCAGCGACACTTGGCAACTTCTCCCGCGCTCTGGGTTCGCCGCCGCGTCCTACCTGAGGCCACACCCTGAAATCAAAATCGCGGTCAGGTGAAGCCGGCGCTGCACCAACGTGTAAGCGCGGCCCCTCCTCGGCGTTCCCGCGCCGAGGTCCCTCCCGCGGAGGGCGGGCCCGGCTCCCACGACCTCTTCGAGCGTTCCTGGGCTTCCCGCTCCGCAGGTGGGTTCCCCGGCTGCCCCGGAGGTTCGCGGCGAGAGGACGGGCCTCCCAACACGCGCAGCCCCCTTCCTGGGTGCCCATGCCCCGAAGTTCGGGACCAGCCGGCGCCAGGCGAGGGGCCTTGGGCGCAGGCATCTGGAGCTCCGCGTCCCTGGAGCGGGACCTCCCTCCGCGGGCGCCCGCCCGGCGCGGGGCATTCGCGTCCCCGAGAGGGCGCAGCAGTGGGGCCTGCGAGCTGGGGCCGGGTGGCCGCGCCGGGTCGGAGTGTGGCTGGAGAGGGGCCGCCCCGGAAGCGGTGCTGCGCCCAACGTCCCCTTCTCCCCGTAAGCCCCGCAAGGAGCCTGCCGCCTCTTGCACCTGAGCCAGGAGTTCAGTCGGGAGGCGGGCGCGGAGCGGTTCCCAGCGCCTGGACGTCAGCCAGTCGCAACACCCGCGGGAACACTTGCTACATTTGCCATAATGCATTTCTGATCTGTTTCCGCGCAGGCCTGCGGAGGACTGGCCCAGCAAGGTCCCAGGTCTTCCCTCTCCTCAGCGCCTAAGAGAGAGGCCCAGTGCGGGTGAGGAGTCGCGAGGAAGAGGCGGAAGGCGCCGGAAGGTGAGTGAGCGAGCGGCCCCCGGCCCTAGAGCCTTCTGCACCCATTTTGAAGAGCAGGCAGGGAGGGACAGTGGGCAGGCAGGTGGCCCTCCTGGGCTGGCTCCTTCCTGGTACTGCTAGGCAGCGGAGGTGGTCCCTTCCAGGTGCCGTCTCTCGATCCTTAGTGGGTGCATGTTAAGTCACTTACACCACTTTGCCCCATGGCCCCACGGTAGGCTGGTAGACGTCAAGACCTCAAATGGCCCGCCCTGCCCCCGGGCCCATCTTCAGGTCTGATGCCTGTCCTGGGTGAGGGTGTCACCGCGGCAGAGTGCAGGGAATTCATGCCGGGGAAGAGGTTCCCAAACAGGAAGGGTGGTGGCAGGCCCAGTGGCTGTGCAGGGCAGGGTGGGAGGCAGCCGTGGGAGACTCCCGCAGGAGTTACAGGTGAAGCTGCCGCTCCACACATCCCAGCCCACCGCTCATTCCCCAGATCTCCAGACCTGCTCAGGTGGCATCCGATCTGGAGTGTAGGTGCTGCTGGGAGCACTGGAGGCTAAGCCATGAAGAGCTCCCAGGGTGTAGGTTGCGTTTTCTGTATCTTGCCCCATTCTGGTGGTTTTTTGGGGGCTTTTCTGACTTGTTTTTCTGGGTGAAGGGGGCAGAGGGGCTCAGGTCTGTGTCCATGCTCGTTTTTGGTGGCCGGTGTGGCATAGGTTGCCGCATTGGATAAGAAAACGCCTGGTTCCATGCAAGGTGAGGTTCAGCCTGCAGTGCCATGAATTCTCCTCCATAGTATATAGGACAGTGGCCGAAGACACATTTGGAACCGAAGAGAGTGGGGTTTGAATCTATCCAGACTTTGCCTTTGACTCCTTAGACAAGTTGCTTCACTTCTCTACAAACTTATAAATGGCCTCATCTGTAAAATGGGAATGCGAATGCCTTCCTCCTCATTAGGCGGTTGTGGGGAGTAACTGCCTCATCAGCCTCCAGCTGCTATGTTGGGAAGGGCTAAGCCACTCCAAGTTCTCCCATCCTGGAGAGCTTTGAGGGCAGTCTGGCTGTTTGGCAAGCTATTGTCAGAGGGTATTAGAGCAAAGCAATAGGAATAAAGTAAAGGTAGGGGTCCTTGGAGGGCGAGTAGTGAGAGACCCTAATTCAGGGTCTCTGGACCTCGTGGTGACCCAGGGAAGGGGCCATTCCTGGAAGAGGATCTGGCTTGGGCATCAGAAACAGCAGCGCCCCCTGCACATCACACATGTTCATGTGTTCATGGGTGACCCTGGAACCTCAACTGTTGCCTGGGATAGAGGGAGCCTCTGGCTTGAGCTTCCAGTCCCATCTCTGTTCTGCATAGCTGTGTGATCCAGAGCAGGTCACTTGACTTCTCTGGGCACTGGGCATTGTGGATGAGCCTGGAGTTTGGAGTCGGAGAGATCTGACTTTGAATCCCAGCTCCACACTTACTGTCTTGGACAATTACTTCTCTCTGAGCCTCAGTTTCTTCATCTGTAAAACAGAGCTCGCAGTAGCTACAATTAGCCATTAGATGTACTAATAAAAAGCACCTAGCACAGTCTATCCATGTGGTGGGCACTTTATAAGCATACCTTTCTTTTCTTGCCTCCTCCTTCTCTCTCCAGCTCCCTGCTGTCTTTAAAATGGGCCCAGGAAAGCAGGTTCAGCCCAACTCACAATGGTGTTGTGAGTGTAAAGTTGTGAGTGTTAAGGAGGTGAAATAGAGGTCTGGAAAGTTAAGAGCTGTAGAAAAAAAGGCAATCTTGTGATTAGGGATGCCAGAGGTTCCTTCTGCTTAGCATAGGGTTCCAATGCCAGAGGTTCCAATGCTTAGCATAGGGTCCTAGCTAGGCATTGAGGACCCTATGCTAAGGACTCAGACCTCTGTGTGCAGAGGCTGTTGAGAATCTAGGGTAGGCCGGGCGCGGTGGCTCACGCCTGTTGACACAAGTGACTGAATGAGCTGTATTACTGTATTCTTTTAAACAGCAGCCCATTATCTCTCCCCTGGGGATTCACTGGGGCCAGTGGTATGGGAATAGTGACAAAGGCAGAGAGCCCAAACATTTTGGCAGGTTGCATGTCATGCTGTCTGCCCTGGCCCATGCTGCATCTGTCTGGGTCCCTCAAGTGGGACAGCAGAGCCTCAGGGTCCTGCTCATCCTCCCAGGGCCTCTCCGCACTTCAGCACACTGACCCTGAGCAGGTTGTTTGAATCTTGTGGGCATCCACATGAGGGCCACAACCTGCGTCTAGGACCCTCCTCCCCCGCAGGTGACAGCTGAGCAGAAAAGCAGATGAAATTTCCTTCCCCCGTGTATTTTGGGAGCCAGGATAGGGTGCTGGGGTGCCACCTCTCCTGACTCTCAAGTCACGTGAAGAGGAGCAGATGGCAGACTCGGACCCCAGTAGAGGCTGAGGTGAGACAGAGTTCAGCTCCACACAAGGATCAGCGAGGGGACAGAGGGGACAGAAGGCAGGGGCTGCAGGGGGAGCTTTTCATCGCTGAATGAGTTCTAGCAGAGTGCGGGCAGCCTCCTGTTGGGAATGCCAGAGGGACTGAACTTTGGGCCAAGGGGAAGGTCAGACCCCGTCAGGAGTGCCACAGATCCTGCACTACCATCTCTTCTGGCTGCAGAAGGTTGGCCTAGAGCAACACCTGTTTGGAAGAAGCAAACTAAACCACACAGGAGTGAGGATTTCCTCTCGTTTACCATGGTCCCCAGAGCCTGGAGTAGAGTAGGTCCATAATAGATACTTTCTGAATAAAGGAATACTATAATTTCCCAGCTGGGCACGGTGGTATGCTCCTCTAGTCCTGACCACTCAAGCGACTGAGGTGGGAGGGTGGGTTGAGGCCAGACGTTCGAGGCTGCAGTAAGCTCTGATCGCGCCACTGCATTTCAGCCTGGGCGACTGAGTGAGACTCTGTCTCTAAAAAAAAATTTTTTTTTTGAAACAAACTTCTGAAAGTAAAGTTTGAGAAAAATCCTTCTGGCCAATGAGAATATTCCAGTGAAAGGCTGTCTTCTGTTCGCGGTAATTCTCAGCCAAGGGGTCAGGTGAGGCCTGTCACCTGTCAGAATGTGTGTGGGATGACAGTTCCCAAAGGGGGTTACAAAGAGGTCAAGAAACCCTGCTGCAGGTCTCAGCATGTCAGGGCCCAGCCCTGGAGGTGACAGGGTCCTCTGGAGGCCACTCTGACAGGTTGGTGATGGTAGTAGAGTGCTTTCCTAAGTTTTGTAGCACTCGGGGCTCACCTCTGTCTTGGGGCTGTGATTCTAGGATAGGCCCTTCCCCAGAGTGTCTTGGATGGGCCTGAGAATAACAGAGGGTGGTGGTAGGAGCAGATGGCCACTGCAGCCAAGTTCACATCAGGTCCTGGGTCAGACTCGTGTCTGCCCCTTCTTTGCCTCTCGGCTTGAATGAGTCACTTAGTCTCTCCTTCTCTGCATAATGGAGACAGTACTAGTGCTACCTCACAGGCTTGTGGCGAGGAGATCACATGTGTGAAATGCTCAGCCCAGAGCCTGCTACTTCCGTCTTATGCTAGGCTCTTCCTGAGTGACGACCGTGAGAAATATCCAAAGCTCCTCCGTGAGCAGGAACAGATGCTCCCCCTCACTGTGCCTGGAGAAGCTGGCAGAGGTGAATTAATCCATCCCTTGTCATCTACAAAAATGTCGAGGCCTACGTAAGGCGAGTAGGCCAAGGTCACAAGCCGGGACTTAGGAACACCAAGCCCAAGGTCCACGCTGAGCCAGCACTCGGGCTTGTGGCCCAGGACTTGAGCCCTGGTAAGCAGACCCTGAGCCTCACTGTGAGAAAGCCTGGGCCTGCCGCCCCCCTCTCACCCCCTGGCACCTTGAGCAACCCAGGAGCTGGCCCACTAGGCAGCGGCCTCCTCTCTTCCCAGTCGCCCGCAAATGGCAGGGAATTCCACCAGCTTCATTTCTAACAGCTTCCCAGCAATCCCAGCGCTTACACAGCCAGCCCAACGCTGACCCCTCCGGGTGGCTGCAAACCCCTTTAGACTCACTTTCTGGAAGCCAGCTTCCCAGCCTCAGCGCGTTCTTGTGAATCCCTTCGGTGGGCTGTGTCCTTTCCTTGAAAGGGACTCAGTATGCGCAAACAGCCCAAACTCACTCTAGGCCAGGTCTGGAGGGTCAGGTGGGTGACCACGTGGGATACCACCACTTCTGGTGAAAAGCGGGGTGACGGGTTAGGAGGACAGCTGAGGTGGGCTCATAACGTCTCCAAAGGCAGTTCCCAAAGAGGAGTTCTGGAAATGCCAGAGCATGTTTGAAACAGGCAGGTACATTCCCAAGTGGTCTGTCTCGCACAGCAATGCTCATTTGAATGCCCATGCTCTGGCTTGAGGTTTAACGGCAGGCATCCTCTGTAGTGCCACCCTGCATCTGTGGGGCCCTGATGGCTCTGGTGGCCCTGGCATCCCAGGGCCTGGCCCATGGATGTCTCCTCTCCAGGGAGGAGACGTTGAGGAGGGTGGCCCACCCACAGTGCAGCTGCTTTTCTCATCTGTGGACACTAGACCAGCCAAGCCTCAGTGCCATGCTCTGGGAATCCCCTTGTCTCTGTGGAACAGTAGCATCCGCCACAAAACTTACTCACCCCCTCCTCAAGCCAAGCCTGTGGGTCGCCTGGCTTCAGGCTGAGCCCCTACAGAGGGGCTGTGGATGCATCCTGTGCTGGACAGAACACACGCCTGCTGTTTCTGTAGCTTTTCCTAGATGCCAGGCCCTGACCATCACAGCCCCCACCATGACCTCTTGGAAACATTTTACTCACCCCTTGCTGAGTGGAAAAACACCTGGTTCCTTGCAAGATAAGGGTCAGCCTGCAAGTTAGGACAGCCCCAGGCCCCCTGGCCTCTGACTCACAGGTCAGCCCAGGAAAGAATTCAGCAGGCTTCTTCCCTGGAGGGGCCAGCCCTGTCCTACATACCTCACGCACATCTTGCCCGTTTCTGTTCATAAAGACCTCCAGAGAGGGAGAAGAACCACAGCTGACTCAGTCCGGGGTAAGCATGGTGGACGGAGCAGGGGCTCTGGAATCAGATCTGGGTTCAAACCTCAACTCAGTCATTTCCTGGTTCTGTGGCCTCAGGCAAGCTATTGAACCTCTTTGAGCCTCATCTGGATTTGTGGATAACAATTCCTTCTCTCAGGGTTGCTGTGAGGGTTAAATGAGCTAACCCTCGGAAGGGGCTTAGCACATAATAGGTGCTCAAGAAAAGTTTCTTCCCTTTCTGTGTCTGAGATTGCTGCTCCTCCAACACCACTGTCCCGCCCCTCAGTGACCCCAGGTACATAGCTCCTTGAACTGTCCACCAGCTCCGCCCTCAGGTTTACTGGGGGTAGCAGCATTTCCTCCAGAAAGTGTGTGCCAGGAACCGTCGGTCCCCACTGGCCAGGCTCCGGCTGGAGGAAGCCCCACAGCAGGGGAGCTTCCTTCTTGAACTGGTTTGGGCTGGACCCTTCCCTCCCAGGCCTTGGGCATCCCCCGATGCAGTCATGCGTTAGCCAGCAGGAAGATGCCTGCAGACATCCAGAAGAGAAAAGTTCAAAGCAGTCCTCACACACGGCAGTGCCTTTCCAGCCTGAGGTGGAATCTTCAGTGTGGCCTCCCTCCCCTGTGTTAAGGCGAAGTGTCAGCCAGGAGGGGCTGGGGCTGTGCCCGAGCTGGCCACCCCGTTCTGCTTGTTTCCACTTCAGGGTCTTAGGCTCACATCACTTCTTTCAAGCTGGGCAGGAGAAACGGCAGGGTCTGGCTCTCTGAGGGGGAGTCCCCTTCCTTCCTCCTCCTGGTGTCTTCTTGGAGGAAAGCTCCTCCCCTAGATGAATTGCGTGCAGATGGAGATGCTAGAGGGGCGACAGTAACAGCTGGCATGGCCTGTTTGACTTAACCTTGGGGCCCCATGGCTGGTGCAGCAGCCACCTCCCTCAGCCCAGTGGCCTTGGAGACATGGATGGGAAAAGGAGCCCTGGAAATGGCAAGCGGAGGCCCTGGCTGACCGGGTGGGAGTGCTCTGAGGACACAGCCTGATGCTGGGGAGAGGCAGGGCATGTTTTGTCCTGGGTGATTCACTCGCGATGACTGGGGCAACACTGGTCCCGTTCAGGTGGATGAACGTCTCTTAGGCACTCAGCCTCCATGGATCACTCTTCTCTGTATTTAAAAATATTTTGTTTTTGGCCGGACGCGGTGGCTCACGCCTGTAATCCCAGCACTTTGGGAGGCTGAAGGCGGGTGGATCACCTGAGGTCAGGAGTTCAAGATCAGCCCAGCCAACATGGTGAAACCCTATCTCTACTAAAAATACAAAAATTAGCCGGACGTGGTGGTGCACACCTATAGTCTCAGCTACTTGGGAGGCTGAGGCAGGAGAATCACTTGAACCTGGAAGGCAGAGGTTGCAGTGAGCCAAGATCGCACCACTGTACTCCAGCCTGGGCAACAGAGTGAAACGCTGTCTCAAAAAAAAAAAAAAAAAAAAAAAATTGTTTTTTTTTAGAGAAGCAATCCGTCGTCTTTAAGGAAAACTTAGAAAAAGAGTAGAAAGATAGAATAGAAGGAGATCACCTGTAGCCCCACCAGGTAAATGGGACAACTAATATGTTGATGTATTTCCTTCAAATAGCCATTGTATTCACACTGCATTGACAAATTACCATTGGCAAAATCTTTAAAAACCCCCTACCCCTAATCTATATCATCAAGAATTCCACTTTCGCCAAAGTAAACCTTGATAGTTTAATTTGTGTCTGGGACCCATGACTGTGGACAGGTTTAGGCCCCAGCAGGTCGTGGGATCCAGGAGAGACCACCAAATCGGGCCCCTCATAATGATCACACTAGACCTGAGGGAGGTGAGAGTCAGGCTACGGGTACCCGCCGTCACTCCCACCAGCTTTATTATTTTACCTTTCACATTGAGGTTTGTGATCTGTCTGCATAATTTTGGAGTATGATATGAGCTCATTCTTCCGGGTTTATTTTTTTTCCATGCAGATATCAAATTACTTCAGCTACATTTATTAAAAACATCATCCATTCCCCCAGCATGTTGCAGGGTCACCTTTGTCATTAATCAAATGACCTCATAAGAGTGGGTCTATTTTTGGATTCTCTCTTCTGTTCCATTGGTCTATTTGTCAATTCCGTACTAAATTTGCCAATTTTTGCCTATTTGCCTATTGCCTATTTGCCAATTCCATACTAAATTAATTATTGTAGCTTTCTAATAAATCTTAATATCTATTTAGTACAATCCTCCAACTTCGTTCATTAAGATTGTCTTGGCTATTCCTGGTTCTTTATATTTCTGTATACATTTTAGAATCAGTTCATCAATTTCTACCAAAGGAAATATGCTGGGATTTTGTTTGAGATTTAAATTAATCTGCAGGTTAACTTGGGAATAATTGACATCTTTACAGTATTGAACCTTCTCATCTATGAACATTCTTTAATATCTTTAATAATGTTTTGTATTTTCCAATATAAGGACTTTGTATTTTTTTGTTAGATTTATTCTAGATATTTTGTATTTTTAATGTAAAATGATATCTTTTTAAAAATTTCATTTTTTTTTTTGAGACAGAGTCTCGCTCTGTCGCCCAGGCTGGAATGCAGTGGCCTGATCTCAGCTCACTGCAAGCTCCGCCTCCCAGGTTCACGCCATTCTCCTGCCTCAGCCTCCTGAGTAGCTGGGACTACAGGTGCCCACCACCACACCCGGCTAATGTTTTGTAGTTTTAGTAGAGACGGGGTTTCACCGTGTTAGCCAGGATGATCTCTATCTCCTGACCTCGTGATTCGCCCACCTCGGCCTCCCAAAGTGCTGGGATTACAGGCGTGAGCCACCGCGCCTGGCCCTTTTTAAAAATTTCATGTTGTTACTGGTATGTAGAAATCCAGTTGATTTTTTAAAATATTGACCTTGAGCCTGGGCACGGTGGCTCATGCCTGTAATCCCAGCACTTTGGGAGGCTGAGGCGGGTGGATCATGAAGTCAAGAGATCGAGACCATCCTGGCCAACATGGTGAAACCCCATCTCTACTAAAAATACAAAAATTAGCTGGGCGTGATGGCGTGCGCCTGTAGTCCCAGCTACTCAGTAGGCTAAGGCAGGAGAATCACTTGAACCCGGGAGGCAGAGATTGCAGTGAGCTGAGATCACACCACTGCACTCCAGCCCGGGCAAGACAGCGAGACTCCATCTCAAAAAATATATATATATATATTGACCTTGAATCAGGGACCTTCTAAATTCACTCCCTTAATCCCAGTTTTATGTAGATTCTCCCGCATTTTCTACTTACACAGTTATGTTGTCCCACACAGTGTTGGCCTCACCACATTTCAGATGAGTCCTAGCTGCCTCCCTTTAGGTGGTTGATTGGTTGATTTTCCAGACCTAAGTGATGGCCTCTGGTTTCTAAAGCTCTACTCCCTAGCCCCCAAAGCCTGAGCTCAGCTGATTGCTTCTGCCAACTCCCACCCTCACCATCACCACTCCTGGCCCTGGGACACCCTCTGGGCTGTCCTTCTTTCTTCTCCAGCCTCCCTGCTGCCTCTGGGAAGAACTTGTTCCGGAATGGCTCACTATTAGAATGGACTCAAGAGAGGCTCCCAGAGTCAGAGACCATTTGCTAAAGATGCTCTCCCTGTGCATCCCCACAGCAAAAGCTGAGCGCTTGGGTGGGGCAGGGGAGTTGGGGAGAGGGCTGTTCTGGGGTGGGTGGTGGGGGGCGGATTCACCAGCTCTTCTTCAGCTGCAGTCTGTGTCCCTGCACCTCCAGAAGATTTCACAGAGCTAGGGAGGAGGGCGAAACAGGCAGCTCAACTAATCCAGGGATAGCAGGTCTATCCAAGGGACTGGGGGAATAGACCTGCTGAATAAAGACTCTTCTGTAGCAAAAGGCAAAGGCTGTAATCCCAGCACTTTGGGAGACCAAGGCAGGTGGATCATTTGAAGTCAGAAGTTCGAGACCAGCCTGGCCAACATGGTGAAATCCCGTCTCTACTAAAAATACAAAAATTAGCCGGGTATGTTGGTGGGTGCCTGTAATCTCAGCTATTCAGGAGGCTGAGGCAAGAGAATCACTTGAACCCGGGAGGTGGAGGTTGCAGTGAGCCCAGATGGTGCCACTACACTCCAGTCTGGGCGACAGGGCGGCAAGACTCCTTCTCAAAAACAACAACAACAACAACAAACAACAACAAAAAAGGCAAAGGCCAAAAGGAGGAGGACAAATTTTACCAAACCATGATGTATATATGGCGAGGTCCCCAGGTCCCAGACCCCTGACATCAGGCATGACCCCTTTGACTGGTAAGTCTGAGCAGAAAGTGGTTTGGTGTTACTCCCAGACTTGTATCTGCCCAAGTGCCAGTGTCTGGAGGGCCTGAGCTTCAAGACAGGGATTCAAAGAGAGGTGACATCACAAGAGAAACAACCGTCATGTATGGGGACTCTGCTTACTTCACACACCCTAAACCCTATGAGCTGTCTTTCATTAACCCCCCTGGCTCAGATCATTTCAGTTATTTGTTCAAAATCTCTCCAAATTATTAGTGGGAGACTCCCTACAACTCATCTGCAACTCACACAGGTTGTTTTATTCCAAAGGGCTTGGTCTGTAAGGGTCCTGTACATGTGGCTCTACCTCTAGGGGGTGTTCGGTGGATCCCGAACCTCAAGACCCAGAAGCATGGCTGACATTGAGATGTGACGTGGGCTCTGATTGAGTCACGCATGGTGAATTCCTAGTGGGGAACCACTGGCTGTCCAGGGTCCCTGCCTTTCTGCCAGCTGCCTCCCAGATCTGCGACCTCCTTCAGAACCTGCCAAAATGACTAGGAAAATGCTGTTTCCATAGCAAGAGCCAAAAGAGAACATGACGGCCCTGCACTCCAGATCTTCGGGCGGATGAGTAATCCAAGCTTTCAGTTCAAGAATCATGTTTCAGTTTCTTGAAGCCTGGAAGTGACCTTTTCAGATACATAAGAACCCAGTGAGCTGTTCTGAGCCTCTTCAGATCCAAAAGCATTCAAGAGGCAGCCCTGGCCCTGTCTGCCATCAACATGTGATCCCAGGTCCGGGATCCCCTGAAGGCGAAACTAGAGCAACCCTTTGGAAGTGTCCCTCCCCTTCCCAGGCCCCCAGTTCCCCACTCTCAGATCTACCCATGCTATCCATTGCAAGCCTGTGTCACTTCTGTGTATGCAGCTCAGCACGACCTTAGGCAAAGCCAGAATCAGCAAGGCACGGGACACAGGCTTGATTGCAGGTTAAGTGTTTTATTGTTTGTTTTTTGAGACAGAGTCTCATTCTGTTGCCCAGGCTGGAGTGCAGTGGGGCAATCTCAGCTCACTGCAGCCTCAGCCTCCTGGGTTCAAGCGATTCTCCTCCCTCAACCCCATGGGTATCCGGGACTACAGGCACGTGCCACCAGGCCCGGCTAATTTCTTTGTATTTTTAGTCAAGACAGGTTTTCACCATGTTGGCCAAGCTGGTCTCAAACTCCTGACCTCAGGTGATCCACCCGCCTCGGCCTCCCAGAGTACTAGGATTACAGGCATGAACCACCATGCCCGGCCCAGGTGATGTTTTACATAGAGCTCCAATACCAGAGAGAAGAGTGTCAAGGGGAGGTGGTGCTCTCTGCCTTCTCTGGAGAGCTTTACCCCTAAGTTAGCTGCCCCTCACCCACCCCAGGCTATCCTCTTGGCTCAGGGCCTTTCTGGAATTGAGGTAAAGCACATGGTAACCATGAAGGCCCTTTGGGGGCTCCCTGATACATAATAGTCCCACACCGGGCAGCATGTCTGTGATCAGCTGGTTGGCTTTTTATTAACGTATCATATTAACAGGTTCAACCATCCTGGGACAAAGCTGAGTTGTAATAAAAAAAAAAAGCCAACAAAAAAATAACTTTAATATACTGTTGGATTCAATTCGATAGTTTTAAGATTTTCATAGTTACGTTCCTAAATGATATTGAGTCAAATTTTCCTTTTCTTGCACTCTCCTTATCTGGTTTTAAGAATCAAGGTCATACTCGTTTCATAAAACAAGCTTGCTAACTTTCCTCCCTCTTTCCCCATTTTTAAAATTCGTTGACAGACAGTGGAATGATACTTGTAATGGGCTTTGGATTTTATAAAAACACACCCCCAGAGTCTGCCTGCTCCATAGGGGACTTGGCACAGGCAAGAAGACACCTCTTTTCCTTGTTTATAGTCTGCACTGGCTTATTTATGGCACGTTTGTTGTTTCTGGGACTGTTCTGCTGGGAGCCAGCCATTTCCCTGAGGAAGCAGAGATGGAGGTGGAGGGAAGCCCTAGGCTTCTAGGGGAGCTGTGCTGGGGGAGGGGAGGGAGCCCTGAACCTGGTGCCCCAGGCCCTGCTGCAGCCACCCCTCTTTCCCGGGAGGGAGCTCAACCTTACTCTGCACTTACAGGCACCATGTTCCGCAAGAAAAAGAAGAAACGCCCTGAGATCTCAGCGCCACAGAACTTCCAGCACCGTGTCCACACCTCCTTCGACCCCAAAGAAGGCAAGTTTGTGGGCCTCCCCCCACAATGGCAGAACATCCTGGACACACTGCGGCGCCCCAAGCCCGTGGTGGACCCTTCGCGAATCACACGGGTGCAGCTCCAGCCCATGAAGGTAAGAGGGGCCGGCAGGGATGAGGTTCAGCCTCTCCCAGTACTCAGACAACCATGCCTGGCTAAACCTCAGAAAGGCCCCTGGAGGAACCACCTACTTCACAGCTATCAGTTAATCAGCTGTTTTAACTCCCTGCCTGTCAGCCTGCCATTCTCTCCCTGGGTAAGCCAGGGCGAAGGAGGCTGGGGAGACCCTCTCTGCAGGGTGGTGGGGTTGCCAGATTCAGCACATGAAAATGTGAGATGCTCAATTGCATTTGTATTTCAGATGACAACGAATAGTCTTTTAGGACGTGTCCCATTCAATATTTGGACCTGCAGCCCCATAGGGACTGAGGGCTCTCCCAGACCAGGAGAATTTTAGTTGTGAGGGTCACGACTAGTAGACCCAAGAGCCTGGTAGAAGGTGGGGTCAGGGGCCCTATCAGGGTTTGGAGGCTGCGAAGCCAGTGTGTGTGGAGGAGCCCCCGGCCTGGTGTCTCTTCCTCAGAGGGCTGGGCACATCTCTCCCAGCCACCCGTGGAGCTAGAGAATGGAGCCCCGCCCCCTGAGCTCCAGCTCCCTGGCCCAGCCGACCACACCCCTGGGCATGCTGGATGCAGCCCCATGGCACTCACCATCTGCTCTGCTGACGCTGGGCCTTCTCCCCGCATCCCTGCATCCAGCACAGGCGGGACCCACGGTGGGCCCTGATAAATTATGGAAAAATTAATGGGTGGATGACACAGCAGGGAAGGTCCTTAGGTGGTCCTCCCCAGGGCCCCCAGGGACATTCTCTGACCCTGATCTCCCAGCCACCCCTCCCTGCCACAATTGGGCAGCTCCCACACACTCTTTTCTCTTCCCCCTACAGACAGTGGTGCGGGGCAGCGCGATGCCTGTGGATGGCTACATCTCGGGGCTGCTCAACGACATCCAGAAGTTGTCAGTCATCAGCTCCAACACCCTGCGTGGCCGCAGCCCCACCAGCCGGCGGCGGGCACAGTCCCTGGGGCTGCTGGGGGATGAGCACTGGGCCACCGACCCAGACATGTACCTCCAGAGCCCCCAGTCTGAGCGCACTGACCCCCACGGCCTCTACCTCAGCTGCAACGGGGGCACACCAGCAGGCCACAAGCAGATGCCGTGGCCCGAGCCACAGAGCCCACGGGTCCTGCCCAATGGGCTGGCTGCAAAGGCACAGTCCCTGGGCCCCGCCGAGTTTCAGGGTGCCTCGCAGCGCTGTCTGCAGCTGGGTGCCTGCCTGCAGAGCTCCCCACCAGGAGCCTCGCCCCCCACGGGCACCAATAGGCATGGAATGAAGGCTGCCAAGCATGGCTCTGAGGAGGCCCGGCCACAGTCCTGCCTGGTGGGCTCAGCCACAGGCAGGCCAGGTGGGGAAGGCAGCCCTAGCCCTAAGACCCGGGAGAGCAGCCTGAAGCGCAGGCTATTCCGAAGCATGTTCCTGTCCACTGCTGCCACAGCCCCTCCAAGCAGCAGCAAGCCAGGCCCTCCACCACAGAGCAAGGTAAGTCAGGAGCCTGGCCTGCAGGTGTCCACTGGGGAGTGGGTGTAGGGACACAGGCCTTGCCTAGCCTTCCCCTTGGAGGACTGGCAAAGAGGCTCCCTGGACTGCTTCCGCCTAAGGCGGCAGAAATGTGCACGGTAACCTCTTCTCTAAGGAGGGTGGCTCGCCTCCTCCTTCCCTCCCTTCCTTTCCTTCTTTTCTCTGTGGCTGTTGTGTTGTTTCCCATTTCTGTCAGTATTTGTTCCCAAGTGTGTGGCCATAGGAAAAGCTGGATTTGCCTAGTCCAGGGGCAGCAGGAGGCCGACTTGTGGCATGTGTGACTGCTTCAGACGCACATTTTTCTTGTGAGAAAGGAAAGGGTGAAGGGAGCCCCCGTGGTGACATTTCTTGGCAGGCAGAGTGGAGCGCACCTTTTTGCTTCTTCCAGGCCCTCCAGCATCCTGTTGATAGTGACAGTAACCTCTTTTCCCATTTGGCAGAGGAGGAGACTGATAGAGAGAGGGTGAGTCACCCCCAGGCATGATGGAGAGTGAGTCAGAGAAGGAAGGTGGGGAGTGCTCTGGGGCTGCCTGTCCGGCCCGGGCCCTCTTGGCTCATGACTCTTGCGTATGAAGGCTTTACAAGCACAGCAGCCACTTGTTCTTTAGCTCCTTCCTGGGAGGGTCAAAGGCAGTCCTAAGAAACGGCTGCTGACAGTGGCATGGGTAATGGAGCCTCCCCTCCCTCCTGGGAGGGCTTTAAGACAAGCCTGGGTACTCCCCTGTCATCGGTGGGGTGAGTGTGGCCCAGCCTGCACAGGGTGTGGGTTTGGGGATGACCCGGACTACAACCTCTCTGGGTCACTGCCTGCCAGCTGAGGTACTCAGAGAAAGTTCTGGGCGGCCGCGCGTGGTGGCTCACGTCTGTAGTCCCAGCACTTTGGGAGGCCAAGGTGGATGGGTCACGAGGTCAGGAGATCGAGACCATCCTCGCTAACACGGTGAAACCCCGTCTCTACTAAAAATACAAAAAAAATTAGCCGGGCGCGGTGGCGGGCGCCTGTAGTCCAAGCTACTCAGGAGGCTGAGGCAGGAGAATGGCGTGAACCCGGGAGGCAGAGCTTGCCGTGAGCTGAGATCGCACCACTGCACTCCAGCCTGGGGGACAGACAGAGCGAGACTCCGTCTCAAAAAAAAAAGAGAAAGTTCTGAGCTTTGTGCACTCTAGTCCCCTACTAGGTTAAAGGACAGTGGGTTGGGATCCCCATGGGTTGTGGCTTGATGTATCTGTGAGAGGAACACGAGCATCTGTGAGCTGCAGGGTGTCTGGAAGGCTGTGCCCCTGGGGAGACTCAGCCAGAAAACCAACGTAAGATCAGGACAGTGCACCCTGCTGGGAAGGTGAGATTCGGAGCTTGACCTCCCTCTGTCTCTCAGGAGTCCTGCTGCGAGGCCTCAGGGATTTGGAGAAAGGGGTTGTCAACACTGGGCTGGGCACTCATTTGCATCTTTCTGGGCTCCTGCCAGCACCCCACAGCAGGGGGAGAGGCCTGTCCATCCCTGCACAATGTACTGAGTACTCACCATGGGCCACTGCTGCTGGGTATGCCGGGATGTCCCCCATACTTGTGGGAGCAGGCGGTAGTTATCTCGAGCTCAGCAACACCATACTTCCAAATCCAGGGGAGTGGTTTCCTTCTGGGCAACTCAGACACATCTTTCAAGATTTCTACTCTGAAGCCAAGCCTCTCAATGGCAAGCTGAGACCCCCCGAGCTGCTCCGGGCCGGGGCTTCTCAGCGTCCTCACTGCAGGCGCTCAGGTCAGTCCATCCTTTGTGGTGGGCTCTCCTTGCACTGTAGCAGCCTCCCTGGCCTCTACTCACTAGAAGTTGGTGGTACCCTCGGTTGGAATAACCAAAAATGCCTCCAGACACTGCCAAATGTCACTCGAGCACACCCATTAAGAACCACTGCCTTAAGCAAATTCAATAACAGATGGGGAGCATCAGCCTTCCTCCTCCTCCTCCACCACCACCTACCCCAGGAGTCCCCAGATCAAGCCAGCAGCCCTTGGCACTGGGGCTGACTCTGGACACTTGCAGCAGCTTCCATAACAGCAGTTAGGCCACAGAGGCCATGCAGTGTGCCAGGCATGGCTGCAGGAGGGTCTGAGTATAGACTCCAGGGCTCCTGTACCTAGCCCCAGGCAGTGAGGCCTGGAGTCACTCTAGCTAAAGAGATCAGGAAGACAGGGCGTGGGGGCACAGAGACCAAAGAGGCAAGACAGTTTTTTAGGAGCTTGCAGGGATTAGACATGTTCCACTTAGAGTCAGAAGGGCAAACATTGGTTAAGCACCTACCGTGTACTCCGATATATGTCAAGGATACATGGCACCAGTGGGATTGCAGCATGGGAGTCAGCAGCCACGGGCGTCCTGCGGGTTCCAGTGCCTACAGGACAACCAAACAACCCACAGGGTTATGAGGATTACATGAGATAGTACGTTGAAGGCACTTGTCAAAGTGGTAAGCCCTCAATAAATGGCTTTATTAGTAGTATTTGAGATGGCGTCTCCCTCTTTCGCCCAGGCTGGAGTGCAGTGGCACAATCTTGGCTCACTGCAACCTCCACCTCCTGGGTTCAAGTGATCCTCCCACCTTAGCCTCCCAAGTAGCTGGGATTACAGGCACGCTCCACCATACCCAACTAATTTTTGTATTTTTAGAAGAGATGGGGTTTCACCATGTTGCCCAGGCTGGTCTTGAACTCCTGACCTCAAGTGATCCACCTGCCTTGGCCTCCCAAAGTGCTGGGATTACAGGCACCTGAGCCACCATGCCAGGCCGGCTTTATTATTTTTAAAAATATTATGCCATGGCCTCTCCCCTTTAGGATACTTAAGGTATAGCCCCCTAAGCCCACAGCTGGGGAGCCATGGCTCAGGGCGGGAAATGAGGCATTGCTGTAAATGTATGCATGACTCTTCTAGTGGCTTTCTTCCCAAGAGGTCTATCACATGAGTAACTTCAGAATTAATCCAGAGCCTGTAACAATTAATTAATTCTGTTGTCGTGTCCCCCTTTCCCTTTCTTGTGTGGCCTCACAAGTTTCATCTGGTCCTTGCTTGTGATTACATTGATAAAAGCTCCCTCCCTGTGGAGACAGGCAGTGAAGCCAACGAAAGGATGCTAGAGACCAGACCTTGCCAGGCTGAAGACCAAGCCAGCTCCCCAGACTCCCCAGCCTATGTCCCAGACTCTGCTTGTGCTGGGCTCCTGGCTGGGCCATCCCTCCCCCAGCCTCCAGACGCAGGCTCCGCCCTGAGCCCAGCCAGCACCTGCAGCAGCAGCAGCAGCACAGGGACCTGGCCTGTGGAGACAGGGAAGAAACCCCTACCTCAGCCTGTCCACGTGGTACCCACACATCCTCAGAGTAGAGCTGGCCCATGCAGAAGCCCTCAAGGCCAGGAGGGGAATGATCTCATTTTACAGCCTTTCTTAGGAGCTTCAGGATGAGAGGTCATCAGAGCCACCTCAGGAGGAGCTTTAGGTGGTCCCCAAGCTTCTGCCCCGACCCACCTGGATGGGTGCCTGGAGAGCATGTTTTCTGAGTTAAGTCCACACTCAGGCCAGCAGGCAGCTTCCTTAGAGCCCCGAGCCTTTCTACAGGTTGACTGTGTGATGCAGTGAGCCCTGCCCCACTTCCCTCCCTGTCCCTGCCTGGTGACGTCTCATGGAACCTCTGTTCCCAGGACCTGGTATCACAGCCTCAGTCATGGCCATGCGCCCTCCACCCCCCTCACAGCCCTCCCAGAGGCTCCCTGAGGCCGTAAGATCATACTGCCCACTTATGCAGAGTTTCTCAAAGTATGTTCCATGGGCCTCCTAGGACCCAGGGACCTTGTTCAAATGCAGTCTCTGCTCTAGGCTCCCACCGAATCAGGCTCTGAGGCGGGAAGTCTGCGGTTTCTCTAGCTCCCCAGATCTCTGCACACGTCCCTGCATTGTAGTGGAGACAGGCTCAGAGAGGATGACTTGCCTAAGGCTCATCACAGGGCAGAGCAGCCCAGGGCTGGGCCCCAGGTCCTGACAGCCCAGTCCAGGGGTCCCACTGCTCCACTACACAGTGGATGGTGACAGTGTCACAGTGTCACAGTGGATGGTGACAGTCAGGTGCTGGCGAGGACATGGGAGAATGTTTACTGTCCAAATGTACTCATCAGGGATGGAGTGAGTCCAGGCAGTCCTGGGAGGATTGCTAGCTTCTTTCCTGTGAAGGTCAAGCACACACTCGGGTGGGCAGGCAGGTGTGGGGGTGGCAGAAGTCTGCCCCAGCATGGCTGTCGGCCAGCAGGAGTGCCTATTCCACCCTAAGCAGGCCAGGGACTTGGCTGGAGAGTAGAAGCCCTGAAGCTGCGGGGGGTCGGGGAAGGAAGGGAGTGAGGGTTGCCAAAGACACTGAAAAGACTCTGGTGGGGCCCAAGGCCCAGATTTGGGGTTTGGGGTCCCTGAGCAAGCATCCCAGCCCAAACTTACTGCTTGAGATTTCCTGTAAGTTGTTTCAGCTATGGGATCAGGACCAGGACCCACTGGGCACCTAAGACAATGGCTTACATGATGGGTTTGGAGAAGTTCCTAGAAGGCTTTTTCTGCATCCCCTGAAGCATCCCTCTCCAGGTGCCCTTTAAAAACACGTAATCCCTGGGAGGGGTCATGGTGCATATCACCGCTCCTTGGGGAGAACCCAAAGATGGGCGGGCACCTTTCCTGTCAGAAAGAGCAGAAGGGCTTGGGCTCGGAAAAGCAAGAAGCCTCGCAGGCTTCCAGGGCTGGGCCTGAGCAGGGCTCACTGGGGGCCCAGGCTGCCCCTCAGCTCCACCTTCCCTTCCTCCCTCCCTGCCAGAGCCAATGAGGATAGGCCCCCTACCTTCTCCTCCCTCCCGGGGGCTCCTTAGCCAGGAGTTTCATGCCAGGGAGGAAGTGGAAGGACTCCTTTAGGGGGTCCTTAAGACATCTCCCCATCCCTGGCCTCAAGGCTTGGGTTTGGCTGGACCTACCCTCCTAACTCCAGATCTCTCTGGCACCAGATTCCCAGCCCAGGGGAGACACCTGAGAACCCCCCAGATGGTGACACACCTCTGTGGTCCTCTGTCAGGGACATAACCTCCCAGCACAGATTTGCAAACTCCCTGCTGCAGGCACAGGCAGGGCTATCGGGCCCCAGGTGTGGCTCCCCTGCCTTGGTTCAGGGAGTGGAGACACAGTTGCCCACTGCTCCCCACCCCACTGCCAGGCCTCTTCTGCCCCCATGGGTCCTGGGGTGGGGGAGCCTTGGGAGTGAAGAATGCCTCTGACCCAGATTCTTCAAGCAGCCTCTGAGCTCAGAGGAAGAGTCTGCCTCACGGCAGCCTCCCTGGGGTCTAGCTGTCAATCGCCCAGGAAGAAATACCCAGCGCAGGACCCGGCGGGGAGCTGGCCTTCTCTGTCTTCCCAGGTGCAGCAGAGCGAGTGTAAGGAGCTGTCTTGGGCCTGCCCAGCCTGGTGCCCTGCGGGGGACTGCTGGCACAGGACTGTGACTGGGCTTCAGCTCTGTCTGAAAATCTTTGCTCAGAGCACCTCCCTAGTTTGATCTGATACCCCGCCTGACCCTGCCAGAGTCCAGAGGTCACGGCGGCCAGCCCCTGCCTCCGGGAAGGTTATTCCAAATGCTCCCACAGCCCTGACCCTTCCTGTTGCTTTGTCCCTGCAGCCCAACTCCTCTTTCCGACCGCCGCAGAAAGACAACCCCCCAAGCCTGGTGGCCAAGGCCCAGTCCTTGCCCTCGGACCAGCCGGTGGGGACCTTCAGCCCTCTGACCACTTCGGATACCAGCAGCCCCCAGAAGTCCCTCCGCACAGCCCCGGCCACAGGCCAGCTTCCAGGCCGGTCTTCCCCAGCGGGATCCCCCCGCACCTGGCACGCCCAGATCAGCACCAGCAACCTGTACCTGCCCCAGGACCCCACGGTTGCCAAGGGTGCCCTGGCTGGTGAGGACACAGGTGTTGTGACACATGAGCAGTTCAAGGCTGCGCTCAGGATGGTGGTGGACCAGGGTGACCCCCGGCTGCTGCTGGACAGCTACGTGAAGATTGGCGAGGGCTCCACCGGCATCGTCTGCTTGGCCCGGGAGAAGCACTCGGGCCGCCAGGTGGCCGTCAAGATGATGGACCTCAGGAAGCAGCAGCGCAGGGAGCTGCTCTTCAACGAGGTGGGAGGACAGGGTGGGACACAGACGGGGGCGTTGGGGATGGGCAGTGAGCAGCCAGCCAGGCTGGACATCTGTGAGCAGGGGCAGTGGGTGGCCATGCGTCTGGGCACTGTGCCTGGCACTCAGGCCCCCGCCTGCCCCCAGGTGGTGATCATGCGGGACTACCAGCACTTCAACGTGGTGGAGATGTACAAGAGCTACCTGGTGGGCGAGGAGCTGTGGGTGCTCATGGAGTTCCTGCAGGGAGGAGCCCTCACAGACATCGTCTCCCAAGTCAGGTGGGCAGCTGGGAGGGCTGGACCCTGAGTGCAGGCTGCCCTCACCATGGCCCTGCCAGGGCAATGTGGTCTTCTGCCTGTGGCCCAGAAGACTTGGGATGCCTGGGCTCCCCTGCCTGCTGGGGTAACTGAGACCCAGGGGTCTTGGGAGTGGAGAAGAGAAGGATAGCTTCTAGCCAAAGCTCAGGCCCCAGTTTTCACCAGGGCTATGGCCTGACTGTGCTGCCAAACAGATTGCCTGGGAGCTGTGGGGCCTAGCACCAGGGACTCCTACTCTGCTCAGCCACCCCACGACCTGCCAGAGCTAACGTTCTCTTTCATCGGGTGGCCCCACCTTCCTGTCCAGGCTGAATGAGGAGCAGATTGCCACTGTGTGTGAGGCTGTGCTGCAGGCCCTGGCCTACCTGCATGCTCAGGGTGTCATCCACCGGGACATCAAGAGTGACTCCATCCTGCTGACCCTCGATGGCAGGGTAGGTCCCATCCTGTCCCTGGCACAGCCACGCTCCCACTTCCTCCTGATCCACCACTCACTCCCTTTTCAACCGCAGGTGAAGCTCTCGGACTTCGGATTCTGTGCTCAGATCAGCAAAGACGTCCCTAAGAGGAAGTCCCTGGTGGGAACCCCCTACTGGATGGCTCCTGAAGTGATCTCCAGGTCTTTGTATGCCACTGAGGTAACCGTTCCCTCCACCCCCCAGACCTCCCAAAAGCAACTTGGCAACTGGCAGCTCTTCTGCTGTGGCCCCTCCAGTGAGCTCACCAAAAGCAGCCCTGGTTTTCAGAGTCCCACCTAGTCAACACCCTTCCCCCTTTCGATGGGGCTGCTCTTACCCAGTGACTTTGCTGCCAGGAACGAGTCCTGCAAGTGCTTTCCTCAGCTCAAGGGCAGAATGGGGTATGGCCGGGCCTCCTATGTATGATGGCCTTTCTCTGAGTGACTGACAGCTGTGTCCCTATAGGCAGTGGTCACTCATGCAGGCAGTAACTGGCCACAGGGCAGGTGACCAGGGGAGGAAGGAGACAGACCCACCAAGGAGAGCTGGGGCCAGCTGTCCCCCCTCCACCACTGCTGCCACCAGAACGCAGCTACCAATGGGCCAGGGTCTGGCCATGGGGTCAGGGACATTTTCCTCCTGCAGGTGGATATCTGGTCTCTGGGCATCATGGTGATTGAGATGGTAGATGGGGAGCCACCGTACTTCAGTGACTCCCCAGTGCAAGCCATGAAGAGGCTCCGGGACAGCCCCCCACCCAAGCTGAAAAACTCTCACAAGGTCAGTTGGCACACAAGGGTGCGACCTCGCAGACCCCATTCCTCCTGAGGCAAGGGGACCAGAACCTGGGCTCCCAGCATCTCCCTTCCACTGAAGCCACAGGGTCTGGGCTCCTGGAAAAGGCTCCTCTTTCCCCACACAAAACCCGCACCTGGGTGTGGAGCCGCATCTACGCACAAGTTCGCATGTGCGCTCCGACAAGTCGCCTCCCACGGCTGTGGCAGGAGAGTTGCTGCTTGGCAGAAGGGTTGCTGCTTGGCAGGCACTGGTCGGAAGCCCAGTGGGGCCCATGAGCAGGGAAAGCCAGGACACCAGCAATCCCTGCTGTCCAGGGAGGGATCCGGAGAAGCTTCACTGAGCACAAACCCTTCTAACCCGTGTCGGGAGATCCATACCATGATTCGATGTCCCTGTCCATCACGGCGAGTCGGCTCATGCTCCATCGTTGCACACCCCGACACAGCTAAGCCACAGCGTTCCCCTTAAAGCCAGTATAAGTGCATGGAAGTGTATACATGTAACCCTTTTTGCCAAATCGGCCCCAACCCCGCAGGCCTTACTGTGGACGCCCCCTGCTGGCAGGTCAGCACGGGGCTGCTAAGTGGCACCGCCATCTGGTGGCCAAAACAAGAAATGTCTCAGAGGGCTGAAGCCTCTCCTCTAAAATAGCAAAAAAACAAGAGTTCTGTGGCCCCAACACAAAGCTGGATGGGAGGACCAACAGGAAACATCTTCCAAGACAACTGGTCCTTGGAGCCCGCACCGCTAACCCCAAAATTAGCATATAAAGATCTCCAGTTGGCTAATTCCTCAGAGGATGTAGCCTTCTGCCCAAGACTCAGCCTCATCCCAAGATACTGGCTCAAAATGAACCAAGATAAGCCCTTGCTTTAGACTCTTAAGGCCTAGAGCAACAAAGAAATCTTCCTTTTCAGGTCTCACTTTATTTTCTATTTTTCAGAGTACTTCCTCA
Organism: Homo sapiens; assembly: GCF_000001405.40. Taxonomy (NCBI): domain Eukaryota; kingdom Metazoa; phylum Chordata; class Mammalia; order Primates; family Hominidae; genus Homo; species Homo sapiens. The sequence goes on from NC_000015.10 coordinate 40,275,250, forward strand.
TCCTTGACTTGTTTGTTTCTGTTGTTGTTGGTTTTTTTTTTTTTTTTTTTTTTGGAGATGGAGTCTCTCTCTGTTGCTCAGGCTGGAATGCAGTGGTGCGATCTCAGCTCACTGCAACCTCCGCCTCCTGGGTTCAAGCAATTCTCCTGCCTCAGCCTCCTGAGTAGCTGGGATTACAGGCACGTGCCACCATGCTCAACTAATTTTTGTATTTTTAGTAGAGACAGGGTTTCGCCATGTTGGTCAGGCTGGTCTACGAACTCCTGACCTCGTAATCTGCCCAACTTGGCCTCCCAAAGTGCTGGGATTACAGGCTTGAGCCACTGCGCCCAGCGACCTGTTTTTAAAATCTCAAAAGCCCTATGTGGCAGACAGGGCAAGCATACTTTATCACTAGCCCATTTTACAGATGAGAAAACTGAGGCCTAGAGAAAACTGTGACTTGCCTGAGATCACGGATAGAGCCAGATCTGGATCACTGATGCCAATCCTCTGCCCCTTCCACAGAGCTATAGCATCTGAATGCTGAGAGCCTTGAGGGGGTGGGGAGGGACAAGGGAACAGGAAGTTAAAAAACCAGCGAATTCATGACTTTCAAACAATGATAAGTCCAGGCAATCAGGTCACCCCGAAGTGACTGCAAATTGTGGCTTCATCTTACTGCCCTGCCTCTACAGGTCTCCCCAGTGCTGCGAGACTTCCTGGAGCGGATGCTGGTGCGGGACCCCCAAGAGAGAGCCACAGCCCAGGAGCTCCTAGACCACCCCTTCCTGCTGCAGACAGGGCTACCTGAGTGCCTGGTGCCCCTGATCCAGCTCTACCGAAAGCAGACCTCCACCTGCTGAGCCCACCCCAAGTATGCCTGCCACCTACGCCCACAGGCAGGGCACACTGGGCAGCCAGCCTGCCGGCAGGACTTGCCTGCCTCCTCCTCTCAGTATTCTCTCCAAAGATTGAAATGTGAAGCCCCAGCCCCACCCTCTGCCCTTCAGCCTACTGGGCCAGGCCGGACCTGCCCCCTCAGTGTCTCTCCCTCCCGAGTCCCCAGATGGAGACCCCTTTCTACAGGATGACCCCTTGATATTTGCACAGGGATATTTCTAAGAAACGCAGAGGCCAGCGTTCCTGGCCTCTGCAGCCAACACAGTAGAAAAGGCTGCTGTGGTTTTTTAAAGGCAGTTGTCCACTAGTGTCCTAGGCCACTGCAGAGGGCAGACTGCTGGTCTCCACAGATACCTGCTGTTCTCAGCTCCAGCTTCAAACCTCGAGTCTCGAGAGGGCCACGGGGTGGTTTTTATGACCGGAATCCCGCTTCCTCCCTCACGTCTGATGTCCTGAAGGTGCAGTCCCACCTGTACAGCCCCTCCCCGCCCAGAACTGTGAATGGCCTGCTCCAGGCCATGGCTGGGGGCAGGGAGTGAGGGGACAATTTCTGAGTGAAAGAGAAAGAATGGGGTCGGTGGTGAAGGTGCTCTCACTTTACAGAATGGAGAGAACATCGTGTGTGTGTGTGTGTGTGTGTGTGTGTGTGTGTGTGTGTAAGGGGAGGAAAGCCACCTTGACAGCCCAGGTCCCTCCAGGTCACCCACAGCCAGTTTCAGGAAGGCTGCCCCTCTCTCCCACTAAGTTCTGGCCTGAAGGGACCTGCTTTCTTGGCCTGGCTTCCACCTCTCCACTCCTGTGTCTACCTGGCCAGTGGAGTGGTCCATGCTAAGTCTAACACTCCTGGGAGCTCAGGAGGCTTCTGAGCTTCTCCTGTACTGTGCATCGTGAGGGCCAGAGACAGGAATGTAAGGATTGGCAACTGTGTTACCTTTCAAGTTTATCTCAATAACCAGGTCATCAGGGACCCATTGTTCTCTTCAGAACCCTATCTGGGAGAGAAGGCGAACCACCTCCGGGTTTCCATCATGTCAAGGTCACAGGCATCCATGTGTGCAAACCATCTGCCCCAGCTGCCTCCACAGACTGCTGTCTCCTTGTCCTCCTCGGCCCTGCCCCACTTCAGGGCTGCTGTGAGATGGAATTCCAGGAAAGAACTTCAGGTGTCTGGACCCTTTCTATCTAGATAATATTTTTAGATTCTTCTGCTCCCTAGTGACCTACCTGGGGGCAAAGAAATTGCAAGGACTTTTTTTTAAGGGTCAGAGTTTTCAAAACAAAAGCATCTTCCCTAGAAATTTTTGTGAATTGTTTGCACTTGTGCCTGTTTTAAATTAAATTGAGTGTTCAAAGCCATTGGGCTTCCTGTGTCTCTGGGAGCGGAGACCGGCCGTCTTGGAGGGGGGTCTCCTGTGGCGGGTGAATCTCGTGTAGCCTCCCCTCCTCCCCACGTGAGCTCTCCAGCAGCCACACCACAGAACACCCAACTTCCCTGGTGGCCTGTGGACCCGAAAGGAGGGCAGAGAGGAAGGGAAACAGGAAGTGAAAGGCCCTTGGGAATGAAGGCGATGAAAAATAGACGGGGCTACTTCCCCAGGGGAGAAGAGCCCACAAGGAAAGCCAGGGCCCTGCGCTGCGTTTGCGGGGGGTGGCCGAAGTGGCTGACGACCACCCTGTGTGTCAGCTTCTCCCATCCTCTGCGCGCTCCTCACCCCCACCCCAGACCTCCAGCTGTCCATAGGAAGTGGTCTGAAACCGCTTCCAGTGGGAGAGCAGTCCCTGCCTCACTCCTCAGGACTGAGGGAGATGGTGTGGGGTTCAAAAAGAACGGAGCAGAGCCTGGAAACCAGGGAGCCTGGGCTTTCGTTCTGGGGGTGGGGAGGTGGATGAAATTATCTTGCAACTTCCAGCTCCCACACGGATTCCCGCACTTCCTTCCTGAGATCTCCCACTGCCCAGGATTCAGGAGCAAGCCAGGAGCAAGGAACCATGCAGCCTTTCTTTCACTCCCCAGTGCATTCACACCCTGACAGGTGCCCTGGTGCTGCGGCTGGCCCGGCCTGTCCCCCCAGCTCAGCAGAAGCAGCACCTGTGACTTACCTTCAGGAGCCAGCACAGTAGGACGGGCAGGGCGGAGGCTCACTAAGGCAGGGGCCTCCACAGGAGGCAAAGGCTCGGTCCATCTCTCCAAAGGGAGCCGAGGGTCAGGAGTGCTTGATAAGGCAAAGAGAGGCCAGTTCTCGCAACGGAATAATACACTGGATTTATTAACTATTCTTTGAGTTCTAACAGTCCTTCCACCACACAGTATCACTCTGAAAGGGTGTGCATGTCTCACAGCTCACACACACACCACTTCTGATCTTAGGGTACCAAGTGCCAGCATCCTGGGTGACTCTTCACAATGACAAAAGCAACAAGAACTGGAAAAGCAAAATATTTAGAAAAGTCTCTTCTGAAGGTAGAGATTGCTAGAGAGGACCCAGCCTCAACACCCTGGGGCTGACAAAGGGAGTTCAGGAGAGAAAAATGTGGTAAAACATGGAAGTTCTGCACAGAGCCGGGCCTGGGAAGGAGTCTGTATGTATGGACAGCAAGGCAGTCAGACACACGATGCAGTTCAGACAGGAAAGAGCCGCTGCAGTTGTTTAGAAACATCGCTTTCTACCACCAAGCTCTCGGCAGCTCCACAGAGAAGAGCCCTCATGGTTGTTTATCCAGTCAAGAGGGCCCAGGGTGACATTCAACCAGAAAGCCGTATATCAGAGATACTGGAAAGATTACAGCACCTCTGATACAATGTGCAACCCAGACTTCATGCTGTTAAGCCAAAATACTTGCATTTCTACACCACTAAAAACGTCATTAAAATTCAACACAGTTGAAAAGGGAGTACATAAGCAAGCAAGGGTCAGAAAGCAGCAGTTTGCACTTGGGGTGTCCAGTGGTCCCCACCCTACCCCAGACCCTCTCTCTCAGGCTTTTCAGGCACTTGGTATTGTGCACCCACCACCCAGACGGGGACTGAGGAGAGGCAGATGTTTTGGGAGAAGAGGGGAGGGAGAGGGCAGAATACCTCAGAAACCAAAGCTAGTATCAGAAGAAAACTGCATAATCGGCAGGTCCCAAGGGAAGGGTTGGCAGCTCCAGCTTTTCGGAAGAGAGCTGTAGCTCTCAGCCTTAACTTGGAAGATTTAACTTGGGGTCCTTATTGAAGGGTCTGGGCTCCTGCTACTCTCAATGCGAGTTTTTTGTTCATTGTCCCTCACTTCACTGCTGTAAAGTGACTTCAAGTATCCGGATTTAATATTCTACAAGAGGAAGAGGATTCCACGATAAATGCACATGGATGAAGAAGTACACAGGGGTGATCCCAAAGAAAACCAGGATGTCTGAGCTCCGAGCCGGGGCGCAGCGGGGAGGGCCCAGCGCTGCCACCAGGGGGCACCAGAGATCACGTCCAGTGCGCCGGCCTGCTTGGCCTAGCGGATGGGGGCAAGCGGAGGGCAAGGACTGGATAGGTGTCCTGACACCTGCACGAGGCCCACTCCTGGCCGCCCACCCCTCACCGCCAGGCCCAGCAGTATCTCGGCACATTCTCGCTCTGGGCAGTTCCCTGGGAGTTGCTGGCGAGAAACCTTCCGTACTGCAAAGGCAAACAGATCGAAGTCTTGCAAAGACCTTACTGCAGGCAGGTGAAAGGCTTCAAGTTCCACCCTCAGGGTTCACAAAAGAGCCCCACCTGCCGCCTCCCCGCGGGCCAGGCGCACTGACACACGTGCTGGCGCTTCCGCAAGGTCCTAGCGCACCCGTCCCGCCGGACCCCCGCCCCCAACCCCGCCGCCTCGCTAGGCCAGTATAGGGCAGGAGGGTGGGGGCGAGCAGGCAGGGGACAAAGGACAGTGTCAGGAAAGGGCCTCTGACCACCTCTCTGCGGTTGCCTCTGACTTACTCATCTACCCAGTAATAAAACTGGGCCGGGCCTGCGTCCCACGCGGTAGGACCAAGGCAGGAGTCCCGGGTCTCGAACTCTAGCATCCATCATCCGCCCTGCCCTCCATTAACGGCCCAGCGAGAAGCAGGAGCCGTTTAACAGGCTCCTTCCAGCTCTCGCCAGAGTTTGATATAATTTAAACCTGGACCCGCAGCTCGTGTGGGCTCCCGACTCCCGCGCGCCGCCGTTTCACGTCGCAAACACTTTAGTCAATTATCCCCCTCGCGGAGCTTCTATTTAAAGAGATATTGTCAGGCTCTTAAGCCTCGGAATCAGACCCGCTGCTTTCTGCTTCATATACAAAGGCTTAAAACACGAGTTCTTTGAGGATTGGAAGAAATACAATTAAGCACAGCCTTCGCAACCGTTCCACCCCGCGGGAGCACCCACGTGCGGGACGGGGGAGCTGGGAGGCGTGGAGGCGGGGAAGCGCTCAGTCCTTTCCATTTCAGGCCTCTGTGACCCAGCGGAAATAGGGCTTGGGCCTCCAGGGGTGAGGTGTTGAACCTCGATGATGGAATTCAAATGCATCTGAGCTGAAGAGCGGGCTGGCTCTGGAGCCCGGAGTTGGCCTGGGTAGGGGTTGTGTGGAGCAGTGACTCCACATTATCAATGAAGCTGAATCCTGGGGCAGAGAGAGAGGGAGCTGGAGTTACCCAGGAGCTGATTCAAGGGACAACTGGTGTTCAACACTAGGGACTCTCCCACTCCCAAAATATGCTTTCATTGTCTTGAGACAGGAGTTTCTACCCTGGAAAAACATAACAGCCAGACCCCTTCCTCCTCAACCCTCCAGTCCTGAAAGGCTCTAGGGCCCCCTCCGTCCTTTCCTTCTCCCACACTTGGAGGGAAAGGAGACTTTGGTAGTTTGTGGGATTATTGTCAGCATCAGTAGGCAGAAAGTGGGGAGGCTGGGTCCTTATTCTCCAAGGTGGACCCTTCTATTTACCTGGCTGCCCAGTTGTTGGGAAACCCAGCGAGGGGAGGGGGGCCGGACAGGAGCGACAGATGGCTAGGCCGACCCAGGATTGAGCCTGAGGGCTGGGGAGGGGGAATCCACCTTCCTGGCTGTAGCCTACGGAACCAGTCAATCGACACCTCTAGACCTAGGCAGGGAATACCGAGGAGCACAAAAAAGAAGATGGAGGTCCCTTATTTCTGGTGGAGGGCTGGTGGAGGTCTCGCCTTGGCAGGGAGGCAGGTTCCAAAATGGACTGCGGGGGGCGGCTGCCGAAAAGGTGAGGGACCTAGAAGAGAGAAATACCAGTGGAGTAGAAACGGGAGGGTAGGGGAAGCAGGCCTCGGGCCTTGGCGCCGTTTACCGCTGAGCACGCAGCACCACAGCCTCGGTGCCCGCCTGCCAAGGGTTCGGCCCAGGCACCGAGACAGACAGAGCGTTGGCCTCTAACTCCGGGCCACTCTCGGGCCCTGGCGCCTCCCCGACCAGGCTGGGGATATCTGGGGCTGTGGAGCGTCGGCGCAAACCCAGGCGGCCAGAGCCGGGGCCGCCCTCCGGGTGGGGACTGAGGCCAATGGGGGCTTGCGCTAAGGTTGGGGGCGCTCCCTCCAGCACCTCCTGTGAGCGCCACCGCCCAGTCCCCGAAGACTGGGGCGAGTTTGGTAGGGCCATCAGGGCCCCAGCCCGCAGGCGGGCAGCCTCCTCCTCGGTTACCGCACCTAGAGCCAGGCTCATGCTCCGACCCAGCTCGGGCCGTTCGCTGCCCTGCGCCCGGTGCCGGCCCGAATTCTTGCCCGCTGAGCCAGCCTCGCCGCCGTGGCCGCCCGCCGCTCGCGCAAAGCGCGCCAGGAGAGGCCGCGGGAGGCGGCGGGGGCTGGGTCGTCGATGCTCGGGGCTGGCCGCGGGGGCCGGGCGGCCAGGGGGACTATCGGAGTTGGAGCCCCGGGCCGCAGCGGCGGCGGCGGCGCGGCCCCAGGGCCCGGTGAGGGCCTGCACACAGGTCCCGTGGCCGCGGGCGGCGGCCAGTTGCAGCGCGGTGAGCCCCGCACGGTTGGTGCGGTCGAGGCGCAGGCCTAGGCGGCGGAAGGACCGCACCAGGAACTCGAGCACCGCCCCGTGGCCGCAGGCCGCCGCCCACATCACCGGGCTGTTGCCCGCAGAGTCGGCCGCCTCGGGGTCACCGCTGAACTGCACCAGCAGCTGCACGGCGTCCAGGTGGCCTCGCTCGCACGCCAGGCTGAGTGCGGTGCGGCCGCGCTCGTCTCGCAGGTTCACTGCAGCACCCTGCTCGAGCAGCAGCCGCACGAAGCGCGCGCGCAGCGCGGGGTCCGGCAGCCCCACGGCCACCATGAGCGGCGTACGGCCCTGCTCCGCGCGGCAGTCGATGATGCTGCGGTCCAGCGCATCCAACACGAAGCGGGCCAAGTGCACTTTGCCCGCCTGCATGGCCTCCAGGAAGGTGCGCGTCCCCGCTCGGGGGCACAGGTCCTTGGGTTTGAGCATGGCCCCGGCCGCCGCGCCCGGGCAGCCTGGCAGTTCCGCACGGGGGCGCCCCTGTTCTCGCGCCCCGCGGGGCTCCGGCCTCCGCCCGCGCTCTGATACCTCTCCCTCCGCGCGTGGGCGGCTGCAGCCGAGGGTCCCGAGGTTCCTACTCCGCTGTCCCGGAGGCTCCGACTGCCCCGCCGCTCCTGGGCCGCACGCCTGGCGTGTCGCCGCTCCTTCCCCGGGCCTCCCGCCTGGAGGTGTTGATTGCTCGCTACTCCGGGCTCCGCTCCTGGCCCGCCACCAGACGTCGGGAGCAGAGACTCGACCCTCTCCCGAGTCTCTCGCCGCTTTCCCGGTGTCCGGCGCCCCTCAGTCCTCGTGGTTTGGAGCCGCCGTGCCACTCACCCGCACCCAGGGCAGCCCCCGCTCCCCCGCAGCGACGGTGGCGCCCGCCGTGCACGCCTGCCTCCAGCCCTGGCGGGGCGCGCCGCTCCTCAAGCTGCTGGCGCCGTTCCTCCGCCTCCTCCCCTCTCGCGGGGGCCGGGCCACGCCAGGGCGCTTGCTCCTTACTTGGGGGGCTCAGCGGCGCGGGAGCTGCCGCCCGCCTAGATACCTGACTTTATAGCCTTGGGGGTCTCCATGGCAATGGCTGTCCTGGGAGCGGACTGCGCCGTCAGGGCAGAGACGGACGGGGCGGGGGAGACCGCTCCTGACCCCCACCCCTTCGTGGGCCACGAAGTAGGGGAGCGGTTCCTCCTCCGCGCTCCCCTGGGAATGCGGCGGCGGTTGCGGGGCGGGGGCGGGGGCTGCTCGCCGGGGGCCACATGCACCCAACCGGGCCAATCCCAAAGTCGCAGTCTTCTCTCCCCGCCCTCCGCCCCCAACCGAGTCGGTGCCCTCGGCTCCTTAGAAACTGGCGGGACCTCGGCCTCGTCGGGGAAGACTGAAAGCTGCCCCCATCGGTCCAGGGTGAAAGGAATTGGGACCCCATGAGCGCAGAACTGGACCACGCGCGAGCTAGGGGTGGCAGCGAAAGGCGGATGAGGAGTAATTTGGGGGAGGGGGTATACGTGCCGCGGATTGGGGGCGCTCAGCCTGGCTGGGAACTGCCACTCGAAGTGCAGAGAATCACGCACTCACACACAATTGTTCCACCCGCACACGCTCCCTGGGAACGAGGGGTGGGGTCCGAGTGCGCTCTCCAATTTCAGACGTCTCCAACCCCGACAACGCGCCCGCGTGCCAGCTCCTGGTGGCTGCCTAGCGGGCAGAGTGTAGACGCCCAGACCAGGGAGGGGCTCCTTAGGACCCGGGAGTGCCGCGGACATGTTAAAAGTTCCCTGGCGCCGCCACCCTGGAAAGAGCTAGGGACCCACTCGAGGTTCCCTGCCCCTCGCTTCTCCCTTGAGCACAAAACAACCCCCAGGCCACAGGGCTCTGGCTCTGACCACTGGCTGACCCCTAAAGAGAGGAGGCGAGCACAAGTTCCATTTTCCGTAAGATGCTTGGAGAAACCACTGCATCTCCTCTCCCTCCGGCCAGCAGGTCCCCCTCGGTCCTGGAGGAGGGGGGATGATACACAGGCCTGGGCGGAGCAGAGTTAGGGCGCCTCAGAGCCTGGGTGTGGGTGGTGGGGAGGGTGTGAGTAGGGTTGGAATGGATATTTGTAAAGTAAGGAGTAAAGCAGTTATCAGCTGCAGAATTTACTGAGACTTTTCATGAGCCGCACATTTTGTTGCCGGCAGCGGGTAAGAGAGAGACAGAATCTCGGTTCTGGGTGCGAGACGTTCCACCTCTTAAGAAGACAACACTGGGACTTAAAAAATGGACGTTGTCACCTGAGGGCTGAATTCTTCTGCTAAATACGTACCAACACAGTCCTTGGATGAAAAGATGGAGTTGTGGGCAGGAGAGGGCTCTCGGGCCTTTTAAAGATAGGCCTTCAAGGATGTGCGGGATCTGGCTGCAAAAGAAAGAAGGAAGGAATCCCAGGCCGGGTGCAGTGGCTCACGCCTGTAATCCCAGCACTTTGGGAGGCCGAGGCGGGCGGATCACGAGATCAAGGGATCGAGACCATCCTGGCCAACATGGTGAAACCCCGTCTCTACTAAAAATACAAAAATTAGCTGGGCGCGGTGGCACGCGCCTGTAGTCCCTGCTACTTGGGAGGCTGACGCAGGAGAATTGCTTGAACCTGGGAGGCAGAGGTTGCAGTGAGCCGAGATCACGCCACTGCACTCCAGCCTGGAGACAGAGTGAGACTCCGTCAAAAAAAAAAAAAAAAAAAAAAAAAAAAGGAAGTAATTCCAGACGGGTTCTGGAGGCAAAGGCTTGGAAGCAGGATAAACCTTCAGGGGACACTATTGAGGGCTGCTTTAAGGGGTCCCTTCCTATCAGAGACAGGAAATAAGGGAAGAATGATGGTGTTCTCAGTCTGAGCAGATGCTTTGGAGTAGGAGATGCCTGGGGAAAGGTACTGGGCATAGATAGGCGTGGCAAAGTGGGCTCATGGCCCTGCACCCTGAACCCCTTGCCTCTCTCCAGCTCCCAGGCTCCGGGGATGTCCACCTTGAATTTGGCACCCAGGCCATGGAGCAGAGGCTCCCACTCCCCTCTGTCACGTGAGGAGCGTGTGATGTGTACCTGCATCCACTACGAAGCCCCCCTTTTCTCTTTTTGCATTTGTTAAGCCTTTGGTCAGGGATCTGCCAATTTTCTTTCCTGGTGTCATGAAAAGGCCACAGATCTGACATCAGCGTTAAGTCCCAGCTTGAAGGCATTTACTAGCAGTGTGGCTCCAAGCCTGCATATTCTCAGCTGCAAAATGAGACTGATAAATACCAGCCCTGCCTGCTTTACACAAGAACAAGTTAGAAAGTGTCAGGGAAAGAGCTGCATAGTTATTTCATTTTTTTTATTTTGTTTTGTTTTGTTTTCTAGAGCTGCATAGTTATTTAGAGTGCAGCCCTCAAAGCTGCTCCCGCCCCAGAGCTAGGGCCCCCTTCTGGGGTGGCCCCCAGGAATGGATAGAGACTCTCCACCCCCAGTAACTGGGCAGGAATGCTCTCCTTTACTCAGCAGAAGAAAGGCTTTTCTTCCCTTTATGACTCAACTTCTCTTTTCAGCACTGTGAGGGAAATTGCTTTCTTCCCTTCTATTTCCAAGGTCAGAGGAGGGTGTACCCCTGGAACCTGTGTGTGGCCCACCAGCCTGACAAGCCATGACTCACACCCCCCCAGGTGGAGGAGAGAAGCAGCAGAAACCCAGAATGGGCACTTTCTTGGTCCTGAAGAGCCCCTCCTCCCTGAGACAACTGAGCTTCATTTCTGTTCCTGTTCCTCCGTGGTGGATTGAGACAGTTCCAGGGAAGAAGAGTTGGGGCAGAAAGTGCTGTGCTGGGTACCCTTTGGAAGGAGCAGTTGGTTCCCATGGCAGGAAGGGGGTGGTGGTGCCAGGTCTCGAGCCCTGGAGCCTTTGCTCTGACTTCTCTATGGGCTCAGTATGTTCTGAACAGAAAAGAAACAGCAAAGCTGAAAAAAAGCTGAGACTTTGCTGCAGAGCACAGAGGCACCAACAGCCGGAATTAGAAGCTGTCGCTTAGGGAGCTGAAGGCTGACAGGAGATGGAGCCCAGGCAGGCAGGGGGCAGGCAGGCACGTCATACTCACCTCCCCTCCTCTCCCCTCCTGTCCCACCTGCTGGGCCTGTCCTCCCAGCAGGCCCCAGGCTGGCAGAAGGGCTCCCTCCCCAAGATGCCTCAGTGTGGTCTGCCACTCTGTCTGCAACTGCCTCCCTCTCAGGCCCCTTCTTTCCTCAAGTGTCACCAGCCCCCTCACGCTGTCACGTTGCACCAGCTTGGCAGGGTTGGGCCTGGTGGCATGTGTCTGGGAGATCCAGAGGGCTGCTCAGGGGATGCAGGGGGCGGGGTGAGTCAGCAGGGGACTCGAGTCTGAGTCAGCAATGGAATTGGGAAAGGGGTAGGGACCCTTCTCTTTGTGCAAAAGGTGAAACTGAGGCATGATGCGTGAAGGGAGCCTTGCCCCAGTCCCATAGATACACAGCAGTGATGGAACCCAGGTGTCCTTCACCTGCCCCAGTACCCCAAGGGAAGGCGTCAACTCTTCTTCTATACATCCCCTGCAGCCAGAGACTAATTCATCTCCAGGACCCAGAGATGGCATTTGCCTAAGGGACACCTTGCCTTTTTGGGAGGAAAGCAGGGAGGCAGGTATCTAGGCCTGGCCACATGGGAAGGCCCCAGTCGGCTATGCAGAGGCCTCTCCGGGGGCAGGATTGCATCGCCTTCCCCATTCCTGGGCTACCCAGCTCCAGACTGGGAGCCCAGAGACTCTGCGTGGCCTGGCCCAGAGGTGAGGGGAAGGCAGCTTTTCCTTCTCCTGTACAGTCATCAGCAAAATCTGGGGGCTGCCCAGTGGGCTCCATTGGGCTCTGGCTCTGGCTTACGTGCACATGCCTGGGTCAGTGAGTTCCTCTAGGCCCGAATCCTCACCTTTACAGCCCAGTGCCTGGCAGAAGGGTTGAACATAGGGCACCACCCTGGGGTATAGGTGGTCTGCCCCAGCGTATCCAGTCTGTAATGATGTAGGGAGCAGGCTGATCAATGCTAGGCCTTAGCCCAGTAAATGATCAGCCCCCTCACCTCACCCTACAGCCAGGGCCTGGTAGAATCCCAGAGGTCAGACTCCCAGAGGGATGGGATGGCAGGGTGGGGGCAGGAGGACCTGTTTACTTTCCAAAGGAACAGGTGCTCACAGCTAACGGCATGTGCTGTAACTCTAATAAGAAAACAACCTCTTCCCAGAATCAATCCCCCTCTGCCTCCTAAGCCAGTGCCTGTCCCTATTTGGGATTTGGGATCATGTCATCGGTGCAGTGAGTGGCTGCCCACAAGCCCCTCCACAGCAAGTTTTGAGGTCAACCATAGCTGCCATAGGGTCCTGAGCATCCAACCACTCTGTCTTCCTAAAGGGGCCTAGATTGCCTAAAAGTTTGGAACTCCCCCTAAAATAGGGGACATCTTTGCACTCAGCTCTTCTGCTCCAACCCCGAGAGTGGAGACAATGAAGGGCCACATCTGTGTGGGGGCGAAGAGGGGGTGACATAATTTTCCAGTGATTGTGGCATCAGGGCCAGCAGAAGGGGAAATGAATCCTCTTCAAGTCCAGAGGCAGGGCCATTTCACTGGACTCTGGAAAGGACCTCACCCTGGGTTCAGCTCCCAAGAGATTTTTTTTTCCCCAGCCCGTTTCATTTCAGGGGCACTCCACTACCCTGCCCCCATTTTCTACCTGTAGAATAGAGACCAGGCTTAAGCAGGAAACACTGGGACGAGGTTCTTTAATAGGAGTAGGAAAGAGAAAAATAAATAAACCTCATAAATTCAGGAGAGCAAATGATGCTGACCTTGTCAGGCAGGCAGCCTGAGAGGGGTACATGGTAGGAACTGCCTGCCCCCAGGCCTAGGAAGAGGGGTGAGCCAGGGTCAGGGTGGAACAGCACCCAAGAGCCCACTGCCCCTTGTGACTCAGCCAAGCAGGGCCAAGGCAGCTTTTCCATTTCAGCCTCCCGTTCCGGACAGGCAGAGGGGAGGGGAGGGCCCTCAGCCAGGGAGTGGCCGTCCCCAGGGAGCTGTGAGGTAGTGCCAGGATCTGCCTCAAGGAGTGGACAAGGCCAACTCAGGGCAGGCCTGATGGGGCCTGGAAGCCTGGGGCAGGAGGGTTCGGGGCTAGAGTGGAGGTGAGTGGGTCCAACCCTCCAGGTGAGGAAACTGAGCCCAGAGCTGGTTGCTCAATAGGAAAGGCAGAGTGGGGCCAGGATCCCACTTTCTGCCTTCCAGTCCATAGTCTTTTGCCCTCAACAAATATATGACACTTATCTAGAGATGGAGGGGGAGGTAGGAAGTCAGCTTGAGAAGACTTCTAGGCCCCAGAGAGGCCCTGCCGTGAGGGTGCCTGGGTCCTGTCTCAGACTCTGGCCTGGCCGTTGAGGAGGGGGCTGCAGCGTCCAAGGCAGCCACAGGTTCCCACAGCCTCAGAAGGCTGGGGCTCCTTTTTCCTGGGGGAATAGAACCACATCCCAGAGAAGGGGCTGAACCTCCTTGCTAAATGTCCCAGTGGGATGGGGGCATCAGAGGCGGCTCTCCTGGGCATCTGCCTTTGCTATGAGTGGGTCCTGCTCACACAGCTCTGGGGGGCACTCGCAGGCCCTCTCAGGCTTGTCCTTGGCCTCGGAGGGAAAGCAGGTCCTGAGGCAGGCCCTCACCGACTCCTTCACCTCTGCCTCCAGACCCTTCATCCTGGCCTCGTACTCTGCCAGCGCCTCCTTCTGGAACTGTGGAGACAGCAAGGACCCCTGCCTGGCTCAGGAGGGGCCTGCTGGCCACCCTCGCTCCCTGGACAGTGGGAACAGGAGATGCCCAATATCCATGTTCGGAGCTCCCAGGAGACTGGGGTGAGAGGCAGGGTGGGGGAGTGGTAGAGCCCATCAGGAGCCTCTCAGGAAAGGGGATCCTAACCAGGCGGAGATCTGCAGAGCTGCCTCATTTGAAAGGGCCTCGGGACCCCACAGTGAAGGATGATGGCCCCCTTCCCCTACCCTCTCACTGGCAGCTCCCTGGGGCAAGGCCCCTTTACAACCCGGAACCCATTCAGTTCTGCTGGGGGTCCCAGTAGTGAACCTGTTACCTGCTTTTCCATCTCCCGTATCTGTTCCAGGCAAGCCGCCTGCTTCTCCTCCAGCTTCTCCTGGTGCCTCTCCAAGTTCTCCGTCATCTGGGTGGGAGTGGATGGCAGAGAATCAGGACAACACAGACAGGCAAGCTGGGTCAGAATCCAGCTGTAATCCCAGCTAACTAGTTGTAAGACTTTGGGCAAATTCCTTAACATTAGGTAGTTTTTAAAATTTGTAAGATAAGGATAGCAGCACCTGTCTCACTGGACTGTAAAAGATTATACAAGACAGCTCATGTGAGGCACCTGGCAGAGTGCCTGGCACAGGTCAGGACCCAGTAGGTGGCAGCTGTGTTCTGTGGTTAATGATCCCTAGGGGAGCTTCAGGTCCATTATTCCTTGGCACCTCAGGAAGCTTCCTCACTCCCTCTTCATCCCCTGACCCTCGCCAGTCCCAGCCTCCCCTGGCCCTGATATGGGCCAGTTAGCCCATATCATTTCCACACATGAGAACTGGCCAGAGACAGATCCCTTCAGGCTGGTACCCCAACCTCCATACACAGGCCAGAACCCCAGGATGTCCCCTGCCACCCCAGCTGCATGGACAGCGCTAGGCAGTGCATCTCCTAAGGGCAAAGTCAGGGCCTGGGGCCACCCCTTCCTACTTGTGAAGAGAGAGAGAGAGAGAGAGAGAGAGAGAGAGAGAGAGAGAGTGTGTGTGTGTGTGTGTGTGTGTGTGTGTTTAGGAAGGACACAGCCCTTACACACCTGCTTGATCACCTGCACTACTTCCTGGATGTGGGAGTTGTTAATCTCTCTCTTCAACCTGTTGGTGTAATTGGAGTTTTAGAAAAGGGAGAAAACCCCTAGGGAGAGTAGGGTAACATGAAGTCTACGCAGGATGTAGGCAAATGAGAAATCCAACATAGGGCAGGAACCAGCTGGGGGCAGGTGTGGGGACCCAAGGAGTATGTAGGGGCCACTGGGAGTCCTGGGGCCCTCTGAGGGAACCATTTCCCCATCAAAACACACTGTCCTTCCGTGGGAAACAGTGCCACCACAGTGGACAGGCTACAATCCCAAGGCCTCAGCTCCCTCCCTGCAGGCTTGGCTGCCTCCAGAGCTCTGCCCATGTAGTGTTGGCCTCCGTGTTTTGTCTGAGGAGGACACTCTGATCAAAGGTGACAGGGGGGATCCGCTTTTTGGAGAGCCAGGGGACAGATGCATCTTTGGGAAGTGAGTCAGGATCCATTTGTAGAGAGGCCCCTTTCCACCTGAAGTGGGGTCTGCCCAGCCCTGGGCCTCCCCTCCAGGGCTCACCTCTCCTGGGCCATCTTGTCTGTGGTGACTTTGGTCATGCCCTGGATCCGCTCCAGTCTCTTTGTCTCCAGCTTTTTCTTCATCTCTTTGGTGTCGCTGCAGAGAGACAGGCATGAAGGAGCTGTTTTGTGCGGCTGAGCCCTTGCTGGGAGGCGAAGCAGGTGTGGGAGGGAGGCAGTCGTACTTCTCCGACGTCTCCTTCAGGGCCTTCAGCTCTGCCGCCTGTTTCTCTCTGGCCAGCTCCATCATTTTGGAGATTTGCTGCAGGGAGAGGAAGTAAGCTTGGCGAGAAGCCCTTTGTTGTTCAGAGGGAGTACGGGGGGCGGGGGTCGGTGGAGGGGAGTCGGTGAGGGGGTTGGGTCGGTGAGAGGGGCGAATGGGGTCCATGGGGGGTGGGGTCGGTGGGGCTGGTGGGGTTGTCGCCCTGCCCCTCCCGGCCACCTCGGCCACGTGCTGCTCCTTGCGCTTCAGAACGCACTCGTACTGCTCCTCGCCCTGCCGCAGCAGCTCCAGCTCCAGCCTGTCTTTCAGCTCCCGCACGCGCCCGTCCACGCCCTCAGGGCCCTCGCCCGGCGCGGCTCCGGCGCTCTCCTCGCGGGGCAGGCTCCTGGGGAGGCCACGTGGGGACAGGCCCTGAGATCCTGCGCCACCCGCGCTGCAGAGGGCAGGGCACCGCCACGAGCCTTACCTCTTCTTGCGAGAGCCCTTGCCGGGACCGAGCTTGCAGGCCCCGACGCCCCCCACGCCCGGTGGCCCGAGCTCCGCCAGCTGCGCCGCGCCCCGCTGCAGCAGCTCCTCCCAGCGCCGCGCTCCGCGCCGCTCCAACTCTCGCAGCTCCTTCTCGTGCCGCCGCTGCAGCTTCACCACGCCCTTTAGCTCCCGGAGCTCCTCCAGGCTGGCGGTCCGCGGCTCTGCGGAGGCCCGGGTGAGGCGCAACACCGGCCAGGCCGTCCTGCCCGTCCAACCCCCAAGGAGCCCCGGACCCGCCCCAGGCTCATCCCCGAGATCACCGGGCTCAGCAGGCCTTACCCGCAGCTTCTTTCATAGCCTCTTCCCTGGCCCCGGCCCTGGCTGCTGCAAGAGCCACGGGCTGGGCTGTCAGGTGCTCTGGGGGGCCCCTTGGCTCCGTTCGCCTCCTCCACACCGCCCCCTGGGAGTCGCAGTATGTGCCCCCTGCCCCGCACTTTCCCTAGGTGAAATTTTTTAAAGGGAAGTGCCTGTGGGTGCAGAGGTGGAGGTGCCCCCAGTAGGTGTGCGGACCGAAGCTCATACCTGGTGACCCATTGCTCGTTGGGGCCAACGCCCCATTGACCTGGCTGGCAACTGGACTCGCCAGTGGGAAGGGCTTCTGTGTAGGGAGAGCAGGTCAGGAAGGTGGCTTGACAGCCCTCTCTCCCCGAGCCTGGGACTCGGCCCTCTCCCCAGCCTCTCCCATAAATAGGGCTAATCTCTGGTGAGCCCCTGGCAGCAGTGCAGGCAACACAGACCTCAGGCAGACCTCCCATGGCCTCCTTGAGCTTCACAGACTTCGTGTCATGGGCACTGAAGAACTTAATGGGGTTGGCGAGGGCCACAGTGAGATCTGGGTGGGTGCACAGGACATTACAACATAGTGTATATGGAGATGTGGCTGGAAGTCTCCCCTGTCCTCACCCACTCCAGGATGCCCCATCTGGATCCCACCCCAACTCTGGAAGCTGGCTTGATGGGAAGGAAGGGGGAACAGACACCCCGAGGCTCCTGGCATGCCATGGGCTCCTACCTGCCCAAGCACCAGGTATGTAGTCCTTCATCTCCAGGAAGATGAAGAGCGCAGGCATGGTGAGGGGCATGTTGCTCTCACTGTGCAGGCACAGGTGGTGGTACCCTGTGAGACAGGACAGGGTAGGCAGTGAGCCAGAGCCCGTTCCTGCCAGCACTGTGCACACACAGCCTAGGACCCAAGGGTCTGAGTCTGGCACTGCACCATCCTGGCTGTGTGACTTCAGCCAGGTTACTTTAACTCTCTGAGACTTTACTCATCTATGAAGAGGGGATGAGTGTCTACTCATGTGGTTATTGTGAGGATGAAGTGAGAATGTATTATAAGCCCTTAGCAAATTTTAAATGCCCATAAGTGTCAGCTACTTGAGAAACTGCCCCAGCCGTTTCAGAAAATTACAGCAATTCTGTTAGGTGGGCAGAGTTCCCGCCTCTCTTAGGTTCCTGGAGAGGTACTGTTCTGCCCTACTCCTTACAATGTGAGGGCTTAGGTAAGGCCTCACTCCAGGCCCCCTCCCAGAAGCTGCCCCACCCTGTGCACAGGCTCCTGCTGCTGATCTTGGAACAGTGAAGGACCCCACTCCTTACCAGAATTTAGGGCATTGATGGGGATGATGCGGTGTCCAAGAAACTTGTTGCCTTCCTCCATCACAGCCACTCTGAGGGAGGCCAGCTCAGGCATCAAGATCTGGGGAGAGTTGGGGACATGACAGGCTGGGAGGGGAGAGAGGAGCCAAGCTGACCCCCTCCCTGGCTCCAGAAGTCTCAGCATCAGTGTGAGAACATGGTGAGTGTCACCAGATTTGGTGAGGACAGACAGAGGGCACACTCTAGGCCATATACAAAGACATCCCCACAGCACATGCCATGGCTGGTTCCACACAGGGGAGGAGGGCTGGATTTGCAGCCCAAGGCTGAGGGGGCCTGGCACAGATAGCCCTTGACAGCTTTGCCAGTGGGTATCCAGTGGGGCAAAAGACTCCCATGGGAACCTCAACCCTGAGTGCACATTTCTGCCTCTAATCTTCACACACACACACTCTGCCTACCAAGTAAACTTCTGTAAACTTGGGTTTTGCACTCTTGAAACAGGAGGGCCCAGGGTGAGGGATGGGAAGAGGAGGAGGAGGAAGGTCAAGGAGCTGCCTTGTTTACTTCCTCTTGTCTGTAAGTAGAGGCCAAGAACTAGACAGACTCTGCCCTGCCATGCCCTGGCCCCCACCTTCTCAAAGACAAAGGGCTCCTCCTTCCAGACAGGATTGATGGAGTTAGTACTGGGTGACAGCTTAGTTCGATAGCGCCTCTTGGGGTCCCCAGGAAGGCCAAACAGCTCCACTTCTACATAGGTGCGCACGCTGCGTTCTGACAGGAACTGCCCAGAGATCACCTGGGGGTAGGGGCCCAGGAAAACCAGCATCAAATCCCCACCCAGGCTCTTCCCCAAGCATCTGGGGCCCCTGGCTGCCTAGAGCTGAAGCATTCGTTCTTGGGTGTTATGAAGAACCTCACTCAGCTCTGGCCATGAGTAGAGAGGCTGTGTAGCCCACGGGTTACAGCTAAGCTCTGAGGACCAGGGTGCTTCTAGCATGAAGGGAAGAGGTGGGCCTCCCACCTCCCTCCCTAGCCAAAGAGGGAACAATGCCTTCCCCCAGGACCTGGGGCTCCGGCTGCCCCACTCTGCCCACTCTTCCTCCCCTCCCCCACCCCAGCCTCAGCCCTTCCCGTTGGTTTCCATGGGGACCAAGTGGCAGCCTCCAGTGCTGAGGAGGAGGCAGTTTCCAAGGCAACTTGCTACTGCAGGAACTGGCTGGGGCTGAAGTTTCCAGGATATCAGGGGAGGGGGTTGCGAGTTGAGTGAGGGGTGGGCTCCTGTGCCCTTCTACTCAAGACCTCAGCCTCCCGGCCACTTGTGTGCCCCAGGGCCTTGCCGTAATGGAAAGGGTGGTGGCCACCACCACGTCGATGCGGTCCACTGAGAAGGGGTTGAACTGCTTGTCCGGCCGGCGCATGAACTCATGCTTGAGGAGGTAGCCGCTCTGCCCGTTGAACTCAAATACTGCCATGTTCTGCTGCATGGGCAAGTCTGGAGGGACAAGGACACTCAGTGAGGAAGGCCCAGCCCTGGGGCTGTGCCCAGTCTCCATTTCCTCCATTCCCAGCCTTTGCTGTCTGGTGAATGGGGAGGTTGGGTGGACCGTGAGGATGAGGGCTTCTCCTGTCCCAGTCTGGTTCCTTGCAGTGTCTCCTCTCTTAGGCAGGGTCCACAGCCTGGAGGCAGCAAGGAGGAAAGCCACAGCCAGGCTGAGGGACTGTGGTGGGAGCTGGGGCAGCTGGGGCAGGTGGCCCACAGACATACCTGGGTGGAGCGGCCAGAACCCACGCCGGCAGCCTGGCATCTTTACATCCATCATGTATGCGCAGGCACATGGGCACAGGCTAATGCATTTCTACCCCCAAATTCTCACGCACCTGGGCATGCTCCCAGAGTCTACACTAACAGCAGGACTCCCCAGCCTGTTCCAAAGACCCCTCAAGGATGTAAAGGTGGGGGGCGCAGGGACCAGGGAAGGATTCTTAGGGGCCTGGGAATGCCCTCACCCATCGTCTGGAAGTTGAGGGCAACCATCTGGCATCCAGCATTCCAGAACATCTGGGGCATGTAGTTGGAGGAGTCCATGCGGGTTCCCTTGGGGTAAATGCGGCTCATCTGGCGCTTGTTGTAGCTGTCCCTGAGTTTAGGACCCTAGCCAAGGCCATCTGCACCAGGAGAACCTAACAGCTTACCCTGGGGGCCCTGTCCCCAGGCCCTCCTCTGGCTCCCCACCCAAGCCAAGGACCCTGGCCACTGAAACCTCAAGGATACTCCACAAACTGCACCGAGGCCTTGGAGAGCAGGTCATATGCCTTGAGCTCTGTGAAGGACGAGATGACATAACTTCGGTTCTTTTCTATATAGGGGAGAAAGGGAGGGGAGGAGTTTTATCAGGCTGTCCCCTCCCTCAGTCTTGGCCTCCCCTTTGGGGCAGCTCCCTCTGGCCTATAGAGATGCCTCCACCCCAGCATTTCCACTGAGACCTGAGGTTTAGGGACCAACCTCTGGGAGAAGTGTATGAATCACAGTGCCTGCTGGGGTGAGGGGTGTTCTCAGTGTGTATGCACAGGGGTGGGGTGTGTGCCATGGATGTGGAGAGTGAGACCCACATGCCATAGATGGGCACAGAGGGTATGGGGAACATGCCAGGCTGAGCCTAGGGGGTCAGTAACATGCTGTGCACACATGAAATGTGAACACATGCTTTGATGTGCACAGGGAGTGAGGTATGTAAGCTATGGCTGAACACGTCTGGGGAGAGGGGCACATTAACTGTAGTACATGCCATGAGTGTACCCAGGTGGGGATGCAGGCTGTGGGTTCAGGGATGAGAAGTTAGTGCTACAGAAGTCCAGCTGTGCACAGGAGGAGACAGAAAGAGGTGCTCGTGCATGGGACATGCAGAGAGTGAGAGCAACGTACTGTGCTTGTGTCCAGAGAAGATACAGGTAAACAGCCGGGCTGTCCATGAAAGGGGAAGCATGCAAAGGGGCAGTATGCTCTGGTGGTTTTCTCTGCCTCCACTCCCTCTCAGGAAGTCTCATGTCCCACGGCCAGGGCTTCTGGGCTTGGGCCAGCCCACAGCACAGTTCAGCCCTGGGAGCCACAGAGCCTGCAGGCAGCTGCAGGAGCCCCAGGCCATCCCAGCCAAGGTGGCCTGTCATAACGCCCAGCCTGTCACCGACACACTCCAGAGCATTCTGTTTGGTGCCAAGTTCCTCACTAGAGAAACTGGGAGCCACTGCCACTTAAGCAAGCCCTTTGCCTGACTCCGTGGCTGGATATTTATAGGCAGGGCCCCAAGTCCAAGGAAGGGGGAGATCCCCCTTCTTCTTACCCACCCGTAAGTTACTCATGCTAACTTACGGGCAGAGAACTCAAAGGAGACGAACTTGGTGGGCTGGATGTAATTGACTAGGCTGGACATCTCCTCATAAGCCGTCACTTCCAGGCCCGCTGTGCCCTAAGGAGAAGAGGGGAGGGCAAAGAAGAGGAGGATGGTGCAGAGCCCAGGAATGGGGCCCAAGGCCCCCATCCAGGGGGCTTAACGGTGGAGGATGACACAGAGGGGCCTGGGGCTACCCCCACACACCTCATCCGACTGCATCTTCTTAATCTCTTCTTCATCCAGGTTTCCTGACTCCTCCTCCTCTTCCTCTTCCACCTCCTCCTCCTCCAGCTCAGTCCCTTCCTCGCCAGCCCACACTGCCACATACAGCTCTGTCGGCACTGGCTCCTGCATGGCTCCTCCAGGTCCAGCCCCTCTCCTGTTCCAGATGCTCCTAATACCCCCCACCATAGTCCTCCCCGACTCACCTGTGCCCTCACCTGCAGGGGCACTGGGTGGGCTGCTGCCCTCAGCCTCCCCACCAGTATCCTTACTGGAGGAGGTGGGGCCAGAAAACTGGTTCTTCTTGTTCTTGATGAGGATCTTGCCCCTGAGATCCTCAGGGCTGGGCAGGGGGACACCTGGTTTTAGCTATGGAGTGGAGAGCAGGTCAGCACCATCTTCTCACCTTCATGGCATAGCCTGAGCTCCTTATTACCAGGCATGCTCCCTCGGCCTCCCCCACTCCTCTTGACCTGCCTCTCACTACTGCTTATCATCCCCATTCTCACTGAGATAAATCCAGCTTATCCCTTGGAGTAAATGCGGCTCATCTTGTGCTTGTTGTAGCTGTCCCTGAGTATGGGACCCTGGCCCAAGGCCATCTGCACCAGGAGGACCTAACAGGCTACTCTAGGAGCCCTGTCCATCACTTCCTCCAGGAAGCCTTCCCTGATCCCCAAGACCAGATCAGAACTCCCCAGGTGCTCCCATAACAACCACTGGATTGTAATGGCCTGGTTACTTGTCTGTCTCCTCACTAGAGGGTAATACACCTGAGGGCAGTGACTGTGTCTTTGTCACTAGCATACCCTGAAGCCCAGCCCAGTGCCTGACACACGGAAGGTGACAGGATCCCAGACCCGCATCTAACCAAGTGAACCCTAGCATCCTCTGGGAGTGTCTCCCTCCCTAACCTGGTTCTCACCCTGCCCCAGGTTCCCAGGCCCAAGGCTCAAATGTCCCACAGCGAAGCCCACTCACTGGGAACTTTTCCAGGGGCTCTGTGAGCAGCATATCCCCAAAGATCGTCCGGCAATACTCAGCCATCTTAGCCTGCTGGCGGGGTCTGCGGGGAGCAAAAGCGGGGATGGGGTTCAGCCGCTCAGCACCAACCCTATTATGCATCCTTTTGTGCCCTTGATGACCCAGATCAGGGGCCAGGAGGTCAGGGAGGCTGGGACTCGAGCAGGAGAACATGAGGCCTTAGGGTGATTATACTGAGACGTGGGAGAAGCTGTAGGCAATGGTTAGAGGCTGGGGCAGTTGTGGGGAGGACAGTTGCAGACAGGAGACTGGGGGCTGGGTGAGAATGTGGCTGAATGGGCCTGGATACGCACGAGTCCACATGGTTCTCAAACGACAGGATGATGGGATAGGGGGAGGTCTTAAAGGCGCTTTCTGCAATAGCCTCAATTGCTTCCTGGAGGAGAAGGAGACTCCATGAACAGAAGGTCAGCGTTCCGACTGCCTGTCTCGTGATAGCACTTTTCCCCCCTGCCTAGTTTCAATACACACATATAACTGCATGGCCGCCATTGGCCCCCAATCCCTGCTGGTCCCCAATGGTCTGAGGCCTTCCAGCCATTCATCTTCTCTAGCTTCAGCCCTCCAACCCCTCAAAGCTTCTGGCCCAGAGCCCTTCCCTACTGCCACGGCCACCAGCCTCTGTGCCCAGGGTCTCACTTTGAAGAAGATGTCTGTGGTCATGGTGAAGCCATGGGTGATAATGGGCTCCTCGTCAGGGGGTTTCCCCTTCCAGCAGTCTAGCTCCACGCAACGGCAGCCAGAGAGCAGCACCTGGCGGTACATCTCAGCCGAGGAGAGGCCTGAGAACTGGCCGGCTGAGCCAGAGGATGGGGAAGAGGTGAGGGCATCACCCAAAGGCAGCCCAGCTCTCCCCCTACCGCCACTCCATCATGGTCTGTGTTATTCTCAGGGCCAGCAGCATGTGGGCAACCCCTGTGGAGGATGCAGGGAACCCCTGTGAAAGCAGAGGTTGGCACCAATGTTATCAGGGCCCACCTGTCAGGTAGGTGTTGTGGGACGAGTTGATGAAGTAATGATTGAGTGGCTGCGTCATGTCGTGGTGGAGCAGCAGCTTGTCCTGGGCCAGCACGCTGTTCTCTGGCCCACAGAGAAACCAGACCATGCCTTCAGGTGACAGCTGGCCTGGGGGACAGGAGATAGCTGTCAGGCTACAACCCCGCTGCCAAGGCAGGACAGGACCACAGGGGACAAGGGGTTCCCTTAGTCCTCACCCCTCTGTGCATTGATGCCACTGGGCTCATACTTGTCGATGAGGCCCTGCACCTGGTCAGGCCGTGCTGGCGGGAACAGCAGGGAGTTAAGCCGGGAGTCCCGCTGTTTCTGGTTGATGAATTTGGTCAGGTGCTCCTTCGTCATGTAGGGTTTGGCCTTAGCATGGCTTCAAGCCAGAGAGAAGAGCACAGGTCCATATCCCTTGGGCCTGGAGGCTTAGACAACCCCCTTGTCCAGTGAAGCCTCCTGACTCCCGGCATGGCAGGTGGGAGGAGGGGATTGTTAGCCACCACCCTTTTCCCATGACCAGCACAACCCAAGAAACTCACTAAGAAGTGAAGATCTCATCTATTTCTGGCCGAGGACAGAGGCTCATGAGGAAACTCTTGTAGACAGGTTCTGGGAAGTCCTCAGGATTGATGGCGTCATTCTAGGGGCATAGTAACCTTATTGCCCCTGCCCTCACCTTCTCAGAGCTAAGAACCACAAACTCGGCCCAGCCCTGGTCAAGGGGACCTGGTCAGAAGGCGGGCTCAAGGCAGACAGAAGAACTTCAAGGACACCCAAGCATCCACTTCTCAAGGCCCTGGTTGCTGAGCAGAGAGCATGCTTAGCTGGTTTGCTCTGACCCTGATTTTGTACAGTGGCTATTCCATTGGCTGGGGCAGGATCGGAACTAAGAATAACCAGAATGAGGTAGAAAAGAGGTCAGAAGAAATGATGCTGCTTGCCAGGCTAGTAGGCTATCTTTTTTAAGTGGAGGACAAATATTCAAAAAGAAGCAATTTGAATATAAACATATATGCACCTAACAACAGAACCCCATAATATATAAAACAAAAACTGATAGAATTGAAAGGAGGACAATTCAACAATAATATTTGGAGACACCAAAAGCACCGGGACAAAGAAAGATAAATTAAACGTCATCAAAATTAAAAACTTTTGTGCTTCAAAGGACACCATCAAGAAAGTGAAAAGGTAACCCACAGAATGGGATAAAATATTTGCAAATCAGATATCCGATAAGAGATAAGTCAACAAAAAGACAACCCAGTTGAAAGATGGACAATGGATTTGGACAGGTATTTCTCCAAAGAAGATATATAAGTGACTAATAAACACAGAAAAGGTGCTCAATATAATTTGTAGTTAGAGACATGCAAATCAAAACCACAATGAGATACCACTCCCACTAGGATGGCTAAAACAAAAAACAGACAATCACAAGTGTCAGCGGGATGTGACTAACCTAAAACCCCACACAGCACTTTGGGAGGCCGAGGAGGGTGGATCACCTGAGGTCAGGAGTTCGAGACCAGCCTGGCCAACATGGTGAAACCCCATCTCTACTAAAAATACAAAAATTAGCCCAGCATGGTGGCACATGCTTGTAATCCCAGCTACTTGGGAGGCTGAGGCAGGAGAATTGCTTGAACCTGGGAGGCAGAGGTTGCAGTGAACTGAGATCACGCCACTGCACTCCAGCCCGGGCAACAGAGTGAGACTCTGTCTCAAAAATAAATAAATAAATCCCTACACAATGCTCTCACTTTAGAAAACAGTTTGGCGGTTTCTCAAATTGTTAAATATAGAGTGACCACATGACCCAACAATTCCACCCCTGGGTATATACCCAAGAGAATTTACACATGTTCACACAAAATCATGTACATGAATATTCATAACCAAAAAGTACAAAAAACCCAAACATCTACCAACTGATAAACAGATGAACAAAATGTGGTATATCCATACAATGGAATATTATTAGGTGGTAAAAAGGAATGAAGTACTCATGCATGCTACAACATGGATAAACCTTGAAAACATTATGAGAAATGAATACAGCCTGACATCGAAAAGCATATATTTATGATTTCATTTACTTTACCACCAGAATAGGCAAATCTATAGAAATAGAAATGAAAAGTACATTTGTGGTATTCAGGGATTCTGCACCTTTGCATTCCTTCCCCCCCCAAAAAAAACATTAAATGTCTTTCAGAATCACACTGGAAGGCCAACATCAGTCTTAGTTTGGAGCAGAGGGTCTGAGCAGGAGAGTCTAACTGGATCTCCCCAAACCCCTCCCTGTCTCTGGAGCTTCAGCTCCAAGCAAAGTTGGGTCAGTAGCCTCTACTGAGACACAAGGAAAGCAGATAGATAAGGAGGACTTAGCCAAGGGAGGAGCTCAGGCAGCAGGAGAGAGGGAGGGTGGATGTGTGCTGACCACAGGTAAGTGTTGCTGGCTGTAGGGGAGCCGCAGGAGCCCATTCCTACCTCTCCCCAACGCCACATTTGGATCCCTGTGACTGACTGCATCAAGGAGTCACCAACTCTGCAGAGCTGTGGCTGTGGGGTAAATGCTCCTCCTGGGATTCATGTGGGCAGGTGATCAATGGGGGTCGTGGTTTTATTTATTTATAACGTTCCAAATTCTTACCAGGAGAAAATACTCCATGGGGTATAGGCTGGGACCCACACAAGAGCACTGGCCAAGCAGGGACAGGGGCTGAGATTCGCTCCATTGGCCAGGCTTGAAGCCTAGCTCAGGGCCATATCAGCCCAGAGGGCTCCTTTTTGTAATTCACACAAGTTGCTTCATGGGGTGACCCTGCTTACAACTTGTAATTAAAAATTAATTATTTAACTAAAAAGACAGGGAAAAATGCTTTTCTGTACAGAGCAGAAGTCTGCATCTTGGCAGCTTCCGCCTTTGGTTCAGTTCCTCTCCCTCGACACGCTGCAGACTTCCAGATCCCTGCAGACTGCCGCCTGCCACTGCCGACCTTATCTCGCTCCTCCAGGCTGAAAACATTCACGCTCAGCTCCCATTCCCAACACTAGACTGGGAATGCATGCCGTTTCTGCTGCCTGCCCTGAACACAGTCCATCAACCACAGCCCCAGCGCCCCCACCACCCAGGGTAGGGGATACAGACAAACCTGCTTGGAGCTCAGGGTCTCACTCCCTTGCCCTGGCTCCACCCCTGTGCCTAGTGTCAGTAACCAGCAGCTCCAGGGTTGATTGGCTCTCCAGGCTCTTGGCTGGGGCTGTGATGTCACCTCTGCTCCCCCACCCACCATTCCTGGCCAAGTTGCTTTCTGGTGGGGACAAGAATGCTGGGGGATGGGCAGGGGTGCAGATCCACTCACTTTGCCTTTGGGGAGGTGGCAGGCACTGAGAGCAGCTTCCACCCGCTTGCGGTCAGCAGGAAACATCTGGAAAAAGCTGAAGGGGCAGAGAAAGGTACCAGGTACAGAGAGGAGTCAGGCCTGAGAAAGAAAGGCTTTGGGGAGCCCCT
Source organism: Homo sapiens (assembly GCF_000001405.40). NCBI lineage: Eukaryota > Metazoa > Chordata > Mammalia > Primates > Hominidae > Homo > Homo sapiens. The sequence continues at coordinate 40,302,106 of NC_000015.10, forward strand.
GGAAGCCTGGGGAGGGGTTGGGGGGCTCACTTCTTCACCGGAATCTTCCCTTCAGAGTTGAGCTGCATCTTGAGCTTCACAAGGCTGGGGGCAGAAAGCAGCCCGTCAAGGCCCAGGGCTGGCATGCTCAGCACCAGGGCTCAGGCCAGGCAGAGGGCACTTACATCTTGTCCAGGAAGGTGCTGCGGGAGGCGTTGGCCGTCAGCGGATGTTTGACTAGGGCCAGTACGTCCTCAGCCCAGGCCTGCAGGACCACAGAGAGCAGCGGTCAGGCTCCTGAGCACCCCCGCCCAGGCCTGTGTCTCTCAGGAAGTCCAGGCTATCCCAGGGGCCCAGACCCAGGCCCAGTGCTCCCTGGCACACCTTGCCCACGTTCTCCTTGTAGGAGACGAAGTTGTGGAAGGTGAGGTCCACCATGTCCGGGCCGGACACCACCGTGAGTGTCTTCAGCAGGAAACTGTTATCAGGAAAGTCCATGTTGAAGACGTCCCGGAGCTTCTGGCTCTGCAGCACGTGGTGGTATGGTTAGGATGGAGGTGTGCTCCCTCCCTGCCCAGTGTGGCTCTCTCTGGCCCTCCCCTCAGCCACTTGGGCTATGGCCCACTGGGCAGAACCCCATCCCCATCCCAGGAACCACAGGCCTTAGCATCTTCCTGTCCCTGACTCCAGCGGCTGGGATGGGAAGGAGAGGCCCTGAGGAAAAGGTTAGCCAAGATGGCGGGCAGGCGGGGAGGCCGGCCTGGGAGTCCTGTGTGTGTTGGTTGCCACTTTTGTTTGAAGATAGATTCTTAGCTCCCAGTCTCAGGAAACCCCGCTTCCCACCAATCCCTTCCTCCAATTTTCCTACCAGCATTAGGCAAATATAGGCAAACTAGTCCGGGGGTGGGGGTGTAAGCCACCCCTCCCAGACAGACTGGGGTGCTTTAGGGGCAGGAGGTGACCCCTCCTCCCAGATCCCTGCCATCTCAGCTCACTGTGCGCAGTTCTGAAGCTCAGAGCCCAGGCGAGCCCAGGAGCTGCCGCTCCCCTTCCTTGGCTTCCAGCCACGGTCCTTGCTGCCCAGCCAAGGAACCATTCCCCGTGCTTCAGAAGTCAGGCTTCCCACCCGCACAGGGACCCCTGCCCTTGCCCCATGGAGCTAGTAGCTGTGCTTGAGCCTGGGCTGCTACTGGACACACCTACCTTGGGCATCTTGGCAAACTTCCCAAAGCGAGTATCCCGGATGCTGGTGATATCCAGAAACTCCATCTCCTGGGGGCAGGGTGCGGATCCCGGTGGGAGCAAAGAAGGGATGTGGGACAAAAAGTCCAGGTCAAGAATGAGCAATAGGGAGAAGGGAGCTTCCACACCCTTCAAATCTTGGCCAACACCTCTCTCTAGATGCCAGGCTGCCCAGGGCCAGCTGGACCCAAACTTCCCTTCCTATGGCCCAGGTTCTCTCTATTCATGCAGATCCTCCTCCCTTTCCCTCTGTCCATTCCTCCCTGGCAGGGAGCTGGAGCCTGCAGTGTCTCCTCCACCATCCTGGACCCTTCCCAGCTTCCCCTTCCCGTCCTCCTGCCCAGAGGCTGGGGCCTATCTCTCATCTCCCAGAGCCCCAAGTCAACCCACAGCCACAGGCAGAGCATCAGCCTTCAGCAGCAGTGCTTTCGCCTGTCTCTCTCTCTCCCCAAGGGATGCTAAGGATGGAACATTTGGGTAGCCACAGGTTGGAGTGACTGCATCCTCCTTTCCAGAGCAAAGAGCCCCTGCCTACAGGGGAGCCTCTGGAGCCACCCTTCCAGGCCATTCTGTACTCCCCAGCATCCATGCCTCCACCTTGGTGCAGCCAGGGGGCTGTCTGGCCTCAATGATAAGCAGGAGTCCAGGGCCATGGCACACAAGGGTTTTCTCACCTTACTTTGATACGTCCAGTATAAGTAGTAGCCCTTAGGATCCACACGGAGGATAACTGGAGAGGCAACTGTAGTTTCCTGCAGAGAGAAGGAGCCAGCACTCTGTTCCAAGACCTCAGGCCAAGCCTCCCTGGTCCAGGCCAGGGGTTTCAGAGCTCATTATCTTCCCAGGAGGTGCCCATCCCAGAAATCTGAAGGCATTTCCTTTTGTTGTCTAGAGCTAAGCACCAGGAGGGACAGAGGATTGGGGATGCCATTTCTGGAAGAGAAGGGTTTTCCCCTCTAAAGCCCAAATAGACATTCTCCCTCTAGACCCTAAAGAGGATCTTGGCCCCTACCTCATCTCATAGAGCGAGACTCCCTACTGCCACCCAGGAGAGATTGACACAGCGAGAGCCAAGAGCCCAAACTCCTGCACCAGCATCCAAGGCCCTGCACAATCCAGATGCAACCTAACCTCCCATATGCCCCTTCTTCCCTCCATGAACACCTCCTACCCTGTCCATTCAACTGTCCCATAAAGATACCAAGCCTTCCCACCTCCAAACCTAAGTGCCCAAATCTCCTCTGCTTGAAATAACTTCAAGGACAACCCAAGCCCCCCAACTTCTGAAAACCCTTCCTGAAATGTGCTACAGTAACCGGGGGGATGTGAGTCACAGACCTACAAGCCCACCTAGGAAATCCCCAGGGACTCATGGACTCCAGGACAACAAGCCTGTGCTAGACCTTGAGCTTGGTGCTTGGTGCTTGGCACTTGAATGTGGTGTTTGCTGAATGAGCAAATGAATGAATGAATGAATGAATGAACTCACCTTCTAAAGTCCTGTTCCACTCACTGACAGAGCACATAGGCTACCTTTTAGTTTAACGGTCTTTGTATGTGTACATAACAAGATATTAAAATTAAGGTTTCCAGCAAGGCACAATAGTTGCCGTATACTAAAACAGACCAAATGCAGCATTTACAAGGTGAATGATCCAAAAAATGTTCTCAGATCAGAGGTGGTTAGAGTACAGGGAAAAGGGAAAATTTTTGTGGAGAAGCCAATTTTAAGAAAGCTGTGTTGGGAGCTCCATTCCCTTACCTCCCCAAGGGAGAGTTGGAGTGCCTGATCCCCCACCTTAAGCCTAGTGAGGGGTTTCAACTCTACTTAGAGAGCTTTTGTGATCTCTTTTTTTTTTTTTTTTTTTTTACCTTAAGTTCTGGGATACATGTGCAGAATGTGTGGGTTTGTTACATAGTATACATGTGCCATGGTGGTTTGCTGCACCTGTCAACCTGTCATCTAGGTTTTAAGCCTCGCATGCATTAGGTATTTGTCCTAATGCTCTCCCTCCCCTTTCCCCCCACCCCACAACAGGCCCCTGTGATCCTTGAAGTTGTAGGCATAACAGACAGAGGTCGGACTCCTGCCCAGGAGACCAAGTGGACTACAGCGAGCTAACTGTGTGAGGCAGAGCAGGGGGTGCTGGCCTGTTGGACAAGCCTGCACCCTTGGGACAATGGATGCATGGGTATTTGCTGGGGTCCAGGGTGGGCCCATGGGAGAGTGGGGGCAAAGGGCCTAAAGCCACAGGAAGCTGAAGGTGGTAAGAAGGGGCTGAAGACATAGTTGTGAGTGACCCCTAAAATAGAAATGCTGGGGGGACTTCAAGCAACAGGTTCCCATTCGAAGGGGTGGGTCTCCCAAGAATCCTCAAAAATGTCCTCCAGAGAAAGAATCAGCTTTAAGCTTCTGCCAGGCTCAGAAAGCATGAGCCAATTTATGACAGCACCTGTTTAAATAGAACTTGGTTACCCCTTTCCCACCTCCCTCCCTATAGCTCATGCCTAGAGGGGCCTTGAGCAGGACCAGCAGGGAATCCCACCAAGGCCCTTTCCAGGGGGCCTGCAGCCTACCTGAAACCATTCCTAGAAGGAGAAGGGTAGAAGATGTCAGTGTAAATAAAGGTTGGAGTTTTGATTATAGCCAGTTTCTGACATCGGACTGGATTTTGTGATGAAAAGTGACCACTGGACTGTGTTACCTGAGAGTAAATATAATGTCTTGTGGCCTTGCAGAGTTTCTTTCCATGGCCAGGGGGAGAGCTTCTCCTACCAAATATATTGTAAAGAGGCCATGGGAGATGAAATAAAGTTGGGATTTGCTTACATCCTATGTATTCTGCTTATTCAACATGGCACAGCACACCCATGCCATCCACTAACTGTGCCAAAAGCAGCCTGAAAGCAGAGCCCTGTCTCACAGCAGCATGGACCTGTGGATAGGCTTGGGACATTCTTGCTTGTGCAGGTCAGGATCCAGAGAACATCCAATGCCCTACCTTGGAGAGGGGAAGGGAACAGCCAGGTACACAGGTGCCAGCTTAGGAAGAAGGACAGTCTCCGCTGGCCACCAACCCCCGACCTCCACTGCCACCCTGTGACCCTCTGCCCAGTCAGGTTACACACACTGCCCAGAGGAACTGAGAGAGGCCACTTCGCTTTTCATTCTGAGCCACTTCCCTCATTCCACAGGCTCCTGGGGCATGTCACCTCCATGCCACTGCCATGCTACACCAACCCCACATCACTCCTAGGGAAGCAGGAAGCATCTCACCACAGGGCCCCAACCCATAGTCATGGGCAGCGAGATCCCCTAGCCTAGCCCAGCCCCGAAGGGCCTAGACCCAGACCCCCTCATCCCACCTCCCATCAGGTGGACAAGTCAGCACTAAGGGCTGTCTTCCCTCCCCCACCAAGCCTTCATTTCCCTTCCTGGGACAAGCCCAGCACTCTAACTCTCAGACTGGGCGAGCCCAGCAGCCTCCCCTCCCTGAAGGAGAATCTCCATATTGTTCTCTCCAGCCTAAGAGAATCCCTGGCCTAAGGTAACATTTTCAGGGGCCAGGAGAACCAGAGCCTGGGAGCAGCCCCGTGTAGGAAGGAACAGACACAGCAGAGAGAGGGCTGCAGGGTGCAGCAGTGTCTTCCCCTTCCCTTGCTGACAGGCCTGCATCGGGGAGCAATGCTGAGCCCAGCAAGGGGTAGCAGAAGTCAAATCAGCTCCTTCCCTGGGAGCAGAAGCCTCTAGTTCTCACTTAGGTCCAGGGGCCTTTTGTGGCTGCCCCCACAGCAGCGCAGGGGAGAGCAAGGCTTCCCTGGACAGGATGATGCCCAGTGGAGGGGGTGAAGGAGCTGGGTCTGAGCGCCCTGCCGGAGCAAGGGCAAGACATCTGTGCTGGGAGCGGGGACGAGCTCACCTCTCCTCCTAGCCTGCCTCAGCTCTGGGGTGCACTTTCCTCCTCTTCTCTTGGGGGTTTGAAGGAGAAGAGAAGCAGACCCAAATAAACTACCTCCAGTGACCACCCAGGCAGCTCACCCACTTCTCACACCTAGAACCAAGGCTTAGCCCTTTAGCTGGGGACATACACCCTTAATCCCAGGTTTGTTTATCCAAGCAGTGGTGTCAGCTGCCTGGCCAAACCACACAGGCGCCTGGATCCTAGGAGACATAAACCAATCCTCCCACCCAAGCAAAGCCCCGTAGCAGCCCGGCCCCCACCACCTGGTGCTCCAGCAGCTGAGGCCCCTGCCCCACTTACATCATCCCATTTGATGAAGCGCTCCCCTTGGCTCAGATAGGCCTTCACCTTGGGGGGCAGCAGGACAGGGTTGAGCAGAGACATGGTGCCAAGCGTTCCTCTTTGCAGAATCTCAGCAGACACAGGCAGGCAGAAGGGCAGGAAGGAGGCCAGCCAGGAGGGGGAGCCAAGCTGGGCTCAAATGGCACCCATCCCCGAGCTGCTCCAGAAATCTAGTTGCTCTTATAGCCCCTGGGGTGGCCCTGGCTGAGTGCAGGACTGAGCTGTAGCCAGAGGCCCATCTGCCTTGTAAATCACCCTCCTCCCACCCGCCCTGCCTGCCATGGGGGCCTGTGGTCACTGCTTCTGCCCAAGGAGGCTGAAGCAGGAAGCCCCCGCCTCTTCTGGAGGCCCCCGCCCCCACCCCCAGCCCCACCCTGTGCCTCTCAGCACTTCCTGCTCTGGGCTTCCTTCTCTGCGCTGCTCACAGCGGAGACGTGGTCATGAGGCCGGGTCGCCTTGGAGCCAGGGCCTCTCAGTCCCTGTGGTGGTCTCTGGTCAGATTTGGCCCAGGAGGGCTGGAGAAGGACGACATGGAGACCAGCTGGGGAGACTGCTGCCCAGGCCTGGACTGAGGGAAGGCACAGGGAGCTCACTAGGAGAAAGGACCTCCTCAGGGGAAGGGTCCAGAGCATGGGCATCTGACCCCAAAGGTTGGGAGCACCGTAGAGGCAGGGGTGGGGTGGGGACAGGGCCCAGCTGGAATGGAGTGTTTTGAATAAGCAAAGTTTGCTGAACACACGGCTCCTCTTTCTCAATGCTTCCTCCCCCATGAAAATGAGGTGCACCTGCCGGGCGGGCGGGTGCGGTGGCTCACGCCTGTAATCCTAGCACTTTGGGAGGCCGAGGCGGGCGGATCACGAGGTCAGGAGATCGAGACCATCCTGGCTAACACGGTGAAACCCTGTCTCTACTAAAAATGCAAAAAATTAGCTGGGCGTGGCAGCGGCGCCTGTAGTCCCAGCTACTCGGGAGGCTGAGGCAGGAGAATGGCATGAACCCAGGAGGCGGAGCTTGCAATGAGCCGAGATGGCGCCACTGCACTCCAGCCTGGGCGACAGAGCAAGACTCCATCTCGAAAAAAATAAAAAAAGAAAGAAAATGAGGGGCACATGAGGCAAGGCAATCACTCCCCTCACCCACCTCACCAGACTCCCACCTCTGGGCCTCTGGGACTGCCTGAGGCCTGGACCCCCACTGAGCAGCCCTAGCCCCTGCCTCCACTGCGCTCTCCTCTCTCCTCCGTGTGCCCGCCTCTGCTGTGTACCCCAGCCTGCAGCGGGGCTGGGGCGGAGGGATGGCTGCTCTGGTTGGCCAGGCTCAGCCCCAGCTGCTCAGGTGCCTGACCCACACTCTGCCCCAGGCCCAGGGAGTTCAGCACCAGTCCAGCTCAGCCCAGCCCACTTCCTCTTGCCTAATCTGCTCCTCTTATCGCCCTTCTTAGCCCAGCCTGGGAGGCAGGGAGCTCTACCCAAGACTTCCTTCCCCTCTGGGGCCTGGCCTTTTGCCCTGGGTCACCCCCCCATGGGGCTTTGCATACCCCCAACAACGGTAAGACCCTCACCCAGGCCCTAGAATTGTCGCGGCTGGAGGTCTGGTCCAGGGCAGGGTGGAGGGTGAGGGAGGACACTCTTCATGCGGAATTAAGATAATAAACTGCCCAGTGGAGGCTGGAGCTAAGGGAATTCCCAGCACAGAAATAATCTGCAGAAGAGCAATTCTAGGGCCGGGGGATGGAGCCGGAGCAGGGCCTGACCAAGCCTCTGGAAATGGTAACAATTCAGAGGACTCTTCTTCCTCGTTTCCCCCAGTCCCTTAGCGTCATCTCTCCTCTCTCCCTCCCTCCAGTCTGGGGCCCTTCTGGGGGCCCCTCTGGCAGCCCATGCTGTTCTGGGTTCCTCCCTGGGATCAGGTTCCCTCGATATCTGTTTGAATGGATTTTGCAAGGGAAATCCCTGTCCCTTCCCAAAGCCCCTGCACCTGTCACCTGCGGCTGCCCTGGTCCCGGCACCCAAGTCCCTCCCTTTCATCTGTCCTGTAGCCATCAGCCCCCTCTCCACTTTGGGCCTGGAGAGACCAGTCCATTCCTCCCCCTCAGCCTGAGGAGGAAAGGGACAGCCTCCTCTCCTCATTTCAGGATTTCAGGGCTCCTCACTCTGTTCCTTTCCATCTCCAGCTCCGAATCCACAGAACAAAGCCTTGCCCATCTTTACTCAGTGATGTCACTGCCTGCACTGTTCTTGGGACCACAACTGTAGCTTCAGTGGGGGCCTGTACTCTCCTGCTCACATCCTGACCTCCTGCAAAGCTAGCTCCAAAAATGCAGAAAATCCAGGCAGTCAGGAGAGCGGAAAATCTTCATCAAAGAGCTTTTTGCTTTTAAAAATACATTTAGGTTTGAAAATTTGTGTTGACAAAGAAAAATGTTATGTAAATAATAGTAGAGAAAATCAGGGTAGTTACATGAATGCCCCGTTTGGGAAATGTGGCCTTGGGCTCCTGGGCTGAGCTGGGTAGAGGGCAACCCTGCAGTGGGCCAGTCTCACCCCTCCAGGGTGGGCAGTGGAAGGGCAAGGATGCCCCCTGCTGGGTGCACTCAAAGCATGCATGTCCTGGAAGTTGCGGTTGGGTCTGTCATTTGTGACCCACGGGAACACCTATGCCAGAGAGTTTGGCAAGTGGGAGCCTTGGGCCATAGAATGTGGTAAGAACTTATATTCAACCAAATGTTGCCTCCCACAAGGGACATGCTTGTGACCTGGACCCCAGCACATATGTCCCAAGTTCATTTGTTCACTTGCCAGTGCTATGTGGGAGCCCCATGCATTGGTTTCCCAGTTTGCTCATCAGAGAAGTTTAATGGCAGAAGTTGAACTCAGACCTTCAGGTGCCACAGCTGCCAGCCAAATAAGAGGATCAGACTAGGTCGGTTTCTTATCTGATGCCATGATGGTTGAAGCAGTGGGTTTCAGGAGTGTGGAACCCTGTTGTCCATCTTGGTCAAGGGCTGGCCCTCTTTTGGAGGGAAGATGGCTCTTATGGTGTCTGTTTCCCAGTCTGGCAAAGGGAGCCACACTCACCACTCTAGGAACCCAGCCACTTACTAGCTGGTTTATCTTGTGATACTTAACCTTCTTGGGCCTCAGCCTTCTCACCTGTAAAATGGGGATAATAATGCCTCATGGGGATGTTGCAAGGATTAAAGAATATAATGAATGGTACTTAATACAGTGCCTACACATGAGCTCAATAATACTATCATTATCATTATGAGTTATCATTGTTATTTTATTATTACTTATTAGCAGACACTGACAGGAAAAATGGCAGTTTCTTATTCCTTCTTCAACAGTTCTTTCTACAAACGTCTTCACTGACTTTCTCTTTGGATTTTTCTTCCAGCAGTTCGTGTGGATCAGGGGCTGTACCCACCTTTGCAGGGCAGACTGAGTTAGGGTTGCTCCTGTCTGTGGACTTGAAGCAAGCTGTTCCCAAGCGGCCTGAACTCATGAAGTGATGAGCACAAGGGCTCCAATCATGGGCAAGTGCCAGCCTCCCACCAGCTTCATGCCACCACAGCCCCCCAGCTGATGAGGCACAGATGAGAGTGCTGAGCTGCCCAGCTGTGTGTCCCTCTGTGGCCCCAGCTTCAGCCACCCTCTGTGTACTGAGAGCTAAGCAGAAGTGGAGGCATGGGCAAGGCTGGGTAGCCAACACTGATCCCTTAGGGAGGAGAGAGGCAATCAAGTTTCCTGTAGATGCCCAGGAGGAAGATGTTGCTTGTCTTCCCATTCCAAGCCCCTCTATAACCCGACAAGGAACCATCTGGGACTTAGAAGTGGAAAACAAACTGGGCATGGTGGCTCACGCCTGTAATCCCAGCACTTTGGGAGGCCGAGGCGGGTGGGTCACGAAGTCAGGAGCTCAAGATCAGCCTGACCATCATGGTGAAACCCCGTCTCTACCAAAAATACAAAAATGAGCCAGACATGGTGGCACACACCTGTAATCCCAATTACTCAGGTGGCTAAGGCAGGAGAATAGCTGGAACTGGGAGGCAGAGGTTGCAGTGAGCCAAGTTCACACCATTGCCTCCAGCCTGGGTGACAGAACGAGACTCCATCTCAAAAAAAAAAAAGTGGAAAACAATCAGTCCATGTATGTTTCTCTTTGAAGTGCTATTTTGGATCAAATTTACCTGTGTCCATCTTCAAGAAACCCAGAGTTTAGTCCCCACTGGAGCAAAGGTTTGTTCTGTGATCTTAGCAAGTTACCTGAGCCCTTGAATCTGTCAAACTTTTGATCATTTCTAAGAATCCTTCCAGCTCTAAAAATCTCTTTCCACTTGGAAGGGCCAATCTTGTCACTTTTCTCTCTTGCCTTTCCTCTGAGAGACAACAAACCTAGAGATGAGAGCTGTAGGTGGCAGGAGAGGCTTAGCTCTCATCCCAGTGTGACATTCTTGGGCACAATCACTCCTCTGCCTCTGTCAATCCCTCTGTGAAATGGGCCAGTTTTAATAAGTGTGATAGAAATAAATTATATGATGTCCTCCTCTAGGTGGGCACGGTGCATTGCATATAGGGAAGGTCATCAGTATTGATCAATTGCTTCTGTTCTTACTCCTGTCCTGGTCCAACCTTTTTTTTTTTTTTTAGAAGTTAAGCCTTTATTTCCTTGTTTTGTAAATAAAGCTGGCTGAGTTGGTTGTTTTTTGATGATTAGTCAAAGAGACCAAATCCCATATCCTCACCCAGCTCCTCCACCTCTTCCTTGGCTTCAACCTTAGCTGGGGCTGCAGCAGCGGGAGCAGCCGTGGTGGCAACAGCCACAGAGGCAATAGCCACAAATGCAGATGGATCAGCCAAGAAGGCCTTGACCTTTCCAGCAAGTGGGAAGGTATAATCAGTCTCCACAGAGCCAGGGCTCATTTGTACCCACTGATGATAGAATGGGGTACTGATGCAACAGGTGGGTAGCCAGTCTGCAGACAGACACTGGCAACATCGCGGACAACCTTCAGGAAGCAAGAAGGAAGTTTCCTCTGTGATGTCAAGCACTTCAGGGTTGTAGATGCTGCCATTGTCAGATGCCTGCTGGATGACCAGCGCAAAGGAGGAGGGAGAAATGCTCGGCGTGTTCAGCAGCGTGGCTTTGTTGGCTCCCACTTTGTCTCCAGTCTTGATCAGCTGCACATCACTCAGGATTTCAATGGTGCCCCTGGAGATTTTAGTGGTGATTCCTAAAGCCTGGAAAAAGGAGGTTTTCTCTGGCCCCAGACCAGTGTTCTGGGCTGGCACAGTGACTTCACATGGGGCAATGGGACCAGCACAGGTGGCAGCTGGCACCTTACTAGCCAGCAACATGTCCTTGATTTCAGTGAGGTCCTCCTTGGTGAATGCAAAGCCCACATTCCCCCAGATATGAGGCAGCAGTTTCTCCAGAGCTGGGTTGTTTTCCAGGTGCCCTCAGATGGCCGTGAGCATCATGGTGTTCTTGTCCATCAGCACCACGGCCTTCTCTCAGAGGGACATGCAGATCTGCTGCGTCTGCTTGGAGCCCACATTGCTGCTCCCACGATGAAACATTTTGGATAATCATCCAAAAGCTGGATGATCTTGAAGTAGTTGGACTTCCAGGTCATCCTGTCTTCCCTGGGCATCACGGCAGTGCATCAGGGATTGCCACGCAGGGTTTAAAGACAATGTCACTTTCACGAGGATGCCAAGAGAGAGTTTTTTTTTTTTTTTTTTTTTTTAATATACGATGTAATCTCACCCTGTTGCCCAGGCTGGTCTTGAACTCCTGGGCTCAAGCAATCCTCCCACCTCACCCTCTCCAGTAGCTGGGATTATGGGCATGTACCACCAAACTTGGCATCTGATCCACCTTTTTATCAGGACCTGGGCAAAGCCACAGAGAACAAGCCCCTCAACTTTGCGAATAGCAAGGAGCCAGCGAAGACAGGAATATGTTGGAAGACAGACTCAGGATCCAAAAACATTCTAACCTATTGGAGCACTGGCCTAAACCTCCCAAGGTGAAATGAACAGGGCTTAACTGAGAGATCTGGGCTTGGTGCCAAGACACCGACTGTACAAGGACAGGGTGGGGAAGTGGCAGCTTAGCAGAAGCATGTGTGAATAAAACTGAGGGTTTTCGCTGACAGCCAGCTCCATCTGAGTCAAATGACAGAGCTGCCAATAAAAACGGGCAGACTCAGGCTGCCGAACTGAAGTCGGGTACTGAGCCCTGTGGTTCTCCATCTTGATATCACACCAGAACCACCTGCAAAGCTCTGGTAACACTGCATATTCCTTGCTGTACCAAGACCCTCTGAATCGTGATCTGGGATGAGATGAGAGAGGGAAAGGAAGGTGAGGAGTTTGCATTTCTTTTATTTTTTTTTAGAGACAGGTTTCACTCTGCTACCCAGGCTGGTCTCAAGCTCATGGGCTCAAGCAATCCTCGTGCCTTGGCCTCCCAAAGTGTTGGGATTATAGGCATGAGTCACTGCGCCCAGCCAGGAGTTTGAGTTTCTAAAGAGTATCCCCCCTCATTCCAAGATGCATCCAGGGCTTTTGAACCAAGGAACAATCAGTCCCATTCTCATTCTCAGCACAACAGACCACACCCAAAATACTTGAGGAATTCAGTTTAGGTTGCTTTGTTGCAGGGAAGGTCATAAGTTGAAGGATATTTGGTGGAAAGCAGCCAGGATGCAGGCAACACTCTGAAGAGAACCACTTTATAGAAGACACAGGTGGCCAGGAGGCCCAACTTCACATGGATGAGTCTTGTTCTCTGAGGTCCCAAAAGTTAGAATCTAGGCCAGGTGCGGTGGCTCACGCCTGTAATCTCAGCACTTTGGGGGGCTGAGGGGGGCAGACCATCTGAGGCCAGGAGCTCAAGTCCCACCTGGCCAACATGGTGAAACCCCATCTCTACTAAAAATATAAAAATTAGCCAGGCGCAGTGGCACATGCCTGTAGTCCCAGCTACTCAGGAGGCTGAGTCAGGAGAATTGCTTGAACCCGGGAGGCGGAGGTTGCAGTGACCCAAGATTGTGCCACTGCACTTCAGCCTGTGCGACAGAGCGAGACTCTCTCTCAAAAAAAATTTAAGTACATATTTTTTTAAAGTTAGAATCTTAGGAGACTGTCTTAGGTCAGGTTTCTCAGGAAACATGCCGAGATAGAGATTTTCTTGTAGGAAGTTTATTGGGGGTGCTTTCAGAGATAACATCTGTGAACTAGTGAAAGAATCAGAATCAAGCCAGAGGAAGAAATTGGTGAACAATGCAGTCACAATACAGAATGCTTCCACAGGAAGCCCTGGGGTTGAGCTGGCCCCGTAGAGTTAGCCCCAACTTGGATAAGAGGGCTGTACCTTTGAATTCCACATTGACTTGGCAGATGACCCCTAGGGAAGGGTTGTGAAGTCCAGCAAGACAGCTCCCTTTAGCAGCTGAAGGAAATGCCAAGGGAGAGACTCATGTGTGAGCCATTGGCAGCCAACACTTCTGGCAACTTCAGGGATAAGCTCCTTGGTCCTAAAAGCAGTATCTGGGTGGTGCACCACAGCAACCGAGACAGTACCCCCAGGCATAGCCCAGACCTACTTGATTTATGTGGTAAGTTCACTCTACCTGGGAATAGCTCCTCCTGGATTCTGGGAAACTTACAAGAATTAAATGGAGAAACTATAGCCCCCACTACTGCAACTAGTCTTGGTGACACAATTGATGTTCATCATTCCCCTTCTCTGTCACTCATTCTAGATTCTTTTTACCTTCAACTTGCACCTCTGCTGGTGTAGGTGGCTTGCCTGTCGGGGTAACCAATCACCAATCACCATGGCCTTCAGACCATGCTGCTGATGTGTCCACCTTCCACCAAAATTGGGCATACCAACAGACACCCCAGTGGATCACCTGGGTGCCAAACATATTCTTTCCTGACCCCCTTATGTAACAGCAGCCCTATCTCTCCCAAAGGATGGGGGTCAGTTGCCCCTTCCAGGAAGTGACTCCTCTTCTTTCCTGCTGGTTTCTTGGCACAAAGAGTCTGACGAACAGAAAGCAGCCATACTTAAGTTTATGGGGTTCTTGTTCTGTCCCTGGTGGAAGTGCTCCCCCTCTGGGAACCAGATTCTCTGAACCTGGAGAGCTTGGAACTGCAGGAATGGGAACCACAAATTCCTCCAGAAAGGTCACTGGGAGTGATGGTAAGTGGAGTCATTCCTACTTCTACCCCTAGTTTCCTAAACCTCTATTCTACACGTTGACACATAGCACCATATATAACAGTTATTGATTAGGATGCATACCTCATCCTGGAGCACGGTGTCCCATCATCTCTAACATGGTATTTCAGCTGTGCTTCTAAAGGCTGTTCTATCATTCCACCAGCTCTATTCAGCTTCTGGATGGTGAAGTATGTAATAGGCCTAAAAGATCCCATGATCATGTGCCCATTCTATCCTTAAAGTGGGACTCTTGGTCTTCTGCAATGGTATGTGAGATCCCACGTCAGTGAATCAAACACTCTTTTAGCCCCCAGAGAGTGGCCTTTGAGCAGAAAAGACAAATCCATATCCAGAATATATGGCAATTCAGGTCAAGATGAGTCCCTCACCCTTCTGGAGTGGAACAGGTCCAAGGTAGCCAGCTTGGTACTGCGTGGCTGGTATCAGTTGCTGGCAGGTTGGACTTTTAGCAGTGACAATAGGTAATTGGCCTTGGTGAGTGGGAGCCCATTCTGTTGAGCCACCCCTGCCACCACACACATGCGACACGTGTCACCTCCATCTATGCCACCATGGCCACTTTATTCATGTGCCCATTGTGCTGGCATGGGGTGGTCAATGACAGAGGCAAGCTAACATCAATTCCACATCATTCTATCTACTTGATTATGCAGTCTCCCCTGTGGCAGGTGCTCTCTGATGAGTATTAACATGCAATATAAAGATCTTCAATAGTGAGACCTATCTCTACAAAAAAAAATTAGCCTCGTGTGGTGGTGTGTGCCTGTAGTACCAGCTACTCCAGGGTCTGAGGTAGGAGATCACTTGAGCCCCGGAGGTCGAGGCTGCAGTGAGCCATGATCGTACCACTGCACTCCAGCCTGGGCAACAGAGCAAGACCCTGTCTCAAAAAATAAAAAATAAAGATACTCACACTTGGTGCTCACTCAAATAGATAAAGCCACATATCTCTTCCCAAGACCTTCTTGTTCCCAGTCTTCCAGTATTTCTCTTTCTAGCCCTCTAACCAACCAGTCAAACCATTTGCCTATAGCTCATGAGCCTGTAGACAATTTTACCTCAGGCCGCTTTACCAGGGGCCATGCTGATGATTCAGTTCCCAGTCAGGTATCAATGTCAATGCAGACACTGCATCCAGCAGACCTTAAAGCGTTTGACTATTCTACTATCCCCAGTGTACAGTTACCCAGGTAAACGGCATAGTTCCCTTTAGGGAAGTAGTGGGGAAATCATTACTGTATTGCTATAGTATTGCAGAAACCTTTCCCCTGGGAACCTGAACTGAAAATTGAATTGGGACTGGAAACCAAACAAGATATTGTGACTTTTTATTGGAGCAGCTGCCATCAACCTCCTGGTCTTTCATCCTTGATTTATTTTAATTGTACAGCTCAGCAATTCTCAGTGTGTGGTCTCCAGACCCCTTGGGGTCCCTGAGATCACTTCAGGGGTTTCACAAGGTCAAAATTGCTTTCATAATAATACTAACATGTTATTTACCTTTTTAACTGTGTTGTCGTTTGCACTGATGGTGCTAAAGCAATGGTGGGTAAAACTTCTGGCACCTTAAACAACCAAGGCAGTGACACCAAACTGAACTAGTAGTTCATTGCAGAAAGAAAGAGGAAAGAAAAGAAAAAAAAAAGGAAGGGAGAAAAGTCGTTTTACTTTAGAATATCTTTAACAAAACGATATCAATTGTTAAATTGTATGAAGTTATGACCCTTAAATAGATGTCTTTTTAATATTCCATGTGATTAAATGAAAGTACTCTACTGCATATGGAAGTATAACGGTTCTCTTGGGGAAAAGTACTTTTGCGATTGGGTCGTGAGCTCAATTAGCTGCTCTTTTCATGGAACACCAGTTTTACTTGAAAGAAGAACTGAAAAACCATGGCTATGCAGACTTGGCTATTTGGCAGATGTTTTCTCACATTTGAACCAAGTGAGCCTGTCACTTTGAGAAAAAAATAACTGATAGTGTTTGTTACCAATTACAAAATTTGAGTTTTCAAGTAAAAACTAGAATTTTAGAAAACATGTATGCACTATCATGAGCTTCCTAGATTCCTGATACTTAAACTTTTTATAATATTATCAAATGTGATTTTTTCTATTATATAATGAAATGTATCAATATTGCAAAGATATGTTTAATTCAGTGAACCAATATTTTCCAAATGATCAACGTGGGATATTATAAAATCATGCATGGGTAAAAGTGCCATTCAAAGGGCAAGTTAGATCAATGGACTTTAATGTAATTGAGCACAAAAAAAGTTCACTGATATAGTTTTATAGTCTACATTTCAACCACCATTTAAGAAAATACTGCTTGTTGGGTTTTGGTGTAGCATCAAAGAAAAACAGCCACAATTATCTGAAAAGGCTGTTAAAATGTTCCTCTCTTTTCCAACTACATGTCTATATGAGGCTGGATTTTCCTCATATATTTTAACCATAACAACAAATTGCCAGCAGATTAAATGTAGATGCAGATATGAGATGCCAGGCATGTTGGCTCATGCCTGTAATCCCAGCATTTTGGGAGGCCAAGGCAGGTGGATCACTTGAGCTCAGGAGTTTGAGACCAGTCTGGCAAAATGGCAAAACCCTGTCTCTACAAAAAAATACAAAAATTAGCCAGGCATGGTGGTGTGCATCCGAAGTCCCAAGCTACTTGGGAGGCAGAGGTGGGAGAATTGCTTGAACCTGGGAAGTGGAGGTTGCAGTGAACTGAGATCACGCCACTTACACTCCAGCCTTGTGACAAAGTGAGATCCTGTCTAAAAAAAAAAAAAAAAAAAAAAAAAAGTGGATATGAGGATCCAGTTGTCTTCTACATTCCAGAGATTTGCAAATTTACAAAGCAAAGCCACTCTTTTCATTATTTTTTGTCATAAAAATATATTATCTGCCCAGGTGCAGTGGCTCACGCCTGTAATCTCAGCACTTTGGGAGGCCGAGGCGGGTGGATCACAAGGTCAGGAGTTCGAGACCAGCCTGGCCAACATGGTGAAACCCTGTCTCTACTAAAAATACAAAAATTAGCCGAGTGTGGTGGCATGCACCTGTAATCCCAGCTACTCGGGAAGCTGAGGCAGGAGAACTGCTTGAACCTGGGAGGCGGAGGTTGCAGTGAGCCGAGATCATGCCACTGCACTCCAGCCTGGGCAACAGAGTGAGACTCTGTCTTGGAAAATAAATAAATAAATAAATAAATAAAATATATATTATCTATGTTAACATGTAGTGGGGCTTATTATTCTTTAGACAAATTAATAAATATTTTGCAAAACCCTTGGTCTTATTTCTAATATGTCAAATAAAAATAGCTATAACCCACATAAACAAAATCCCTTTAGATACCTCTCTCTCTCATATATACATACATATATATATATTTAGAGACTAGGTCTCACTCTGTCACCCAGACTAGAGTGCAGTAGCATGATCATGGCTTAGTGCCGTCTCAAACTCCGGAGGTCAAGCGAGCCTCCTGCCTCAGCCTCTCGAGTAATTGGGACTACAGGCATGTGCCACCCTGCCTAGCTAATTTTCAACTTTTTTTTTTGTAGAGATGAGGTCTCACTATTTTGCCCGGGCTGATCTTGAACTCCTGGGGTCAAGTGATCCTTCTGCTTCAGCCTTCCAAGTAGTTGGGATTATAGGTGCGAGCCACCACATCAGGCTTAGAGACCTCAATATTTAAGAGTGTAAAGGGATCCTGAAACTAAAACATTTGAGAATCACTGGTATAGATAGAGCAGTACTGTTACTGGCTGCCTAGCTAGCTTGCTCCAGGGATGCTATGCTATCAACCATCTTCAACCATGGTCCTCTACTGGCCAGGACTGCCCCCACTGCCACTCCAACTTGCTGCTTATTACAACAGTTGTGCTGTCTAGCTTCTATGATTTCATGGTCCTATCATCCCCACTGCTATCTGGAGCCAGTTCTGGAATGGCCTCTTGCTGTCAGGCATGGCTTACAGAGGACAGTCCAAACTCAGCTTCTCAGGGATGCTGGTACCGCTCTCACCAGTGTGTTCCTTGTTGCTTTGGTAACTAGAGTATCCTCTGGGCCTTCCTGCAGAACTTAAGTGGTTTCTGGCCTTACATAGAATATACCCATTTCTGTGAGCTTTTGAACCCTTCTTCCACATTCTGCTGTGGTAGTTCTGGCATTTCCATTACACTCTGGTGGCCATTGCCTTCCTCCTGTCTCCCAGGATCCTTGTCAGGATATCACATCCTGATTCACAGGAGAATACTCCTATAACAACGAAGTATCCCTTGTTCAACTTAATGTGTGGCACCACACCCCACCTTGATCTAGCCTATACATTCGCTCCTGGATCCTGCCAGTATATACTGGCTACTTCCGCAACTACTTCATGGTCTAGCCTTCTTCCCTAGTGGGCCCCTGCACATCTCTGACTGGGCTTTATTGTGATCTGGCTCTATGTATTGGGCTTGTAGGCCAGGACAGAGAGGCAGCTTCCTTTGGTGTCAGAAGGCAAGTCCCAGTGACAGTTGCAGCTGAGCCATCATAGCCAACACTCCTGACAATTGGAAGAATGAGCACCTCCCTCCTGAGGCTGACCCGGGTAGTAACCCCCAATATCCACTATAGAGACAAAGTCTAGCTTTGCCTATGAGACAGAGCAGAACCAGGATCAAGAGCTTAATGCCCTGGAGTCAGAGGTCTGAATTCCATCAGGGCTTTTGAATTCCAAGGCATTAGGACTATGTGACCTTGAGCAAGTTCCTGGCCCTTTCTGAGGCAGGGACTTCATCTATGAAATGAAGATAAACAGTACTACCTGATAGGTCATTGGGAGACAAATAAGACAAGGAATGTAAAGGCTTGGTATAGTGCCTAGCACATTCTAAGGGCACTGTTATTGTCATAATTGGTCAGAACTTTCCAAAGCCAAAAAGGGCTGCCTCAGGGAGCAGACAGTAAGGTATGCCACCATCCCAGATGGTCTTTGGGCTGACGCTGCTGAGTGCTCCCCAGGGATTTTGTGGAGGAGGCTCTAGGGCCCACAGGGGTATTCACAAAAGATGACTTTTGGGGCCCATTCTGTCCCC
Source organism: Homo sapiens (assembly GCF_000001405.40). NCBI lineage: Eukaryota > Metazoa > Chordata > Mammalia > Primates > Hominidae > Homo > Homo sapiens. The sequence continues at coordinate 40,320,994 of NC_000015.10, forward strand.
AAGCTGCCTTGATTCTCTGATTTCTCTGATCCCTGCCTGTTCTTAGTGGGGGGAGGCATATTCACTTTCAGGCCACTAGGGGGCCATTTAGTTTTCTGCAACAGGAGAACACTAATGGTTTCTTAATGGCTCAGGCACCGGGGAGATCAGGCTCAATTATATCTGAAAGCATTCTTAGTTCCTGGGGTAAAAGACACTATGTAAATCCAGACAATAAATAGGGATTACTGATGACAGGTTAAAGAATCTGGCACTGTTTCGTTTAGAAAAGACAGAGTGAGAGGAATTGAATAAAGGCTTCAAGTATATTATTCTTTGGTACAGAAGAGTGACATGCTGTTTTCCCACTCCACTAAGAACCAAGCAAGAAGAAAGGCATTTAATTTGCAACAGAAATATGGAGAAGCAATATGGAGTGCATTCACGAAAGGGGACTGAAGGAAGCTTTGTATTGGCCTCAACCTGGAATCTTTAAGAATAATTCATCATGGAATAATTGTATGATATGTCCTGCCAGGAAGGCCCTAGAGCAGGGGAGAGAAGAGAGGACAACTTCCAGAGACAATTCAAGAATTGTTTTTTTTTTTTTTTTTGAGACGGAGTCTGGCTCTGTTGCCCAGGCTGGAGTGCAGTGGCGCCATCTTGGCTCACTGCAAGCTCCGCCTCCCGGGTTCACGCCATTCTCCTGCCTCAGCCTCCCGAGTAGCTGGGACTACGAGTAGCTGGGACTACAGGCACCTGCCAACACGCCCTGCTAATTTTTTTGTATTTTTAGTAGAGACGGGGTTTCACCATGTTAGCCAGGATGGTCTCAATCTCCTGACCTCGTGATCCGCCCGCCTCGGCCTCCCAAAGCTGGGATTATAGGCGTGAGCCACCGCACCCGGCGACAATTCAGGAATTTTAAGTCAACAGGCTGCCCTGGCTGACCTAGGAGCAGGGTGGAGGAGTGAGTTATTTCTTCCCCATCAACCCACAAAAGGCCATAAACACTCCACACTACCAATATCCTTGAAATTTCTCAGAAAGTAAAAAAAACAGCTTTTTCCTTGAAATAGCATCTGGCTAGCCATTACTAGTGGCAGCCCCACACCTGGGCCTGGATCAGGAATGAGACTGAGGCTGGGTTAGAGGCCTGTGGTTCCAGCAGTCCACTAGCACACTCAGTTCTGGTAGCCACTTGACTTCTGTGCTGCTGAGGTGGGCAAGGCAGCTGTTTTGGGAGGGCTTCCTCGTGTGTGTGTGTGTGTGTGTGTGTGTGTGTGTGTGTGTGTGTAAGGGGGGTCCTCTGGAAGCCAAAGATTCCTGGAGGAGGGGGGGAAGTGAGAAGGGCAGAGGGGATCCTGCCCCACAGGGTAGAAGCCAGGTCAGGCTCACACTTGCAGGGGCTTGAGGGAGGGTTCACCCACAGAACCCCATCAGAACCACAGTTCTGTTCCCCAACACACGCCCAGACAAGTCTCCCTCACTCATTCAGACACCCAGGCAGTCCATATGCCCAGTTCTGGGAACACAGGAAGTAGCATCCAAGGAGGAGGGAACCAGAATTCTGGAAAGCCTTATAGAGAGGGAATGGGGAGGAGAGAAGGCAGGGAGAGCAGAGAGCGGAAGGAGGGGGAGGGCACAAGTAAAGCCGCAAGGGAGAGTCTGAGCATGAAGGGTTGTTAGCACCTAGGGGGTCCAAAGACCAGGCACAGAGCCCACTGCCTGGCGCCTGGCCTGGAGCCAAAGAAGACAAACCTCACATGGGAAAGTGGGGAGGGGACAACCGCCCAAGCCTTGAGGTCTGGAGGGGATCTGAGAGTGAAAACGCTCTAGGAGTCCTGAGAGTTAAACTCCTCAGGTTCAGTGCAGCTCCTTGGGTCCAAATCCAGGCCAAAACCAGGAATTGGAAGACCCAAAAAGCGGGACCAGCGACCTGCGGCGAACTTTGGGACTAAGGTGGCAAGCGAGTCTGGAGAACAGCTCAGTCCGTGGCTCTGTCCCGGAGGCTCAGGGTTGGCGGGGTGAGGCGGGCTGGGGTACGCAATTGCGACGACTTCAGTAGAGCTCCGAAGCCCAGCCTGGACTGGGTGGAAGGAACACAACCAGCTGCGGCCCCAGTGAGCGCTCCAGGTGCCAGAACCGCCTACCCCTGGCGTCAACCAGGTTCTTTAGCTGTGAATGGGCCTGGGAGACCCACCCAGGGGGTACGCGGTGCGGGGAGCAAGCTGAGAGCTGGAACGTGGTATCTTCCCTATCCCTCTTACCGTCCCCTCCCAGAGGATAAACCTAGGCCTGGAGTCCGAAGCCCAGGCTGCTATTCCACCTGTCACTTCGGAGCCTCGGGGCGGAGCGGGGAGGCGCCAGAGTTGACAGCTCGCGCTCCGACCGCCCCCTTCTAGCTCCGCACTCCGCCTCGCACAACGCCGTTCCCCCTTTTAAAGAAGTGCCCGGGGCTCCACTCTACGCCGCGCCAGCCCACCAGGGGTCGCGGTGACGTCGCCCGTTTAAGAGCCAGCCTCCCTTAACTCTCTCTTAACGGGGCGTCCCGGCGGGGCTCGCGGCTCCCGGCAGCCGCCGCCTCCCCTCGCGGCACTTCCGGACCCCGGCGTCGCCCTTTTAAGGGGCAGCCCCCAGCAGCGCTCTCCCCGCCCCCTGTTGCCGGCGCGCGAGGCGGGGGAGCCGGGCTGGAGCGGAGCGCGCGGTCCGCGCGGCCACTGGAGACCAGGCGGCCGGCGGCCGGGCAGGCGGCGGCGGAGCGCGCGGCGGCGTGGCGGCGGATGGGGACGCGGAGCCGGGCGGCTGTGGCGGCTGTGGCGGCTGTGGCTGTGGCGGCGGCGGGGAAGCAGCTGACGGGCCGGCGGCGGCGGCGGCGCTGGCGGCGGTGACTGGTCCAGGCCCCGGCGGCGGCTGCAGCAACGCGGTGGCGGGCTGCGGGCGGGCGGCGTGAGGAGCGGCGGCGGAGCGCGGGGCCGCCGGGAACCGAGGGCGCCGGGCCGCCCCCTGCCCAGTCCTTGCAGGCCGCCAGGCCCCCTCCAGCCGGGGCCGTGGAGCACCGGGGCAAAGGCCGGGGCCCCCCCATGAAGGAGCGCGACGCGGCCCCGGCCGAGCGGGGCAAGCCGGCCACCTACACCGGGGACAAGAAGGCGAAGATGGCGGCCAAGACCAACAAGAAGTGGGTCCGGCTCGCCACCGTGTTCGCCTACGTGCTCTCCGTGTCGCTGGCCGCCATCGTGCTCGCCGTCTACTACAGCCTCATCTGGCAGCCGGTGGGCGCCGGGACCTCGGGGGGAGCCGCTGGCCCGCCCCCCGGCGGCTCCAACGCCACTGGCCCGTCTGGGACTTCGGGGGCGGCGGCGGCGGGGCCCAACACCACTGGGTCGTCCCGCCGCGAGGCGCCGCGCGACGTTCCCCCACTGCAGGCGGCGCGACCGGCGCCTCCGGAGCCCCCTGCGGACAGCCCCCCGGCCGGGCCGCTCGAGCGGCCTCGGGGGCCGGACGAGGACGAAGAGGAAACGGCGGCGGCGCCCGGGAGTCGTTGAAGCCCTCCGCGCTGGGGGCCGCCGGGAACCATTCTCCCCAAGCCCAGAGGCAGGACTTCGCAGCAGGATGGGGTGGAGAGCCCGCGGGAGTGACCCCCACGAGAGTGAACGCCCCTCACACTCCCACCATCGCCGGCTGGCCCCGGAGCGGGAGGCCCGCAGCCAGATCTTCAGCCAAGGGACCACGATTCGCCGGGGGGCTGGGGGTTTGCTGCCCAGGACCGTGCTGCACCAGGGCCCTGAGCCGTAGGGGGATGGGGGGAGGGGTGGGGAGATCCCGGCACCAAACCCTTCTGCGCCGCTCGCTCTGGTGTATCCTACATGCAGGGGTGACTGGGGCTTTCCCCCAAGACTCAGGGGAAGGATGGAGCTGTAGGGGCTCTTTTTAAGTAAGCTGAAGCTCTCGAAAGGAGGAGGGCACCAAAAGTAGTGGAGCTCAGGTACGTCAACCTAGTTGCAGTGGCCAGAGATGCATTAAATTTCTAGATCCCTGTATATAGTTGTTGACATATGCACTAGAAGCTATAATCACATAGAATTCTATGTATATCCTCCCACACCCTGGGTAGCTACTGACTGAAGGGGTCAAGCAAGGGCTATTTGCTGTCCCCCAAAAAGTACACCTGGCCAGAAGGGCACAAACACGGCTTCTTAAATCACTCACTTTCTCCTGTTCCCCTCCTGTTTCTGAAATATAAGTTTATGACGTTCTTTCACAAAAGAGTATAATCATTCTTAGACTGTTGACATGGCTGTGGAAAGCCTTAGGAGAAGTAGAAACAATTTAGGGAGGGTGGGGAATGTACTCATCCCCTCTTCTTTCCATCCTAGTGCCCCCACCAAAGAGGCTTCTTGTTGCAGCCCTCAGTATCTGGATATGGGCCAGGGAGGAAGGAAGGGAAAGAGCAATGCTGCTGTGCTTCAATCCTGGCCTTCCCCTCACAGAATTCTTTTAGGAAGAGCAAGCTTTTGTAAGTAGAGTGGCAAGTGTTTTTATCTTTTTTTTTTTCCTGCTCCTCAAAATGTTGTCTTGTTCCGGCAATCACTTTTGCCTTCCCTCTTTCCTGAGCCTGTAGTGACAAAGCCCGGCGATTTGGGATGAAATCTGTTGTAACACCAGAGCTTTGATTACACATCCTCTGGTTTTGAGTTATTCTACAGAATCAGAAAGGCTGGAAGGTGGGCTTCACACTCAGGATTGTGCTTTGAGAACCAGCTAATAGACCAGCCGAGGGAAGGTTGAATTGGCTGTCTTTACTTTTCCCGATAAGCCCTACTTAAATGCAGCCTGTAATTGTATAAAGGAGATGAGAAACATCAAGAGAAATGACATACATGTAGCTCTGGGGTAGCAAGAACTAGACTTCCTCAATTTGGATTCCATTTCCTTCTGCCATTTGCTTTTAGGCAATTGAGTGTGGGTAGTGATGAGATATCAAATCCCTTAGTGTTTCCATTTTGGGAAATGAGGCACTATTTTTTTTTTTAAAAGACAACTTACCCACCTGAGTCCTGAAACAGTTTGTCTCTCCAGTTTTCTGGCCTATACTCTAGTTAGCTCTGATCCAAGTTTACAGGACAACAGCCTTGCTTTAAGCCATGTCCTGTTGTGGGCACGATAATAGCAACTGAGCTGTCACAGCCTACCAGCAGGCTGGTAACACCTCCAGGGTCTCTTGGCTAGAGCAGATTTCTTAGCAGCTGACTAGGACTTCAGTCATTGGGAAGCCTATGAGGCCTTTACATTTTTGGTGTGAGATGGGGAAGAAACATAAAATGCCACTTTACAACTTCAATAATAGCCTGTAATTTATATTTACTGTGTGAATTTTTAGTCCTATATTTTAATAATTTGTAAATTGATCTCTTATTCCAAGAATCCTTTGAACTTGTAGAACATCTGGGAGTCCACTTCCCTGTCCTCTTCCTGATCCCTGCTTTCTGGACTGTTTAAATCCTCTTTGGGATGGATCAGAGAGTCTAGAGAGGCCACTCATAGGTCCAGCTGCTGGCCTCCTGACTCTCCAAAGCCTTCACTGGAATTGGGACATTTGCTCCAGCCCTAGCTGTGAACATGACCAGAGACATTATTTATAATTCAGCCATTTAAGATATACCTGTACTCAAAAAGTCCTGTATATTTTTAAAAAGTTTTATTTTTCAGGTGAACAAAAATACATCCTAAGAACTCTGCCTAAGCCTGTGTAAGTTGATCATTTCTCTTACTGTGCTTCGTGGGGACGGAGTAGAGGTTGGAAGAGTAAGTGGTCTGAGGTGTGATGGATGGATGGTGATGAATAGGTTGAGGAGGAAAAAGCAATTGCCCTGCTGTTCTCAGTGCCTGATGGCTTGAATGAATTGATTAGCGAAGGGCGGCAGAATCCATCTTAGTCGGGAAGCAATCCCGGGGTGGAAGAACAGTGATCTCTAGCTCAGCCACCTTTTGCCAACCTTAAACAGGCTGAGAAAAAGTTGTGCTTTACCAGAGCAGATGCCTAGCTGACAAAGCTAAGGGACCAGTAAGCATGAATATTAAGATTTACTGCAAACATTTAGCTGGCTAAGCACTGAGGTGAGGATAAGCTGCCTGATAGCATCACTGTCCTCACCTTTCAACCATTGGCCTCTAGATAACTCAAGAAGTGCTAACACCAGAAAGGCAAGTGTACATCTGTGGTGCTTGGTCAGAGCTTTGTCTACCATGGAGGAGGTAAATGGCTGAGAGGTTTAGGTTGCTTCAAAGGTGAGGTTTTTTTCTTCCCTTCAAGCAAACAAAAAAGACATGTGGGTGAAAGGCACAAATATAAGGGATTAGTTATGCTGCAAAATATATGGTAAGCAATTGAGCTCAGCTCATTATTAGACAATACTGCCCGGTACAAATCCGGAGTGAGAAGCCAGTGTTGGTGGGGCCCCCTGAGGCCTGCACTTCAGCAGAGCCGTTGGGGGGTAGCTACTGTTCTTTTACATTACCTTGTAGTCTGCAGGGAGGCATGGAAAAAGTCTGCCCTTCTTTTATTTCCCTCTTCAGCCTACACAATGGCTTTCTGAGAGAGGGCTTGGTAAGGTAGAGCAGAAGGGGAGTGAAAGAGTTTCCAAGGCTCTTTTGGTCGGCCCCTCCTTTTTGCAGACAGTGACATGTGGCTTCTACAGCTGCCCACGGCGGCTTCACATGTTGGGCACATACAGCAATATGTACAGTGGGAGCCTGCTAGCCGACGAGACAGGGCCTGGTTGGCTGAGGAGCAGTGGTCTGAATAGCTTTATTTCCAAGGGTTAGAAATCAGCTGCAAAATTGTCCATCAAGTTTTAAGCCAGGAAGGAGAGATCTGTGCAGAGGGGGTTACTTTCCTTCAAAGGCTTTGCACCGGGACTACCAGGACCCTTTCTAGGTGTTTGCTTATATTAGAAGTTAACGGTGTGCATTCATTTATTCCCTGACGGCCTGAACTTGAAGAAAGAGATAAGCCTGTTTTGAAAGTGAAGTTTTGGGGGGTGGAGGATCAGGGAAGGAACCCATTAGGCTGAGTTTGTGAGGGTATCTTCACTTTCCCCATTAATGTTAAGGTACAATGAAGTGTTTCTCTGAGGTTTTAAGCATAAGAAATATTTCTCTTCCTAACAGCCCTAGATTTCCACATGGTATGAGACCATGTTTTGGAAGCTTTTCTGTCTACCTTGTTTTTTCAGTTTTCACTGGGGAATTCTGAGATAGCGTGTTCTTTCGTGGAGTATTTATATCCTGTCTTGAAATGCTGAATGCATAGCATCTACTTGTTTCTACATGTTTCTTTAAGGAGAGCTGAAAGGTCAGGTCACAAGCTTTAGGACTACCACAGCTATGTAAAAGGGGTAATAATTGTCCTCTCTTTCCTGTCTACAGAGAATGGAGGTATTTCTGGAATTTCAGTTCAGTAACAAAAGGGCCACAGCTATACTTTTCGTTTTCCATCTCCCTCAGTGGAAGGAGAAACTGCAGTGGCTTTGCCTGTTTCTCATGACCAGTACTCACTCAGTGCCTGGCAGTGGGTACTCAGAATTTGTTGATCTCTGAGTTGATCAGCACCCAGTGGGTGCTGGGTGCTGATGGAATCAGCCTTAGTGTCATTGTGGTGTCCCTGTCATAATCTACTTGCATACCCGTATCCACAGCCCATAATCTGGTTCAAGGAGGTGGGTTGCTAAAGAAAACCCCTGCAAATCATAGCTGCACTGATCTCTCTAGCCTCAGTTTTTTTATTTCCAAGTTGAAGGACTCGGCCTTGGCCTTCCTGTTCTTTCCGGGTGCCGCAAGTCCACAGTGGTATTCCATATGGTGCTTAACGGACACACCATAGGATATGTGATCCATTCATTGTCTCCTAGGTCCCAGCCCTGCAGCCTCATGTTAAGCTATAAAAATATCTGCTCTGTCGACAGTTTTTTTGGTTACCTCTGTTTTACTTGCTGACATAGCCTGTGGTTTTCTGCTGCCAGAAAGCCTGTGTTATGCTTTTTGTCCCCTCCAGTAGCTAACTGAAAAAGCAAACAAACTTCTCTTTACCCCTCACCTAGACTCTACCAGGCTTTCCACCCTAAATGCAGAAATACCCAGCATGGGAGCCACCTGGTCAGTGCTCCTCACTGGATCCTGTGCCCCATTCAATTCTATAAACATTTGTTAAGCTACCACTAAAGGACCAGAAAATCACTCTCAAGGAATTTACAGTCATGCCCGCAAGTCTCCCCTTGTCAAACTATCCTGTTTTCTTAACTTCAGTATTCTGTTTTTGCAATAGCTTATCAGTTAAATAGCAATAAGATTTTAGCCAATATCCTTAGGGATATTTTCCACAAACCATTACCTTTAATTCAAGAACTTTAGTTTAGTTTAGGTCTTTATTTGGTGTCTACAGTGTGCTAAGTAAGCCTCAAAACTCCAAAAACCAACTTGTCCAAAAAAAAGCAATTGCATTGATTACCAAGGATTTCCTTTGACATACGTATACCTTTCTCTGCTACCTCAGTGTTCAGAGTCATTAGTTGAGGTCTCCCCACACTTGTGTCCTGGAGGCCCACCTGCTCCCTCAGCTCCTTGCTGGTATCCTGGATGGTGTAGAGTCACAGCAGTCAGGCTTAGAGGTATAGACAGCTCACGGCATCACAAGGCCCTGGGCAGGGAGACTGTGTGTTCTTGGGAGGGACCCCTGAACTGGAAGATGGGAAGCCTGGGGACTCAACAATGGCATTAGTTAAGGCCCTTGACCTCTCTCTTTTCTGCTAACCAAATGGGAATTCCTGAGAGCAAATGGAGGTTATAGATATGAAAGGGCTTTGAGATCTTGGGAGTAAAAGTACAACGTGTACACATGAAGTAATATATTTTCAAGGGAATGTCTGTCCCTTGGGCAATATGATGCACAGAAAGAAATGTGAAGGGGTAGGTGGTAAACATTACACCAGTGTCTAGACTAGCAGCATCAGCGTCACCCGGGAATGTGTTAGAACAATGACAGCTTAGGCCGCATCCCAGACCAACTGAAGAAGAAATTCAGAAAGCGAAGCCCGGCATTCTGTTTTAACCAGCCTTCCAGGTGATGCTGATGCACACTGAAGTCAGAACCACTGGCCCACCCTTTTCCTCTGATGCTGTAACTTAGGGGTAGGGTATTTCTGTTTTGACAGATGGTCATCGAGGTGCCTTTTGACCCTTTCTCTTGGTTAAAGACAGCAGTCCTGCTGGGGGAAGAGGAAATAGTGTCCCTAGTGCTTATAAGAAAAGGGAAAAAGGCTGCATTGTCCATTATTTTTGACAGTTGCCACAGAACTTGCCCTGGAGAGCTTGTTAAAAAGGAGGCAGCCCTGAACGAGTCCCCTCCCTCTCCCGCGAAGGTACTGCTGTGTTTGCCTCACCTCCTGCCCTGAGGCCTGCTGCTTCTTGAGCCAGTCCTTAAAAGGAGCAGTGGGTGCCACATTTGTTCTTTCTGGTGCCAGGTCTGTGCTATTTCACTTCCCCGGCGTCAAGTGGGTGCTTAATGAGCAGCTGTGACGTAAGGCCCAGCAGACTTGAGAGAAAGCAGCTGCAGTCCATGCTTTCTGCTGGCTGCTCTCCTTCCCTCTCCCAGCCTTGAGTTCTCCCACTTTGGTGGGGTTGTGGTCAACCCCTGTCAACCCTTCCTCATGAGCCCTGATAACCCTTGCTCAGAGATGTGTGTGGGGTGTGTGGACATGGATAAGTGACTCAAGATGGAAGTGACATGGTGTCTAGTTCTATTCCCTTGGCCCCTCCCCTTGATTTAGTCCCTAAAATAAGAAAATGTGGCTGTATTAGGATTTTTGACAGTTCCTTCTTGTTTTGGGGGGTGAGTGCGATCTTTTCCTGTTGTTCTCGTCCCTGACAGGGTCGGGGCTGGAGGTGACTGTGGTGCAACCTTCCAAACTTGTGCCTTGTTAGATAAGCTAAGCTCTCCTGCTTCCAAGGATCCCCAGTTCCTGTCCCTTGACCATAGCAAACGCTAGTCATGCTGCTCCTTTGGGTGACAAAACAACTCTGGGACACACAGAGCAAACTCCTCAAGGGGGTTTGTTTCTGGGGAAAATAAGCAGAAAACTGTGATGTGAGTGTGAGATTGCTATTGAGGTAGACAGAAGAGAGGAGGAACCCCTGTGAGCTGCAAGCGCAGCGCAGCGTGCAGGGTGAAGGGGGGTAAGTGTGATGGAGCCAGTAGGGGAGGTCAAAGAACACTCCTTGGTAAAGCAGGGGCACTGCTCGAGGCTGAGACTCCACTGGACCCCCATGGGACTGAAGGAAGCTCACCTGGTGGGCCGGATAATCTTTACAGACGGTTCCTTGTTTCTCTGAAAGTGCATTGAGTGCCCCCACCCCCCGCCCCTCCAGCAAAGATGAGGCTAGAAGAGAAGGTAAGGAAAAGATAGAAAACAAAGTAGACAGAGATCACACCAAATCGCTACTTCATTTATTCAACAAGTATTTACTGAGTGCCTTCTGTGTGCCACGCTACTGTTAAGACAGAGTCCAACTCCAACTGCGGGCAGGTATGTTTTCCATACTCTCCCCATCCAGGTACTAACCAGGCCTGACCCTGCTTAGCTTACGAGATTAGGCACGTTCAGGGTGGTATGGCCGTAGACTATTTTGGATACCCTTATCTTTAATTTTCTCAGCAACCCTTCAAAACAGGTATCACAAGCCTCATTTTGCAGATAAGGAGACTGAGGCTTTTAGAGGCTAAAATTGACCCAGGTCACCCGGCTGACAGATGGCAGGCCTAGGGTTCTGATTCAGTCCATTGGATTCCAAGGCCTGTGCTTGTTCCACCCGGCCACACTGCCTGTCATCAAAACACATGTCTTTCTTGCAGGCTGGTCTATTGCATTTCCGTCCCGCCATCTGTCAAAAATGGGCCTGGGACGGAGAGGCCTCTGCCTATTCTGCCCTCCTTGTTTCGAGACCTTAGGTAAAGCCAGCATCTCCCTACCAGCTCCTCCCTCCTCCTGTGTGCCCTCCTTTTTCCAGGCCCCCAGCCCTGTGCCTGGGCTCCTGGCAGCTGTGTTTCATGAAGACCCTCCACCTTTGAAGAGCAGTCTTTTCTGTTGGTTGGAGAAGAGAAAGACACCCAAAAGGAAGGCTCCCAGCCAGGCCTTTAAACAAAGGAGCCAGGAAGAGGTAGAACCAGCTTCCCATGATGCCAAGCTCTGTGGAGGGGTGTCTTATTGCGCCTCCCTCCCACTCCATGGCTGCTTCCATCCTACAGCAGGAGGGGTGGCAACCATCCGGACTGATAGCCGGGGGTTACCACCATAACTACCACTTCCTTATCTTGAAGAAGAGCTCTCCTTTTTTGAAAAGAGCTCAATGTTACCTGCCTACACTACCATCTTCCTGCAATGAAGAGGTCCTGTGCCAGTCTCTGTTCCCTCCAATGTCTATAACTCCTGTGATATTCCTCCTCCTGACATCCTTCTGGACGTCATCCATGGAGACAAGCCCTACTTCCCCACAGCCCTTCTGCCCAGCCTTCTCTCCTGCTTCAGTCCCATTGTGAGGGCTGAACCCGAGCTCTGCCTGCTTCCTACATCCTCATTCCAGGGTCAGACGAGCCTGGCATATGCCCCTTCGTGGAGGCGCAGCTGTACAGTTGGCAGCACTGGGTTGGGGAGCAGACTGTGAATCTTATAATTCAGATTCTTGATCACAATCATTTTTGGAGACATCTGCCTGATGTCTCCAAAATCTAAGGGCTTTGCCTGAACCTCCTCTACCCCTAGCCCCGTCCTTTGGGAGTCATGGATTCCTAGGCCAGTGTCACACTCCAAAGCCATGTTCTTGTGACTAGAAGGCAAGAGAAAAACTTGAGCTTGGAGTCTTTGCCCTGGCATAGGTGTGTCTCACATACATAGGAATGTTTCCAAGCCTTTCCAAAATTCCTCTGATCAACCCCACACCAAATGCCTCTGCCCCCTTCACTCCATCCCATCCCTGACCAGCTCTCCCACTGCACTACTAGAAGTTGACACCACCCACTCACTGCCTTCCAAAGCATCTTCCCCAAGTCTCCCACCCAACTCTGCAGCCAGGAAGCCCCCACCACCTGACAGGGGTAGCACTCCCCCATCCCCTACATAGCCAGCCACCAACCTTTAGAGTCTAGAGTCTGTCTTCACCCCCAGCCCTTCATATATTCTAGTCCAAACCCTTAACTACTCAAAACCATGGTCCAGGAACCAGCATGGGCTTCACCTGAAGCCTCTTAGAAATACGAATTCTCGGCCAGGTGTGGTGGCTCATGCCTGTAATCCCAGCAGTTTAGGAGGCCAAGGCGAGCAGATTGCTTGAGCCCAGGAGTTGGAGACCAGCCTGGGCAACATGGTGAAACCCTGCCTCTACAAAAAATACAAAAATTAGCCAGGTGTGGTGGCACACCTGTAGTCCCGGCTACTCAAGAGGTTGATGTGAGAGGATCGCCTGAGCCTGGAGGGTTCGAGGCTGCAGTGAGCCATGATTGTGCCACTGCACTCCAGCCTAGGTGATAACAGCAGGACCCTAACTAAAAAAAAAAAAAAAAAAAAAAGACGAACTCTCAGGCCCTCCCCAGACCATTAGAATCTGCATGACTCTTCAGTTAAAGTATGAGAGACACTTCTCAAAACAGTCTGGTCTGCTAAAGAGATGCCCCTCACCTTCCTGAATAGAGGGGTGGGGTGGAGTTGAGAGCCAGTGAGGAAGGCTGAGCTGGGACCCCACAGTTTAGGCTTCACATTGGGCAGTGGAGAAATCCCAGGGTGATCTGGACTCTCCCTAGAGCCCCACAGCCTTCAGCAGAGAGCAGCAGCCATGGCAGGACCAGAAGGAGGGGGCAGAGGGGACCATGCGGTGAGGTCCACACTAGGGCTCAGGAGCAGAAGGCACACATAACAAGAAAGAAGGGCACTTGCTTCTGCCAGGCAGAGGTGGGAGGGTCCCCTGGGGCTCCTACCGCCATCCTGCCCCCAGCCCTGTAGGGCACCTGTGGCCCAGAACAGCTCCCGCCCAGAACAGCCCAGATCTGCCGGATGACTGGCTTTCTTCCCTCCCTCCTGCTGGCAGTCTCCGTCGCCTACCGGCTGGATTACTGGTAGTGGGTGCTCAGGAAATGTTTGTTGAACTGAGAGGAAGCCACAGCTTGTGCGGAGTCCGGATAATTCAGCAGACGTGGGCCTCAGGGGAGGGGCGGGGATGGAGGCTTAGTAGGAAAGACAAGTCCTGATGTCATACTTAGCTGGAAGTTGTTTCTCTGTCTGTGGAGTAGCTGTCTGATTCTTGCCTTGGCCTGGCCCTGGTGCTAGTGCAGGACGGTGGGGAAAGAGGAAGTGGAAAGAGCAGGAAATGACCCTGGGCTGCAGGGCCAGGCCCTTGCCTACATTCAGGGTGCACGTGATGTCTGACCTGGGTGTGGGGGCCTGGGAGTAAGCTCTCCCATCCTGCTGTGGGAAGAGGAGGTTGTCGCTCCCCATCCCAACCCATTTCAGAGAGGAGGACTTTCCAGAGATCCTCCTTTTCACCAAGAAGACGTGAGCTCTACTCTTCTTTGCCCAGGCCAGACCCTGCCAGCTGTGTGGCCTCTCCTCCTCCAGGCCTCAGCCACCACTCAGGAGAGGCAGGAGGCTGGCGCATGGTTACTGGGATTCCCCTGGTTGGGCATCCTGGGAATCTGGGACTGGGGGAATCCAGCCCAGGCAAGAGGTGAAAGCCTGCAGCTGGAGAGGGAGGCCAGGCCCTGGGGGGGTGACGGGGAGCCAGGAGAGCCAGGTGCTGGGTGCCACCAAGCCTTGTTCTCTCATCATAGTGGAGAAGGCTTGTGGCCTGGGCAGCAGTAGGCCCAGGTCAGGGTGCACCAGCCTCAGATGCCAGATACTAGTACAGGAATACACCAGGGGCTGTGCCCGTGCGTGAAAACACACATGTGCACAGAGATGAGCGTGTGAGGTGCAGGGAGGCCACTCCTTGCCCTCACAAGGTCGCCATGCTGGAGAGTTTGCCACACTGCTCAGTGACAATGGCGCAAGCCACCGGCAACCACATGGCCATCACGCGGAGGGCCTTTAACAGAGTGATTCCCTTTTCCTCTCCCCGGGGACTCCCCAGCTCCCAGGAGCTGTGTTCAGCATCTTCCTGCCGGGCCAGGGCGCCCTGTCCTGCGCCTCACACCTGCTGTGCCTCTCGACCTTTGGCTGCCTCCTCTCGTGGGCCGGCTTCTCGGGGCCAGGCCCTGCTGGGCCCCAGACTTGCCAGACCTGTCTTCTCCGGGCTCTGGGAGCCCTGCTCCTCTCTGTGGCTCAGGGCAAGTCTGTACTTCCAGCTCAGCCTGGTGATTGCTCCACCCCAGGGGCTGCTGCTTAGAGCCCTCTGGCCAAGACACAGGGCTCTCCTGGGCCCCAGGCCTCAGACCGAGCACACACCCGCTCTCCCTGGGCCCAGGGATGCCAGCCCCTCCTAGGGAGAGGTCAAGAGGAGCCAAGTCAGGCTCCTGTGGAGAGCAGGGGACTGAGCTGGCTGTGGAAGCCACTGACTCCCCCTTCGGCCCCTCTGGGGATGCCAGGGCTGGGCTGGCTGCAGGGGCGCTCCCCAGTCGGCCCTGCTCCATCCCGCTCTGCTTCTGGGCTTGCTCCTCCTCACTGGGAGTCTCTCTGGTGCTTTGGCTTCCCTGAAACAAGAGAATAGCCCCGGTGGCTGATGAATCCAGGGCTCGCGTCCCCAGCCTGCCCCATCCTATACCCAAGTACCTACCTCCTGACCTTCCAGCTCCTCCTTGTCTTCCTTCATATCCCACCTGTAGAAACACAGCTCATGGCACGCCCCACCCCACTTCACTCCAGAGCCATGTCCCCCTGCCTGAATAGAGGGGTGGGGTGGAGTTGAGAGCCAGTGAGGAAGGCTGAGCTGGGACCCCATGGTTTAGGCCTCACACTGAGCAGTGGAGAAATCCCAGGGGTGACCCAGACTCTCCCTAGAGCCCCATAGCCCTCAGCAGAGAGGAGCAGCCATGGCAGGACCAGAGAGGAGGGGCCTCCACCTCCTCTGGGCCTCCATCTCCTTGCCAAAGAAACTCCTGGCAGAAGCCAAAGCCCAAGGGTCTCAGACTGGGATCAGAGCCAGAATGTGGCTCCAGGATGCTTCCCCCACCAAGCCTGACCTTGTTCCCTAAATCCAACTATTTCCTCTGAATACCACGCACTCTGGGCCCATCCTGGGTCCCCAGCTGCTGTTTATGGCCAAACTTGCAGCACCTTGAGTTCTGTGGGGACTCCAGGCATGTCCCCGCCTGCAATGCCTGGGAAAGGCATACCTCATTTCCCAGGGGAAGGGAGCTGCTGTAATTACCACCAGCCTCCCCGGGCACCAGGCTCTCGCTGCAGCCTCTGCTAATGGCCTCTCCCAGCATCTCATTAACCTGCCAGGCAGCAGTCAGCCAGGAGGCAGGGGCCCCAGGGATGGAGCTGGCACCTGGGCCTGTACTGGTCCAGGAAATTGGGACACCCACATGCCCGTCTTGATTTTGTCCCCTGCCACCTGTTACCTTCGGGCCCTGCCAGTCAGCCTCTCCTTGCCCCGGGCTTTGCTGCCTGTGGCTGGTGCCACCGAGGGTCTGCTGGCTTGCCCGCCCCGACCTGCAAGAGATGGTCGGCCAAGGAGAGAAGAGGCCCATAGCAGCCGGCTCCATCTTTAGCTGACGAGACCTGGCCCCTCCTCCTCCCCAACTCACCTTTTCCATCAGGGAGCAATGGTGGGGGCTGTAGTTTCTGGTGGCTCCTGGGACCTGCGGGGGACAAAAGAAGTGGGGAAAGGTGGGGTGACAAAGGATCCAAAACAGGAACACCAGTTCTTCCAGCCTCAGGAAGCTGTCAGTCCTCGGGGCCAGTCGTGGGTTTTGCCTCCCCAAAAGCGCCCTCGCCTGGGGGTCAGGAGAATAGGGTCCTGTGCTAGCTTTGCCACTCCATGGCTAGGTGTCTGGCCCCAACTCTCAGGCCACAGCTTCTTTATATATAAAACAAGGGGACCAGAACTCCACAGAGCTGTTTCTACAGTAGGTCTGGGGAAGGACCACCAGGACTTTCACCCTTTAGGGACCTCAAAGAGACCCCGGGCCGGCTTCCACTGAGCCTCCTTCTGGGGCCTTCTGCTCAGAACCTGGACAAGAGCTGTGGGCTCAGAGGGGAGGATGGGAGGTCTTGGTGCCCTCCTCTGATAGTGAGGGAGAGGAAGGAAGATGTTCTCCAACGCTTCCTTTCAGCTCTGAAAATAAGAGACTAAGAGACAGAGAAAAGAGAGGACAAGGGGGTGAAAGATGAACAAAGCCAAGGAGGGGAGGGATGAGGTAGGTGTGGGCTCACCCCTTCTGCTGCCTGCCCTGGCCGGGCCTTCTCCCCTCAGCTGGCTGCAGTCCTGTAGCCTGTGTAGACAGAGGGAGTCAGGTTGCTGGTGCACAGAAGCTGCCGCGGGCCCCACCCTGACACCCCCCTCCCCGAAGCCCAGGCCCAGAATTGAAGGCAGCAGGGAGATGGTGGGCCCAAGAAAGATGGGAGACCCAGAGCCTTGAACCCTGGGCTCGACCAGAATGCCCAGCAAGGTCCTCTCAACCCCGAGGAGGGTCCCTGCAGCCCTCCCAGCAGTGCCCGAAGCCAGCTCCATCCCGCACCACAGGCAACCTGCCCAACCCAGCCACCCACGTGGACTTGGCCTTGTCCAGGTCCCACGGGCGGCGCCAGTCACCCTGTGCGTCTCTGTGCCGGGCGAGGCGGGCTAGGTCGATCTGCTCCCGCTCCTGCTTCCACTGGGCATAGTCCCAGCCCGCCTCCGGGGGCTCCCCCACCGGCCGGCTCCAGGGCTCCCAAGAACCCTGTAGGGAGAAGACACTCAGAGTGAGGGGGAGAAGCAGGAAGAGGCTTGGGGTGGGGTTTGGAGACTCCAGGCGCTTCCTCTCTCAAGGTTTCCACATCTCCAGCTAAAAATTAGGCCTGTTCCAGCTCTCCCGTGGAAATGGTTTCCATCCACTTGTTAGCTGTGTGTTTTACATAAGTAATTTAACCTCTCTGTGTCTCATTTCCTCGTGTAAAATGGGGAGGATCTCCGTAGCACCAACCCACAGGGGTGTTGCAGGGGTATGCAGACGGGCCGGAGTGGGAGGGGCCCTGGAAGCTGTGAGCAAGGGCAAGGACTAGGGGCTGCTGCCACCTAGAGGTCACACCTGGCACTTGGCCAGTCAACTCCACCCTCCTGCCCCCTCCCCAACTCCCATGCCACCATCAGCAGGGCTAAATAGGGGAGGGGGCTGGATCACATCTTTGGCTTAAACTGTCTCCCACTTCAAGGCCCACCCAAAGTAGAGACTGGCCAGAGAAAGGGAGGAGGAGCAGGAACTCCTGCATGTGCTCCCTTGGCCACGTCCCCGCAAATGAGGGACATATCTGACTCAGCTTCTCTGCCTCCCCCAAGTGAGGACCTTCAGATCCATGTCCCCATCCCCTCTTGAAGACACACCTTCCGTGCAGAATCTGAGCTGATGGCCACCTGCGTGGGGGGGCTTCGGGTCACACGCCCTCCAGGTGACCCCTCTATGCCTTGGTTCCTTGCTCTGGTAGGCTTTTCACTTACAATCCGTTTGCCCTGGGGAGGATGAAGATGGGCAGTGCAGCAGAGCCAGGGAGGAAGAGGCTGCCTGCCGATGCCTGCACTCCCCACCACCCTGCTCACCTCTGCTTTGTTCTCCATGGTCACAGCCAGCTCCACCAGCTCCCCTAAGCAGAAAGTACCCCCGTGGTCCTCAGCATCCTCATCCTCAAGCATCTCGTTGGTCACTCTGGGTCCACAGGTACCCCTTGCCCAGTTCCTGCTAACCACCCGCTTTTCCTGCAGAACAAAGACCCTCAGGCCACATGGGCAGTGCTGGGCAGGACCTGGGTGCTGGGTCCTCTCGGTGGTTCCCCAGGCCTGGGTTCCAACCCCAGCCCTCCCTGCATTCCCCACAGAAGAGCTGACTCCCACAGGGTGTTCACATGCCAATGGCATGAGGTTATCCAGGGCCCAGGGCCACCCAGCGGCCCAAGATGCCACAGTGGCCCGTCATCTCTGAGCTGGGAAACCCAGAGCACTCAAACAATGGGTCTCTGTCCCTCAGACACTGCTCCTGGCATTCAGCCCCAACTTCTCTGTCCCCCACTTCCTGCAGGGTTTTAGCCCCTGGGGCTTGAGGTTTAGGAGTGGCCTGTGCTTTGTGGCATAGGCGCAGGGCTGTGGACTGGAAAAGGGTATGAAGATGCATCTACTGGGGGTAGGGGGGCTTTCAGCTGTGGCTCTTTGGTGGGGACAGCAGTGGTCCGACTGCAGGAGGTTGGGAGCTGGCAGGTGCACCCCAGAATAGTTAGTAGGAGAGGGGAACAGAGGCAGCTGTCTTTCCCCGACATGGTCTGGGCCTCCACCTCCTTGCTACGAGCCCTGTCTCCCAGGGTGAGGCTTACACCGGGAACCTGGCTGATGGTAACGGTGAGGCCATCAGGCTGGAGGAGTGCTGGTGTGGTCACAGCCATCCCCCCCTGCTCTGCCTGCCGACGGTCCTCCTGGATCTCCTGTGGGAGGGCTGGGGGTCAGCACACGCCATGGCCCCCCAGGTGCACAGAGACATAGATGCTGATAGGCCTACACAGAGAGACACCAGTGGGACACCAGGGGGCAGAGGCGCCACATCACACATCCCCAGGACCCTCACCAAGCCTCTAAGAGGGACCATGCCCACCCTACCCCTGGCCCCAGCCCCAGAGGCGCATTGCTGAGCCTGCAGGGAGACCACCACGTGTGGGGCACAGGGAGCGGCAGCCAAGTGGTTTCTCCTGGCCCTGTGGCAGCCCACTCACCTGGTACCTGCGGAGCAAGGCCTGGTTCTTCTTGCGCAGGGCAACTATCCTCCGATCCAGCTCTGCGTCCTTCTCCTGCCTGCTCATGGGGGACTCGGCTCTGGGAGTTCCCTGCAGAGGCAGGGAACCCAAGCTCCTGACTTCCGGGTCCCCCTCTCACCAGTCCCCAGCTTTCACATTTTCACCACCCAAGGAAGAGATCCCAGACCCACAGCTAAGGTCACCCAGGAAGGAAGGGGATTGCTTAGGGAGATGGCCCAAATAAGGCCCCAAGCCCCCATTCCAGCTAGGCCCGTCTGCCTGTCCCTGCCTCCTCAGGGGGCTCAGGTCAGGGCCTCATACCCCAAGCCACAGCTCCCAGCAGTGGGGTGCCCCTCCCCCAGCTCTCCAGGGAGCTTCACTGCCGAGCAGAGCCTGGAATGGGAGTTATAAATGGCTCTGGCAGCGGAACCTGCCGTGACTGGGAAGCTGCCAGGGGATTCGGGAGGTCGAGGGGGGAGCTGTTTGGCTCCCAGATCCACAACCAGAGAAAAAGGAGAGGCCCTGGCTCCGTCCTGGGCTCTCAGGCCCTGGACCCCGCACCTAGGCCTGTGCCCAGCCTGGAGGAAAGAGCCGCTCCCAGGGGCCCAGCCTCTCCAGGCCGAAAGCTGCTGGTAGTCGGGGCGGAGAGAGCCAGCTCCCCTGGCGGCCCCAGCCCAGGAGTCACCCTGGGCAAGCCATGTCTCTGCATCAAGATTCCAGGTTCCTCTCTGTCTGGATGCAGGTTCTCTGTTGTGACCCTAGTCACAGCCTTCTTCCTCCCAGCCCCAGCTGTCCCCAGCTGCCCCCAGAGGGTGGCTGCCTGGTATCCCAGCCCCCTCCCAGTCCCAAGAAGCCCCCTGCCAAAGGCAGACTGCCACTCACAGCCGAGTGCATGGCAACGGCGGGCACCGAGAGAATTCCAGAGCAGCCCCTGGGGAGCCAGAGTGGGAGGAAAGCTGGAGCCACCGGAGCCGGGCCTCTGCCGGCCTCTCCCTGCCGGCTTCGCTGCTCAGCACACGAGATCATGTTGTGATTACAAAAGACTCCTCTGGGCTCCCAGCCAGGAACGTCGGGCCGCCACCCCCACCCTTCCACTCTCAGAGGGCGAGGACCAGGGCACTGGCAGCTGGCTGGTCCTGCCTAGCACCTCTCCCTGCCCCACCCCAGCGTCCCCAGACAGACTGGTAGGGACTTCTCCCTGGTGGGTCAAGCCTACACAGGAGGCCTGGCTGCCTAGGCCCCAGCAGGACCCCAGCCTGGGCCTGCCTGCAGACAAGATGGGCAGCCAGCGTAGGCCTCTGTGCCTCCCATGAGTAGAAAAAGGCCTACAGCACACAGATGCGCCTGCCCTCTCCTGCTCCTTCTCCTCATCAGCCTTGGTTTAAGTAATTCAAAGGGATCAAGAAGCTCACCTCCCCTAGACTACCAAGTACTACCACATCCCTAAAATGACAACAATAGTCATTCATTCTTTTAGGTTGGACATTGTCTTCTCTGTGCAGTCATGCACCATATAATGACGTTTCACTCAACAATGGACCACATATATGATGGTGGTCCCATAAGATTATAATGGAGCTACAAATTCCTATGGCTTAGTGACATTGTAGCCATTATAACATGGTAGCACAGGGCACTACTTATGTGCTTATGGTGACGCTTGTGTAAACAGACCTACGGCATGACAGCCGCACAAAAGTATGGCACATACAAGTGTGCACAGTACAGAATACCTGATAATGATAATTAACAATTATGTTACTGGCTTATGTATTTACTATACTATACTTTTTATCATTATTTTAGAGTGTATTTCTTCTACTTACAACAACAACAAAAAAAAGTGAACTGTAAAACAGCCTCGGGCAGGTCCTTCAGGAGGAAATCCAGAAGGCATTGTTAGCATAGGAGATGACAGCTGCAGGCCTGTTAATGCCCCTGAAGACCTTCCAGTGGGTCAATATGTGGAATGGAAGACAGTGATGTTGATGATTCTGACTCTGTGTAGGCCTAGGCTAATGTGTGTGTGTTAGATTTTGAGAAAAAAGTTTAAAAAGTTAAAAAAAAGAAAAAGTTTCAAAATAGCAAAAAAACTTATAGAATAAGGATATAAAGAGAAAATATTTTTGTACAGCTGTACAATGTGTTTTGTTTGTGTTTTAAGCTAAGGGTTATTACCAAGAGAGTCAAAAAGTTTTTTTAAATTAAAAAGTTTATAAAGTAAAAAGGTTACAGTAAGCTAAGGTTAATTTATTACTGAAGAAACAAAAATATATATTTTTTAATTTTTCATTTTTTGAGACAGTCTCACTCTGTCACCCAAGCCAGAGGTCAGTGACATGATCATGGCTCACTGCAGCCTCAACCTCCTGGGCTCAAGGGATCCCCCTGCCTCAGCCTCCTGAGTAGCTTGGACAACAGGCGCATGCCACCATGTCCAGGTAGTTTTAAAATTTTTTGTAGAGAGAACGTCTTGCTATGTTGCACAGGCTGGTCTTGAACACCTAGGCTCAAGTGATCCTCCTGCCTTGGCCTCCCAAAGTACTAGGATGACAGGCATGAGCCACCATGCCTGACCAAAAAATCATTCGTATAAATTTAGTCTAACGTAAGTGTACAGTGTTTATAAAATCTATAGTAGCAGACGGTAATGTCCTAGGCCTTCAGATTCACTCATCACTCACTCAGTGACTCACCAGAGCAACCTCCAGTCCTGCAGGCTTCATTCATGGTAAGTGCCCTATACAGGTGTGCCATTTTAAATCTTGTACACCATATTTTTACTATATCTTTTCTAAGTTTAGATATGTAAACACTTAGCACTGTGTTACAGCTGCCTACAGTATGCAGTACAGTAACCTGCTGTACAGGTTTGTAGCCTAGGAGCAATAGCTATACCATATAGCCTGGGTGTGTAGTAGGCTGTACCATCTAGGTTTGTGTAAGTGCTCTCTGTGGTGTTCACACAATGACAAAACCACCTAACAACGTATTTCTCAGAACATAGCCCTGTCATTAGCAGACACATGACTATGTTTTAAAGCACAGCCGCTTCCAAGAGGCTCTGTTGTTTGGGTCTCTAGCCCTTTGGTATGGTGAGCCAGGCATTCCTCCAGGGCCCTTGCCATGGCAGTTCAGAGCTGGTCAACAGCCTTCCTCCCTCGGGCCCTAAGTTTGGGCCCTTCCTGGCCTTGCTCTCCAAGACTGGCTTTTTCAGCCTCTCTGAACCTGGCAAAGGAATCAGCCCTTCTCAGGAAAGCTCCTCCCCCATATCTTCCTCATACAGCTGAGACTGGTCTCCCTGCCCAGGCTCCTAGAGCCTCTGGGACTCAAGGCTTGGGGGTGCTGAGAGGAGGGTGGTCTTTCTGGACTAGGAATTCGTGGAGTCTGTTTCCTCAGCTACAAGGCCCTGAGCTCCAGGCCCTCAGGTGAGAATCAGAAGCCCCTGCATTCCCCACATCCCTGATTGACCAGGCCAGTTTCCCAAATGCCACAACTCGTCCCCTCTGTCTCCAGAGCAGAAACCCCCGCTGCCTTCTTTCTCCTCCCAGACCCACCCAGGCAGCCAGAGGTCCAACCTCCACCCCTCCAGAACTGCCCTTTCCTCCCCACTCCCTCCCCCAGCTCCGCCAGGCTTAGCCCTCTTCCTGTCCAGGCCTTTGCACAGCACCCCTGGCCCCACACCCCATCTCCACCACCCCAGAGTTCCCATCTTGCTTGCAAATGCCACTGCGCTCTCCCTTCCTTTCCTGCCGGATGTCCCCACTGAGTCAGACTCGTCAAACTCTCCCAGCAACCATGACGCACCCAGGCTTTGTGCCCTGGGCCTCTCTCACACACATACACGCACACACTCTCTCTCCTTCTCCCAGACGCTCTGCATCCTGCCCCATACAGTGGACTGAGTTCCACGCCAGCCTCAGGAGGCTTCAGAAGCCTCCAGAAGCCTCAAACTTCCCTTCGCCTGCCCCGCACTGTGTTGGAGCTGGGAGGCCCGCAGAGCACTTGCTGGGGAGGGAGACCTAATGCTCTCCAGCCTCTTCAGAACTCAGGCCCGGACCAGGTCTGGGGAGGAGATGTGTAGATGGGGTAAGGAAGCTACAGGGATAAGGCAAGGCTGTGTACCCCCTCCCCCATTCCCAGACAAGGTGGGGGCAAGAGAGTAGCAGGGGGGTAAAGGCATGGGCACAGGCTTATCGCCTGTGGGATGGCCACACAGCTCTTCTGGAAGGGCCTGCAGGAACACACTCCCCTCACCTAGGGCAAAGGCCTTCTGGTCTGTCAGGCTAGAGGGGTATGTGCCCAAGACAAACCAACCATCATACGGGGGGTACCAGCAGCTGCTGACTGTGTGTTTCCCAGTGTTATTCACACATGACGTCACACCTCTGAGCAGCCCCCACAGTCTCCCACTTTCCCCAGAGTCTGTGGTTGGCCTGTCTGCTCTCCATTGGACAGAGGCTCTCTGAGGGCAGGAATGACCTGCCAAGTGCCTCTGGATCCCCAGTGTCTGGCACGGTGCCCCTGCATACTAAAGAACCTCCATCAGCACTTCCAGAATGAAGACATGCGTGAATTGTGCTTGCCATCCTGTGCATAGCTGTGGGTATCCTATGCATAGGCTGGGACTGCCTTTCTGTCCACCTAGAATGTACGCAGCCCTGAGGGAGCCGGTGGGTGGTAAAGGTGCCCTAAGAGTAGCCCCACCCCACCCCGGGGAGAAGCCCACAGGAAGCAGGGGAGATGGAGAAGGACCAGCTTGCCATCCCCATGAGACTGGGTGTCTGTTTCTCTGTGTCGCCACTAAGGGGCAGCAGAGCGACAACAGCCTGTTTTTGGGTGCGGGAGGCGGTTCCCTTTCTCTGTTGTTCCACAGGGCCTCCCCCAAGTCCCTGTAACCTCCACCTCCCAACTCCATCAGACTAGAGAAGCCATCTAGTTGTAGAAGACTTATTTTATTGATGAGGAAGCTGAAGCCCAAAGAGGTGGCGCCCTCTGCCCAGGTGGCACAGCCTGTCTGTGATGCCGCTGAGGCCACACACCCGGGAGCTGCCTCCTGCCCAGGGCGCCTTCACCGGCTGCCCCGCCAATGCCGTTCTGCTGATCCTTCCCTCTGTGCCCTCCCTCTCTCCACCCGGGGTTGGGCCGGGTGTCCCAGCACCTCGGGCACAGGCTCTTCCCTGTGGTCCCCCACCCTCCCAGGCCACCCGCTGGCTCAGGGGGTACCCCCTGAGGTCCAGAAGGGAACGTATCTGGACCCTATTCGTGGTCCTCAGAGCACAGACCTGGGACCAGCCCTGAGAACGAGATGGCTGCAAGTTGGGATTCTCACTGAGGAGAAAGAGGGAAGGGGCTGCAGGGGAGGAAAGACCCTCCGAACCACACGTGGAGCCACCGCAACCCTGGGATCACAGCCCTGGCAGAGGCTCCACCCACGAGGGCCGCACATCTCAGACCTCATTCTGTTTCCGGAATGCTGCCCCTGAAGCTGGATCAATGAAACATAAGCAAGCCGGCCCCTGCCCTTCCCCTCGGCTTTGTCAGAAGATGGGATGGGGGGTGGGTGGATTCCAAATGAACTTCACCCCTTACTGGCTGTGTCCCTTCTCTCTCTGGCCCTCATCTATAAAATGAGGTGTACCTGCTTCACAGAATCATCTGGAGAGGAAATAAAATAACATGGGTAACCATCCATATCTGGAACAAAGTGTGCCCAGAGTAAGGCTCAAAACAGTTTTCTTGCCTCGGGTAACTTCCTGATGGCCACCTTCTGGATGCTACCTCCCCAGCATCCTTTGAGAGGCCCAAAGCCTGCCTCCTACCAGCCTGCTGGGGCCTGAACACATTAAGACTTCTGGGTTATGGAGACCATTTGTGATCTGGTGGGGCAGATCCTGAGGCATTCCCTCAGCCACCTCCCTTCAGGTCTCCTGCCCAGCACACCCTCTCCAGGGAGTCCTCCCTGTCCCTCTTTGTCCCCTCTGAAGTCCCAGGCCCTGGTTGCCATCCCTCTCCAGCCAGGACTCGTGCTTCTGGAAGCAGTCCCTGCACTTTACCTGCCTCTGGATACCCCCAGGCCCAGTTCCAGGATCACACCCCAGTGCTCGGGAACCCTTCTTATTGGTGAAGGGCCGAGCCCTTAGAGGTCACTGGTGCCACTAGCCAGCCCTGGGTGTGTGGGTGAGTATTGAGGAAAAGAGTGAGCCAGGCTGGATTGCATGAGAGCTCAGCTATTAGGCAGGGAGACCCTCCAGATGGAAAGGGGCCAGAGAGTGGCCTAAAGCACAGCATTCCCTTCCTGCAAACCCATCCTCCCTCCCTGCCCCACCATGGCGATTCTTGTCTCAAGAAAACTCCTGTCCTGGCTCCCAGGACTTGAGGTGTGGTCAGGCCAGGCCTGGTCTTGGGTGGGAAGGACTCAAGACTGCATGAGGTGGGGCTGGAGGGACCAGCCCTAGGCAGGCTCCAGCTGCCAGGGACAAAGTCTGGGCCACGCCTTTCAAAAGAACACATAAGCCAGAGCAAGGTGGAGCCCAGGCTGAAGTCCTTTGAGGCATTGGAAGCAGAAGGAAAGCTGTACTAAGGACATACCCCTCCATTCTGCTCTCCAGGACATACCCAGGGCTGGGGCATCCTGAACCTTCCAGCGTCAGACCCAGTAATAGGAGGTGAACGCTGGCATGGACCTGAGCCCCTGAGGTCTCCCTTGTTTGTTGATGTTCTGTTCCCACGCACCAACAATGGATCTCTTCATGGTGCAAAGGGGACTCATTGTGTTTTCCCAGAAGCCCCACCTTGACCCCCAGCCCACAGCTGTCCACGAGCAGAGGCTGAATGCTGCCCTGTTGGGACTTGCCCACACTATGCCATGAACAGAGCACCTACCCTGGCCAAGGTGATGCAGGAACCACCAGGGAAAGACCTCAGAGGCACCTGCCAACACTAGGCTGCGTTGGCCTGAGGCCCAGCCAGCACAGGGCTCAGGCCCACCAGGGAGTTTTCCAGAAGGGGATGAGCTTCAAGGGGATGAGCAAGATTCAGGCAGGGGGATGGGAGGAGAGGGCATTCCATGAATGCACAGGAGATAGCAGGATCGCAGGAGGCAGGGGAGTGGCGGTGGCTTTTACCTGCAAGAGGACATTAGGTTAGGAAGGTACAGACCAGACTGGGGAGGCACTGGAAGGTAGACTGAGGAGGTGGAGTCATGCAGAGGGGCTGAAAGTTTTACAGCAGCTGCTGATGAGGCCACCCCACGGTTTAGGAAGCTGAAGCCAGAGTGGTCTTAGATGTGTCGCATAGGGCAGGGGTAGGGTCGGGGGCAGTTAGGAGGCTGTGTCCAGATACCGAAGGGAGGCATCTGGGCCAGGCAGGGCATGGGGCGTCCAGGGAAAAGGTGAGCGGGAGAGCCTTCAGGAGGACTCAGAGCCTTGGCATGGCTGGTGCAACACAGTGGAGAGGGAGCACTAAGCGCTCAGGCCTGGGGGCCCTCACAGAGTCAGGCATGGAATGGCCTGGCCTGATGTCTCCGGGAAGGGTGCCCACTGGGCAGCAGCGGCTGGAAGGCTGGGTGGGACAGTCTCTACCCCTTCTCTAGGCTTGTCACATGGGTCTGAGGTGGCATCTCTGGGGCAGGGAAAAGGTCCAGTGTGGCTTTGAGGCATGGAGAGAAGGGTGACTAGGAGGCTGAGGGAAGGATGAGAGCCCAGGCCACTGAGGAGAGGGCATGGGCCTCTGGAGTGGCCTTAGGTGGTGTGGCTCAGGGGCTTTCACCCAGCCTAGAGGTGGCTAGGCAGGAAAGGGCAACCAGGGTGAGAAAGCACACTGAAATGCCGGGCCTGGACACCTGCGGGTGGGCAGCAGGGTGACTAATTGTCCCCATTTGCCTGGAACTGTCTCGGTTTTAGCACTGAAAGTCCTGAGTCTGGAACACACCTCAGTCCTAGGCACACCTGGATGCTCGGCACCCTGGGGGAAGAGGGGGCTGCGGGAGGCTGGGGCAGGGAGGGGGCCTCTTGGGGGCCTGTCAGTGGAATGCTCTGAGGGACCAGAGGCCAAAGGTGCGAGGGAAGTGTCCCGCAGGCAGGTCCCCAGGGCTGGGCAAGGGAGCCTCTGATGAGGCATAGAGGTCACCACTGATATTCATACTGATAACAGTAACACCCTGCACTCCAAGGTCTAACACTGCCAGAGCCTCACACAGATGATGCCATTGGATCTCTTTAAGCTCTGCAACCTGTGAATTAGCCAGGGCAGGTGCTATTAGCTTCTTTTTGGAGATGAAGGTCAGAGACCTGCCCAGGAGTCTCTAGGGTGGGGCCCTCCCAACTGCCTCTGAATCACTGTGGCTGGTGGCCCATCCCTGCAGCACTCTCTCCAGCGCGTACCTTTGGCCTCATACTGTGGAAAACCTGTCTGCCCAAGTGGCGCCTGGCTGTCCCACCTCCCTCCCCACCCTGCAGGGCAGCCCGGGAGGCAGGGGGGCCTTCCTGGTTCTGCTGACAGGCATTGGGGGTTCCAGAGAGGGCCTTCACTTTGTGTCCTCAACCTCCCAGGGCCCCCTCATGGCCTCCACTACCCCAGGAGATGCCCTTCAGCCTCCCTCCCTGATCTCCCGTCTCCTCTTCCAGATCCCAGCCCCTCACCCCAGAAGTATCTCCTCCTGCTCCACAGAGCTCCCTTCTCCATTCTGTGGCTTTCTAGCAGGGAAGTGCCGCCACACTCAGCCAGGCAATATGCCCAAGCACGTGGTGAGCAGTTATCATCTGTAAGGCACAGTGCCTGCTGAGGGGTGGTGGGGCCACACACATGGAGCAGGCCCTGCTTGCCCTCAAAATCTTAAGACTGGGTAGGAGAAGAGTCCATGAACACATACACCCTGCTATAGATCGTCTCCCATGTGCCACCACACCGTGGGTGCCCTCCTCACTTCTCACAGGCCTCTGGGCCCACTCGGGGTTCAGAGGCTGCCCTGTCTTCTCAGTCCACCCCATCAAGGCAGGGCCTACTGCCACCACCCAAGGCCTCACTACTCTGCCTGACTGCTGCTGTAGTGGGTTCTGTGATTGGCACCCACTGGAGCTCAGACCTTGATTCCCGAGATGGAGAACTTAGGCCTCAAGCCTGGAACCCAGAGCACTGGGCCCCCATGCATTCCTCTCAGCCCCTGCTTTCCTCCTGGGGCTTTGTGAAGACACAGGCCTCTCTTTCAGCTTCCTGCCAAAGGCTGGGGACAGAGGTGGAGAGGTTGCGGTGTCAAGATCCCTGAAGGGTAAAAGGAAGCAGAGTAGGGCTTAGAGGGCTGGTGAGGGCGGTGAGCACAGTGAGCAGTGGATGCAGTTGGTAACATTCACACAGTTTGGGCCGGAGCCTGGCAGGCACCATACCTTTGTAAACCTCCCCTGGGACTTCTGCCCCTCCCCAGTAGGCCGCCCTGTCCTGGTTCCCCATAGACCCACAGCAAATGTGTGCAGAAGGGACCAATAGCCTCCCACCTAGTCATAAACCAAAGTCCTTTGACCAACAATGTTAGCAAAGCAGGCTGGAATTTTTCAGAAGAGCATTCCTAAAAGGAGAGATTACCTAAGGTGAAGAAAGGGCCCGGGCTCTAGACTCAAATAGTCCCCAGTTGGGACTAACTACACACTTGGTGGGCGACCTCAAGCAGATTTCTTAATGTCTCTGAACGCTGGCAATGTTTTAATCTATAAAAGAGGGGAAGATCATAACCATTACCTCCAAGAGCTGATATGAGATAACTGATACTGTAAGAGAAACTGGCACACAAACACTTTCCTGCCCACCGTGGAGATAAAGGAGGATCACTCTTTTCCTCCTCTCCATTTTCCAAATTGTATCCTGATGGTGGTTACGTTACTGCTCTAATTGAGGGGATATAAAGGTGACTAAGAAAGCCACCACAGGCCGGGTGTGGTGGCTCATGCCTGTAATCCCAACACTTTGGGAGGTCGAGGTGGGTGGATCACCTGAGGTTAGGAGTTTGAGACTAGCTTGGCTAACATGGTGAAACCCTGTCTCTACTAAAAATACAAAAGTTAGCCAGGAGTGGTGGCGGGCGCCTGTAATTCCAGCTCCTCGGATGGCTGAGGCAGGAGAATCACTTGAACCCAGGATGCAGAGGTTGCAGTGAGCTGACATCGTGCGACTGCACTCCAGCCTGGGTGACACAGAGAGACTCCGTCTCAGAAAGAAAAGAAAGAGAGAAAGAGAGAGAGGAGGAGGAGGAGGAGGAGGGAAGGAGGGAAGGAAGGAAGCCACAACAGCCCCTGCCTCTGAGGAGCACAGAGTCCCCACTGGGATCAAGAGACATCAGGAGCAAGGATCCAGGGAGACAGGAGAGCTGAGCAAGGGCACTGGCTCTGTCTGCAGGGGACTAAGGAAGGCCACCATGGCT
The DNA here is from genome assembly GCF_000001405.40 of Homo sapiens. NCBI lineage: Eukaryota > Metazoa > Chordata > Mammalia > Primates > Hominidae > Homo > Homo sapiens. Next base: position 40,350,337 of record NC_000015.10, read on the forward strand.
AGAGCACGCCAAGCAAGAGGTTGTGGCAGGCATCAGAGGCCACAGGGGTCAGTGGGGACCGGACCACAAGGGGCTTTCGGAGTGCAGAGCAAGCTGGCAGGCTGGGCTCCCTCCCCGCCTGCCTAGATCCATCCCAAAAGTTCCCTTTTCTGTGTCTAATTTCCATTCTCAGGCTAGCTCCCTGGGCTGGGCAGCACATCTGACAATTCAGGCCTGGGGCTTGGCGCCCAGGGCAAATATTCCACCAGGTCCTCCACTATGGTCACTATTTATTCCTCCACCTGCTGAAAGGAGGTAATCATCCTATCTATCTTGTGGGACTCATTGGGTTACTAATGTGTGTGAAGCACCGCATGCCTGGCCTGGCATTCAGTAGGAACTCTACAAATGTTCAGAGCCAGTCCCTGGTGTAAACAGCCTTGCCAGTGTTGGGGACTTCTGCCTGGATTCTGTGGCATCTCGTTACCACACCAATCTGGTAACGGCTTGTTCCCCAGCCTCCCCATCACACACACACACACACACACACACACACACACACACACATCCTGCTTTCAACTGTCCTTTGCCCAGATAAGGATTAGCCCATCCCTCTTCATTCCCTCGAGCCTTCTGCATCTGGCCCTCCCAGTGCACCTGTTCAATCCCAGCCCCTCCCTGACCTGTACAAATACACCTGAGGACAGACAGTGCCCCAGACTTCCTGCCCCTGCTCTGCACTCTCAGGTAGGGACCTGGCTCTACTTGCTGTTGGCTGGGGACAGTAGGGTCTCTGTGGGGTATGTTGTGTGTGCATGTGGTCAGGGTCTCTCTGGGTGTGTATATGCATTGAATTGGTATCCGTGCTTCCGTGTCTCTGCATGAGGGTGTGTGTCTGTCCATTTGCACTGTCCCCACTCCTGGGCTGGGCCCCTACACTTCCACTGTCTTCTTCAGTTATGATTTATAGCCTTTGCCATGCCAGGCAGCAGGGCTTAGCTGAGAGTGGAAGAAATTGCATGAGGTCCCTTCCAGAGCTGCCAACTCCTGTCCCTCAAACACCTGGGCCTGAACTGGGGAGATACATTCTGAGGATTGTCTTTTCTCTTTCGTCTTACCCGATCCTGACTGGCCCTGAGGTTTTCTTTACCTCTCCTCCCCGCAAAGCCCAGCCCCATAGGTCTCTTCCAGCTTTATCACTCACTAAGGGAAAGGACGAGGGAGCACGAAGGACCATGGGTATAGTTCACAGGCTGACCTCAGCTGAACACTTTGAGTACAAGTAGAGGCCAGTGAAAATGGGTAGCTCAAGAGGTGCAGGGGGCCGGGTGCAGTGGCTCATGCCTGAAATCCAGCACTTTGGGAGGCTAAGGTGAGAGGATCACTTGAGCCTAGGCTACATAGTGAGACCTTGTCTCTACAAAACAATTTTTTTTTTTGAGACAGAGTCTTACTCTGTCACCCAGGCTGGAGTGCAGTGCTGCAATCTCGGCTCACTGCAGCCTCTGCCTCCCGGGTTCAAGCGATTCTTCTGTCTCAGCCTCCCAAGTAGCTGGGACTACAGGTTCCCGCCACCATGCCCAGCTAATTTTTGTATTTTTAGTAGAGACGGGGTTTCACCATATTGGACAGGCTGGTCTCGAACTCCTGACCTCAAATGATCCACCCATCTAGGCCTCCCAAAGTGCTGGGATTACAGGCATGAGCCGCTGTGCCCAGCCAAAAAAAATTTTTTTAATTAGCTGGGTGTGGTGGCACATACCTATAGTCCCAGCTACTCCAGAGGTTAAGGTGGGAGGATTGCTTGAACCCTGGAGGTCGAGGCTTCAGTGAGCTGTGATCACGCCACTGCACTCCAGCCTGTATGACAAAGTGAGACTGTCTCAAAAAAACTTTTAAAGAGGCACTAAGGCTCCCTAGAAAAAAAAGAGGTTCAGGGGGCTGTGTCTTGCAAGAGGCTAGGGTTGTTGTATTGGGGGCGCTGTTTGTTTTTGTATGCTCAGCAAACTTGTAAGTACCAGAAAGCCCTGATGTCAAGTATTTGCTCCTGACGTCACATACTACACTCCCATTTGAGGGTTGAAAAAAAATGAATGTACTGTATGTTCACTGGGCCCATTCTGGGGTTGTCCATTGTGACTTGCCAGCCCCAAGCAAGACATGGCCAGCCTTGGCACCACGTTACCTCAGCAGCTCCATCTCATGACAGCACGGCTTGTTGGTGAATGACAAGTTGGCTCAGACTCCAAGCTCCCACCCCCTTCCAATCCTGGTGGGAGGAGACAGGTACAAGCAGCTAGGACCCCATGGAAGGCTTTCCATTCACTTGAGCCCCAGGGCAAAAATCCATTCACTTGTGCCCTCAGGGGCCACCAACCCCATTCCTGTCCTAGCAAACCATCCTTCCCGTCCCTGCACTGGGCACACTGATAGCTCCAAGCTTCCTGCTCCCATGCCATGCCAGATGTTTACACAAGACAAGAGTCTGTAGGGACAAGCATACCATGACCTGGCACAGGGCAGACACACAACATGAATAATTAGCAAATGAACGGATATTGAAATCTTCCCAAGAGGAATCGGATTAACACACAATTGTTGAGTCTAGGGGGGCAAGTGTAAGAGTATGGGGTGTAGGGGCTGGTACATGGTGCTGTTGTGTCTCCATCTACCCACCATGTAGGTGAACCCGCTGTGTCCATTTAACCCCCATGCCTGGCACCTACAGTGCCAGCTCTATATTGGGGCCAAGCTAAGCCGGAGGGAGCAGTTTTTTCCCTTTCTTCCTTTGAAGGGTGTGTGTGTGTGTGTGTGTGTGTGTGTGTGTGTGTGCGCGCGCGCGCGCATCCGTGGGAGGGAGAAAGGAAAGACTGCAATTTAGATTACAGTAAATTAAAAGTTACCTTTTGAACACAGGTATTCCCTGCTCTTACTCCAAAAAGATGGACCCAGGTAAGCACTGTGGCTGAGAGGCTGGGAATTGGAAGAAGGGAGAGAGCAGGAGAGCGGTAAAGGCAGGGACTATCAGTCAGCCATAACTAGTGCGTGCCAAAAATGTACGTGCGTGTGTGTTTGTATGAAGGCAGTGGTAGGGGTCCACAATGAAGACAAGCCCTTACATACTGTAGAACATGTTACAGTTTAAAAAGCATGCTTACTCATCATGTTCTTAGGTGCTTCTAAGGGTAGGTGCTTCTCCCACCGCACACTCAAGGCCCAGGGGAGCTAGGGGTTATGCTCAGGGAAAGGCCATAGAGGTGCAGCTGGGTCGGAATCCAGAATCCAGTTCTTGGGAGCTGTGCCATCGGCTTCCCTCGAAATGAACAAAAGACCGTCCTAGCCTTTAAGAAGTAGCAGGTGATTCCCACACCAATGGGGCACTTCAGAACATGCAGGACCACTCAGGTGGGTGCTGCAGGAGCCCAGTGGACCCACAGCTGGGCAGCCTGGATGGCTCCCATGTGGATTTCCTGCATGAGGGCAACACGCAGCTGCTCCAGGGAGATTTCCAAGTGGGAGGAGGCATGAGCAAAGGCCAAGAGCTGAGAACAGAAGGTCATAAACAGGAGACAACAAACAGCTCTGAGAGGCTGAGCAGAGATTGGGCCGAGATACGTGGGGCGTGACAGGGGCAGAGGACAGATGGGGAGGTTGGCAGGGCTGCTGGCCTGGAGGTAGAAGCAAGAATCAGGTGGATGACAGGGTTGGCCACCATGGAGCACCTCCAGGCTGACAGAGTTGAGACAAGAACCCATACCTCCTAACTGGCGCCACTCCACCCAGGAGGACTCAGCCAGCCCTTGAGCACACAGGGACACACTGCTGAACCTTATATTGACTTCCAATATGTATCTTTGCTGAGAGAATGAATGAAGGAATGATTGTCAGGCAAGTGACCATGTCTGAGAGGCCCTGTTGGGTTAGGGGTGTGGGCACAAAATCCTTAGTGCCAGGGAGAAGACAGGTTTTTTTTTACTGCAGAACCAAATGACCAAAGCTGCTTCTTTTTTTTCCCTTCCTCTCCCACAGGTCCGAAGGTAGGAAAGTTCCCCCAATGGTCTCCCCTTTTTCCTCCCACTGTCATGTCCTCCAGACCCCTAGCCTCCTTCCTAGACCCTCAGGGAGCAGCCACCACTTCCCCCAAATGAAAAGAAGGGAGCAGGCTCAGGCAGCAGCCCCGTGGAGTGGGGGTGGGGTGGGCAGCGCTGCACTCCTCCACCCCCTGCTGGCTGCAGCCTTCTTGGCGTTCTCTCCTCTGTTTTCCCATCTGTCTCTCTCCTTTCCTCACGTCCCCTCCCTGCCCTAGCAGCCCATCCTCTCTCCTGCTGCTTCCCCGCCTGTGCTATGCTTTTCTGCTTTCCTGGCTACCCCCACAGCCTTGCTGGATAGCTGGCTTGCTCCCAAACTCCAACCACACTATGGGGCCCCTAGGACCTACTCCTGCCAGAGAAAGGAGACTGCGTCTCCTCCACCTCTTCTCACCCACTGGCTACCACCAGCAGACTCAGTTCCTAGGCCTGGTCTGTGTGCCAACCCCCAAACAAAAGAGCCATAGGCAGAGAGGCAGGTGGGGTGGGAAGTGGCTGTTTCCAGGCATCACTGAGCCTGGATGGGGCAGGGGCTGCTCTACCATGGTCACAGGAAAGCGCCCAGCCCTGGAGCCTGCCTCTTCCCCACTGGTACCAAGCCCTAATCAAGCCCTAGGAGGCAGAAGGAGACTGGGGAGTTATCCAGCCCAGACAGTGGGAGCATAGCCCCGCCCTGCTCCACAGGGCCCCAGACCCCGAGTCCCCTACCACAGAAGCAAGGTGGTATCTCTTGCCTGCCCCCTGGGCTTGTGGCAAAAAGTTAAAAAAACAAAAAAAAAACAAAAAACTCCCCTGGCCTTGGGACTTCAGGAATGATTCCAGCCAAGATGGAAGGTTAAACCACACTTTTTCCAGACCTCTTCTGACTGAGGCAGAAAAGCTTTGATTTTACTTTCTATTCTTCCTGATTTCTTGGGTCTGGCATCCGCTCAGGAACAGGTATGAGCTCGCACATACTCATGTACACAGAACCATGCACTCCATGCACGTATCTGTGTACATACCAAGCTTGAATATGAACCCACCCATGCACACGTACACAAACATAGCTATTTTATATAAATATGGCACACACCGTCTACACACATACACACTACCTATAAAAAGAATACATACATCCTCACCTTGCCACCTCCTACCCTCCGTGTCTTCTCATCCTCCAACTGTCTTCCTTCTTCCCCTCCTCAGCTCTTTCATCTCCCCTGACCCAGCCTCCTGTCTCCCCCTGCCCCTGGCCTTCAAAGAGCTCTTCTGTAGCCTCCTCTAGCCTCACCCTTGCTCCTAAGTACAATGAGCCTGCAGTTCCTAGCATGGCAAAGCCTCTAATCACTCTGCAAGGGTTCCTGGGTGAGAGAAAGGAGAAGATGAAATAATTCTGCTTCTTAGTTGCAAATAAAATAAATCGAGGTACAGGGAGCGGGAGTCATATCTTGGCTCAAAGAATAGAAACCAATAAATCTAGGTTGCTTGCCTTTTATCTGCTCAGTGTTCTGGCCTCACCAAGGCAAAAGGCACGGGACATGCTACCCATGCCCCCAGCCCTCCACCGCAACTCCTTACTTGCCTAGAAATCCTGAGTCCCCCAGGGAAGTGGAGTGAGGGAGAGCTGATCTCAGGTAAGCTTAGCCCTGACCTCTGACTCTGACATTGTTCATTTGACTTTCCACAGGGGCACTGCCACTGTGGGGGGCATGGCCATCCTCCAGGTCACTGCGGGCCACCCCCTGGCCATGGCCCAGGGCCCTGCGGGCCACCCCCCCACCATGGTCCAGGGCCCTGCGGGCCACCCCCTGGCCATGGCCCAGGGCCCTGCGGGCCACCCCCCCACCATGGTCCAGGGCCCTGCGGGCCTCCCCCTGGCCATGGCCCAGGTCACCCACCCCCTGGTCCACATCACTGAGGAAGTAGAAGAAAACAGGACACAAGATGGCAAGCCTGAGAGAATTGCCCAGCTGACCTGGAATGAGGCCTAAACCACAATCTTCTCTTCCTAATAAACAGCCTCCTAGAGGCCACATTCTATTCTTTAAAGAGCCTGTCTTCCTTCATATCCAACCTGGCTGTCAGAGGACCCAGTTGTCTCCAAGCTCCCTAGTTGTGAAGATGGGGCAACCATCCTGGCATTCTCAGAAGCTTAATGCCATGGTGCTCACTATAAATGGCTGTGTAAGGTCACCTCTCCTTTCCTTTTCACTCCTGTGCCCTCCCATCGAGGAACTTCAAGTGTGGCCTCATTACCTCTATGCCATCCTGTACATCCAGATCTGGTGGGCCTTCCAAGGTTGCAGCTTGCATGCCTCACTCTACAGACCAGAAGCCTCCCTCCAATCCAGATGGTTTCTCACCATTCCCTTAAAATACACTGAACTTTCCAGCCCCCTTACCTTTGTTTGCACAGGTAAGGAAGAATGCCCCCACCCCAGGTCAGGAAGGCCTTCCCTCTCTCCTACCTCCACATTTCAAAGCCCACCCTTTCTTCCAAGCCAGCTGAAGCCCCACCATCTCCAAGAAGCCTTCTCTAAGGCCTATTAGGAAGAAAGAGGTCCTTCCTTTTTGCATACTGTCCCCTTCTCAACCACCTCATGGGCCTCACCATATCTTGCCTATTGGCAGCAATTTATGGGCTGGCCCTTTATCTCTCCAACCAAACTATAAGCTATTCAGGGCAGACCCAACACTTCTACACCTCTAGATTCTTCCACCCCATTTCTTATGACCTGTGTCTTACACGGACTGGCATTGGCACACATTTTAGGGATACCTATAGTCCAAGTGTTCCTGACTCTCTCCTCAGCCCCATGTCTTCAACCAAGGCCTCTCCCTGCACAAGTAACCAGGCCCTGAACAGCCTGCTTGCTGTAAAACCCTTTCTGCCTAGTCAAATCCCACATCCAGGATCCTCTCCACTCCCAGCCCCCCAGGCTTCTCACACTGCCAATATCTATTCTAGTTCTAGACCCCTTAGCCAGGCCTGTCCACAGTCCATCATACCCAAATGTGCTCTACTCACAGCTACTCCCTGGTGGGGGAGGTGGCACTGGAGTCAGTGGCTATTGGGCACCTCCCAGTGCCCTGGAGTCAGTGGCTATTGGGCACCTCCCAGGCTGAGGTGGGGTGGGGGGGCAGCGGTGACTATAAAAAAGGATCTGGGATCACTCAATATACCCTTATAACAAACCTGCACATGTGCCCCTGAATCAAAAATTAACCTTAGCTTACTGTGATTTGTTTGCTTTATAAACCTTTTAAATTTTAAAAAAGAAAGAGAAGGAGCTGGGGATGATCTGAGCGCCTCTCTTCTTCCCCCACCTCCTTCACCAGACTGCGCACTTGAGTAACGGAGTCAGGGCTCCGCATCTAAGGGGTGCACACCCAGGTCCAAGTCGAAGTCCAGAAGGATGGGAAGAAAGACCCAACCTGATGCCTCGCCCCACTGGGGAGGGGAGGAGGGCGCTGAGCGAGCCGGGAACCTCGCAGGCCTGAAGCCGCCCGCCTCGACCCGGGGCGTCCAGCGTGGTGAAGTGCGGGCGTGGAGCTCGCCCTCTATCCGGCTGGAAGGGTCTGCGTTTTGATTTGTGAGGATCTCTGCATGTGTCGCGCTCTCTGGTTCCTTACGGGAAGGCCGAGGCCGCTAGGAAGGGTTGCACGGCCGGACTCCTAACAGCGGCTCTCTGGCCTGGCGGGAGCAGAGGGGCGCTCACATCCGCAGCCCCGGGATCTTAGAGACAGAGCGCTCCGCTCCGGCAGCGGCGCCGCGCCCATTGGCTGGGCTCCTCCTCGCCCCGCCCAGCGACCGGCCCGCTCAGAGCCTACGCATGCGCACGAGCACCCCGCCGCCGCTGCCGCCGCCACCGCCGCCGCCGCCGCCGCCGCCGCGGCTTCAGCACCAGCGCCCGGACAGCGGTGCCGCCCACGGGCATGGACGGTGACAGCAGCAGCAGCAGCGGCGGCAGCGGTCCGGCTCCCGGCCCGGGTCCGGAAGGGGAGCAACGGCCCGAGGGGGAGCCCTTGGCCCCAGACGGCGGCTCCCCGGACAGGTAGGGCGGACAGCTCCGCAGATCCGTATCACAGACCCTCCCAGACCCTCCCCGCCCCAGGTATCCCCAGTAGCCGCCATATGTTGCCCCATTCATTCCCCAGACCCTCCCGGAGCCCCTTCCCGGGGTCGCCAAGCTCCAGGCCCCCCTCGCCACGCCCTCATCCTGCCGGGTCAATTTCCTCGCTCCCTGACACCCCCTAGTGTCAGCCCCCATCGCCCTCCCCGCTTAGGGAACCTGCCCCACCCACGGCTCCTACCCCTCCTCTCAGGCCAGGACTCCCTGGCTCCTCCGGCCCCTCCTTCTAGGCCCTGCCCCTGCGTCTTCTCCGGAAGCCCCAAGCCCGCAGTAACCTCAGTCCGGGTTTCAGCGTGCCAGTGTGCATGAAGGTGTGCGTGAATCGCGGATGGGAGGCTCGCCAAGGCGGGTGTCCTGGGGAAGGCAGACATTCGGCAGGCACGTCAGGGACTGTCTTTGTCACCATCAGTCGCTTGCCTGCCCTGCATGACCCCCAGCTGTGCACGTGTGGGTTCCAGTCCCTGCATGTGGCAGCCACACTGGCTGGAGCCGCTAAGATGGGAAGGATTTGGTGCTCAGGCTGCTGGCCTGTACCACCCCTGGAGGAGCCCCATACTGGTGGGACAGGAGGGACACCTTCCTGCTGAGGGCCCAGATCTCAGCACCTCTCTTCTCCCTTCCTCCACCATATGTGTGAGGGAACAGCCCAGCTAGGTAGCAATATGGCGCAATTTCTGTGCCCTGCCTGGCTCTGCCGCCCCCAGAATCCCTCCTCTGACATGACACTGCCTCTTTCCTGCCTGGACTGAAATAAAAGGCATTCCTTGATAGCAATAGCAGAAGTGGACACATCGTCTCCAGAATACCCCAGTTAAAATGTACATTCTGTACCCCAGAGGGGGAGAAAGCCCCACAAGTAGAGAGAAATGCTTTCTTCCCTTTATTGTTAACACATTAGCCTGGATAGATTTAGCCACTCTTCAGTCTGAAAGTCACAAAGCCTTCAAGAAGGTGAGACACAGGATGGGTGTATTCACCAGTCCAGGGACCTGCCTGGGACTATGGCCTGATCAAAGATGGGGCAGTGACAGGACAGAGCGAGGACCTGGGGCCAGAAGCATCCCTAGAAGGGGCAGGAGAGTCATTTGCTGTCTCAGATATCTTGCCAAGGATCAGCCATGTCCAGTCTCATTTCCCCTGGGCACAGGATCCACTTGCTCTCTTCCAGAAACTCCCTGGGGCCTCTGGCCCCTCTCTGGACTTCTCCAGAGACCATAGACACTAATTGGGCATAGGGACTTGCTTATGTGATTCAAGAAACACAAAAATGCTCCTGCTGACCTGAGTAGCACTCTGGGGATAGATACACAGTGAATAACTCACACACACAACATGCGCATGTGCACACACACTGGCTAGAGAGGAATTTGAAATAGTTCACACTTTGTGTTTTTAAAATTACCTTTTTATTTTCCTAGTGATATGAGCTGCTTCCCCATCTGTCCTGGCCACTCTGTGGGATCACACTGATGTTCACCTGGCTGTGTGTCTGTGGGCTTGGGGGTATAGTTAATGCGATATACATTTGCCCCTTATGGGGCTTCCAGGTTTGGTCTCTGTGTCTAGGAGCCTGTCAGCCAGGCCCTGATTGCTGGGATGCTGGCCTCTTAAATGAGGCCTGCATCCCCACTTTCCATCCCCCTGCCTGCCCTACTCACTTGGCGTACAGGCCTGCAGGCCCGGGCAGGCAACCCTGGAAGTTACTCATCCCAGTGAGGGCCATGGAACTGAGGGAGTGAGAATAAAAAACCCCTGTGTAGCCCTGGGGTGCTTAACTCCTATTTTACTGAGCCTCCTGAGATCAGAGGGCAGCAGGAGGTGACAAGAGAAAGCTTTTATTCTGAGAAGAGTGGAGGTCGGTTTTTCTCATGGGAGTTTTGAAGAAAAGGCCTGGCTCTACAGCAGTCAGAATATGGAAGGTTTCAAATTCTGCCACATTGATAATGGTGGGCACAGTCAGGAAGGGTGAGATTGGGGGCAGCTGATCCTAGGTCCCTGAAGAGGAATAGTAGGAGTTAAAGGGAAGGAGCTGGGGCCAGGGAGACTCCAGCAGAAGCAAACCAGTGGTGGAGGCTAAGATCCCCCTTGAACAAGAGCCAGCTAAGGAAAAGGGTGGACTTGGGAGGTTTTAGAAAACTGGGTAACCAAGAGTGCACCCACTCTTCTCCCGTATCCTCTGGAATGCTGGCTTCCCCTAATGCAAAAGAAACCAACACTCCAAGTGGGGCCCTGGCTCCTAAGACAAGCCCAGTGATCAGTTATCTAAGGCCATGGGCAGCTGGAACAGGCCCCCCACCTCCACCCAGGCTGCCCCACTCTCCTGACCTCTAGAAGGCAAGCCCTGCTCTGAAGAGGGAGACCAAGGCTGATGGGTCATCTTCAGGCCTCTAGGAGCAAGGACAATGCTAAAGCACAGGACAGTGCTCAAGAAAAACCCGCAGAATTTAACATCTTAAAGAGGTCTATGTCCACACTTACACACACAACCTAGGCCATTTATCCACCTTCTCACTGGCCCACAGGGATTGGCCTACAGAGTATTTTATCTGCCAGGACACTGGCTGCTTACGTTATTAACTTTATGGAGTCATCTGAGGTCTTGCTTTAGAACAACTTTGGTCAAATTCCTATTTTCCTAAATGTTGAGTTTGTAAAAAATAAGTATCAGTGATTAAAATCATGAGATCAAATTTTAATGCAGCTTTTGGATAACAAGAAGGAAAGTATTTATATAGGTAGTGAGATTCTCAAGGTGTGAGAAGTTCTAAAATGGAGATATATTATCTGAGGTGCCAAAAGAGGACAAATTGTAAATACAAACACACTTCTAAAAGTATATGCTCCCTGCTGCACTGACCGTGGGAAGGGGCAGGAAAGCAAACGTGTCTTCCACGTGACAGACCCTGTGCCAGGAACCTCACATATGTTACATCAGTTAATTCCCACACCAAACCCAAGAGGTGGGCATTATCTCATATCTTCAACAGACAAGGATGCCAATGCTCCAAGAATTGTGTGTCTTTCCCAAGGCCCCAGAGCCAAAGGGTGTTTGAGTCAGAAGCCCACCTCCACTGCTCCCCCATTTCACCCTCAGCATGAAGGTCATTCTCTCCTGTACTGCCGGGCCAGCCTGCCATCCTTCTGGGAAAGAAAGAAAGAGCATGTTTTTCCTTCCTAGTTCCTCTTCTCAGTCTCTGGGCTGAACTCAGCCTCTGTGGGCAATGCCCATCTGCCACTGAGGCTGGGACTGCAGCTCACAGCCCCTTCAGCAGTGCAGCAGCCAGGACTGGAAGCCAGGGTTGGCTCCGCATAGGTCTGACTCTCCTTGGGAGCTACACAAACTCTGGTGAGCAGGCTGGGTGAGCCAGGCAGAGGCAGGGGAGAAGAAGACAGGGCTCTGCAAGGCTGACCAGTCCAGAACCCCTCTGGGAACCCCCCATGGCCCTGGGCACTCTGTTCTGTAGCCACCTTTTCCTAATCTGGGTCTGCAATCCTGCCACTGGGGTTGAGACTCTACCTCTCCCTATACCCAAGGAGTGGGGCTGCACACATGCACAGAGTATTGCCCTTATGAGTAATTTTGGGAGAAGACTCTTGCTAACTCTTTTCTGACAAGTTCCTTGGGGTGAGGGGGTGTCCCAACTCCCTCTCCCAACTGTGCACATCCTTACAAAGCAAATCTTCTGCTCCGTGCTCCATGGCCCATGACAGGGTAGGTGGAGGGATGGCAGTTGCTTCCACAAACTTTCCCTGACCACCCCACCCCCTGTCAAAGTTGGGCCCTCTCTGAGCTCCCTCAGCCCTCTGTGACTTCTCCACTCACAGCATTCAACATGTTGGTCTGTTAACACCTCCCAACTACTGTGAGTGCCTAGAAGGCAAGGACCGGGTCTTCTTCATCCTAGCACCACTATTAGCAGCCAGCCTAGCACTCATTCAACAAACATTTCCAGGACGCCTTCTCTGTGCAAGGCACTACCAAGGCACTGGCGATATGGAGATGAACAAATGCAACAGACCCCTGTTCTCCCAGCACTCACATTCCACATGAAAGATAGGCAATAAACATAACGACTCTATAATATAATATTCAATTGCAACAGATGCTATGAAAAAAATATAAAGCAAGATAGGGAGATTGAGACCTGGTGGGTGACTATTTTAGAGAGAGTAGTCAGGAAAGGCTTCTCTGAGGTAGTACTAGTTGAAACAAGACCAGAATAAAAAAGAGGGCCATGCAGTTATCGGGGGGGATAGAGCAACCCAGGCAGAGGGAAGAGAAAGTTCCAAGGCTCTAAGATGGGAATTAGGAGTGCAGCACGTGCTCAATAATCTGTCTGGCAAGAGAAAGAGCAGACGACTGCAGCAGAAAGAGCACAGGACTGCAAGTCGGAAGAACTGGGTTTGAGTACCAGCTCTTCATCTGTCACTGAACCTGTTTTCAAATCTATCAGTTGAAGAAAATACCTCCTCTGTGAGGTTTTATAAGGAGTGAGTAAGATCGGCTGGGCGCGGTGGCTCACGCCTGTAATCCTAGCACTTTGGGAGGCCGAGGCAGGCGGATCACGAGGTGAGGAGATCAAGACCATCCTGACTAACACGGTGAAACCCCGTCTCTACTGAAAATACAAAAAAAAAAAAAAATTAGCGAGTCGTGATGGCGGGCACCTGTAATCCCAGCTACTCAGGAGGCTGAGGCAGGAGAATGGCTTGAACCCGGGAGGCGGAGCTTGCAGTGAACTGAGATAGCGCCACTGCACCCCAGCCTGGGTGACAGAGCGAGACTCCATCACAAAAAAAAAAAAAAAAATCATATATGTGAAAGCACATTCAGTGTCTAGCACAGGGCCTAGCATGTAGCAGCCTGCCAATTGTTTTTTGAGAGTGTGGAAAATGAGTGAATGAGAGAATGGTCTCCATGAGGTAGGCTGAGGGCGCAGACTTCGAGCCCCTGGCCTCCTCACCTCTCACTTCTCCCCCAGGACTAATAAATCAACCCTGAGTCCCTGTCCCCTTGTCTTGTCTTACTGAACTGAATAATGCTGGGGCATGGGGTGGCCCACCACCATCCCCCACCCCAATCTTCCTTGTCTCCTCTCTTCCTAGCACCCAGACCAAGGCTGTGCCCCCTGAGGCAAGCCCAGAGAGAAGCTGCTCCCTCCACAGCTGCCCCCTGGAGGACCCTTCCAGCTCTTCAGGACCCCCACCAACAACTTCCACCCTCCAGCCTGTGGGTCCATCCAGCCCCTTGGCCCCTGCCCACTTCACCTATCCCCGGGCACTGCAGGAATACCAGGGGGGCAGTTCCCTGCCAGGACTTGGGGATCGGGCAGCTCTCTGCTCCCACGGCTCCAGCCTCAGCCCTTCTCCAGCCCCCTCACAGCGCGATGGGACCTGGAAGCCACCCGCTGTGCAGCACCATGTGGTCAGCGTCAGGTAAGGAGGGGTCCAGCAGCCTGCCAGCTGCCACTGGAAAATGCGGTGGGGCTTAAGAGTGGGGCAGACTGCCGGGGCTCTAGACTCCTTTCTTAGGAGGCAACCAGATGCAACAGGAAGTAAGGGTTGGAACTTGGGAGTGGCAAAGCGCTAAAAGGGTTAATACCATGGGTTATCCCTCACCTACCCACTCCCACCCCACCTCCACCCCCAACACACGCCCTCTGCAAGAGAACTCTGGCAAGCAAGCATCTTTTCTTCTCTTCCACAGGCAGGAACGAGCCTTCCAGATGCCAAAGAGGTAGGCCTGGGCCTTCCCTGGACCTCTAGGGGTGACCAGGCTGGTGCCCAGTTAGCCCTGTTCCCCGTGCTCTCTGCTCTATCTAGCACCCCTTCTGGGTGGAGCCTGAGCTCAGCACCCGTTGCTACCACACCCAACTCATGTGGACTCCTCCCTCTTTCCCAGCTATTCCCAGCTGATTGCTGAGTGGCCAGTGGCCGTGCTGATGCTGTGTCTGGCTGTCATCTTCCTCTGCACCCTGGCTGGACTGTTGGGGGCCCGGCTGCCCGACTTCTCCAAGCCTTTGCTGGTGAGGAACCAAGGGGTGGGACGGGGTCCCCAGGCCTGGCCACCTTGACCCAGCCTGGGGCAGAAAGTTGGAGGTAGGGTAGCCATGGTAGCCTGGGGATAGGGTAGCCATGGTAGGCTCTTGACCTCCAGAGAGAGTTGGGGAGATGGTATAAAGTTCAGACTCACATCCACAATTCAGGCAGGCGGGCTGGCCTTCCCTGCTCTGAGGAGTCAAAGGGGCAGAGCTGAGAAGCACCCAAATGGAGAACTCCTACCCTGCCCACCTGTTCTTCTCCACCCTCCTCCCTGCAGGGCTTTGAGCCACGGGACACAGACATTGGGAGCAAGTTAGTGGTCTGGAGAGCACTACAAGCCCTCACAGGCCCCAGGAAGCTGCTTTTCCTTTCCCCAGACCTTGAGCTGAACAGGTAACAGGCTCTCATCTTTTCACTGTGGGTGGCAGAGGGAAGAATGAGATCTTCAGGAAGGGGACATTGGGTGACCCACCCCAAGGCAGGTCAGAGGGGCTTGCCAAGGAAGGCTCCCTGGGGAGTGGTCTCTGGCCTCCTCTGAGTCTTCCAACCCTAATGGTGCCTGGCATAGATATTCTCTCCACTTCAGCTCGAGCTCCCACAACACTCTGAGGCCTGCACCCAGAGGCAGTGCCCAGGAGAGCGCTGTCCGGCCTCGGAGAATGGTGGAGCCCCTGGAGGACAGAAGGCAAGAGAACTTCTTCTGTGGCCCCCCTGGTAAGCTGCAGCCTGGCCAGTTCCTGGTTTTAATAGTGGTCCCCACCCCACCTAGTAGGACAGGCAGGCCCAGAACAAATCTGGGCAGACAGAAAGGGAAGGTGGCCAGCTGGCCACAGTCAAGCCAAGGAAGCCGGGTTACAGCTGGGATAGGGGAGTTCTCAGATGCTCCAGCCAGACAGGGTCAAGCTGGGTTGGGGTGAGGCACAGGGACAGGATCAGGCAGTCCATGCACAGGCTTGAGATGCCTGAGAATCTGAACCTCATGTGGCCCTGGGTAAGCATCTTCCCTTTGGAGGACCCAGGACCTGGGGCCAAAGGACTGAGCTCCAGGTTGCGGGGGTATGTTGCAGAGAAGAGCTATGCAAAGCTGGTGTTCATGTCCACCTCCTCGGGCAGCCTATGGAACCTGCATGCCATCCATTCCATGTGTCGCATGGAACAGGACCAGGTGAGCTGGTGGGGGAGGTGCCAGGGGTTTGGGGGGAACTAAGGACATGAGGGAACTGATCCCAAGGAAATACAGCTGAGCCAGGACTGCCAGGGGGTGGACTGGGGAAGAGCATTCCCTGCTTAGAAAATTATTCCAACCCTGCTGAGAGGCTCCAGGTTGGGGTGGGAAAAGAAGAGTCGGCTGTTTTTAGAAGAGCCAAGATAGAAGTGCTGGAAGCGAGCCCATGCAGGGACTGCGGGTTTCCAAAAGGTCCTGAAAGGGCCCTCCAGAGCGGGTGAGGAGGCCCTGGCCCAGGGAGCTGAGACTGTGGGCTTCAAGGCCTCAGCCCCCATCAACCTGAGCAGTGCCAATCCAGTTATGCTAACTGGAGAATCATATACAATAACATCTGAAGAAAGGTTTGCTGCTGAAAATGGTGTGAAAACCACGCAGCAGCCCAGCCCCCCACTTCACACGAGGATATCCCAAGTACCAAAAGACTGGTTAAGAACATGCATTATAGAGTCAGATGTCTGAATTCAAGGCCAGCTCTAAGGCTGTCTTGCTATGTGACTTCAGCCATGTTTCTTAACGTCTTAGTCCCTCAGGCTTCATAAGCGCTAAATGGGGATGATAAACGTACTTTCCTCACAGGGATGTTGTGACAGTTAAATGAGATAGAAGTTGAAAAAATACAGCATAATGACTGGCAATAGTAATCTCTCAATAAGTACTGTGTTGCCACCATGATCTCAGGCCCAAGGTTACGCAGCCAGTTAGTGGCAGAGCAAGGGCCTCTGACTCCCAGGTCAGTGCTCTCTGTACTACGTCAGCTGTTGTGATGTCAACAACAGGAAAGGAGAAAAAAGGAGGCATGAGATTTGAAAAAGAAACAGCCCTGGGCCTAAGAGGGTTTAAGCGGTGCAGTGGACAGAGGGGAGCTGGGTTTTGGCAGTGACCCTGAACCTGGAATGTTTTGGCCTCCACTCTTCCCATTGCTTGCTTCAGCTCATTGGACCCTTGGCCCTGTTCTATCTGTGGCTGCTACCTCCACTTTTACATGGAGTTGGGGTGTGTGACCTACAGGGGCCCTTACAGCAGGGTCTCTGAGGCTGAAGCCTTGGGCAGCATCCCTGAGGCTCCTCTTTGATGAAGTCAAGATGTAGCTGCTGGCACCTGGGCCAGGAGCCAAAGGCAGCTGGGAGACAAGCCTATCTCACCAGGCTGTCAAGATCCCTCTCTGCGCTTGCCCTGTAGTGTGAAAGGAGATGAGAGAGCCTTGTATAGGACTGGGAAAACCTGAGCCCTTGGGCTGCCCCTGAACTCTCCCCTCCTGCGTGTGCCCTACAGATCCGCTCCCATACCAGCTTCGGGGCTCTGTGCCAGCGGACAGCAGCCAACCAGTGCTGCCCCAGCTGGTCCCTGGGCAACTATCTGGCTGTGCTCTCCAACCGCTCCTCCTGCCTGGACACTACCCAAGCTGACGCAGCCCGCACACTGGCCCTGCTTCGGACCTGTGCCCTCTACTACCACAGTGGCGCCTTGGTGCCCTCTTGTCTGGGACCTGGGCAGAACAAGTCCCCACGCTGTGCCCAGGTTCCCACCAAGTGCTCCCAGAGTAGTGCCATCTACCAACTCCTGCACTTTCTGCTTGACAGGGACTTTCTGAGTCCCCAGACCACTGACTACCAGGTGCCTTCCCTCAAGTACAGCCTGCTCTTCCTGCCCACCCCAAAGGGTGCTTCCCTCATGGACATCTACCTGGACCGGCTGGCCACCCCCTGGGGGCTTGCTGACAACTACACCTCTGTCACTGGCATGGACCTGGGCCTCAAGCAGGAGCTGCTGAGGCACTTCCTGGTCCAGGACACGGTGTACCCCTTGCTGGCTCTGGTTGCCATCTTCTTCGGCATGGCCCTGTACCTGCGCTCACTCTTCCTCACGCTCATGGTGCTGCTGGGGGTGCTGGGCTCACTGCTGGTGGCCTTCTTCCTTTACCAGGTGGCCTTCCGCATGGCCTACTTCCCCTTCGTCAATCTGGCAGCCCTCCTCCTGCTGAGCAGCGTCTGCGCCAACCACACGCTCATCTTCTTCGACCTGTGGCGCCTTAGCAAGAGCCAGCTGCCGTCGGGGGGGCTGGCGCAGCGCGTGGGCCGCACCATGCACCACTTCGGCTACCTGCTGCTGGTCTCCGGCCTCACCACGAGCGCGGCCTTCTATGCCAGCTACCTGAGCCGCCTGCCGGCCGTTCGCTGCCTCGCCCTCTTCATGGGCACGGCTGTGCTGGTGCACCTGGCGCTCACGCTGGTCTGGCTGCCCGCCTCCGCCGTGCTCCACGAGCGCTACCTGGCGCGCGGCTGTGCGCGCCGGGCGCGGGGCCGGTGGGAGGGCAGCGCGCCCCGGCGGCTACTGCTGGCGCTGCACCGGCGGCTCCGCGGCCTGCGGAGGGCGGCGGCTGGCACCTCGCGTCTGCTCTTCCAGCGCCTGCTGCCCTGCGGCGTCATCAAGTTCCGCTACATCTGGATCTGCTGGTTCGCAGCACTGGCGGCAGGGGGCGCCTACATCGCCGGAGTCAGCCCCCGCCTGCGGCTGCCCACGCTGCCGCCGCCCGGCGGCCAGGTCTTCCGGCCCAGCCACCCCTTCGAGCGCTTCGACGCGGAGTATCGCCAGCTGTTCCTGTTCGAGCAGCTGCCGCAGGGCGAGGGCGGCCACATGCCCGTGGTTTTGGTGTGGGGCGTCCTGCCTGTGGACACTGGCGACCCTCTGGACCCTCGTAGCAACAGCAGCCTGGTGAGGGACCCTGCCTTCTCGGCCAGCGGCCCTGAGGCCCAGCGCTGGCTGCTGGCACTCTGTCACCGGGCCCGGAATCAGAGCTTCTTCGACACCCTGCAGGAAGGCTGGCCCACGCTGTGTTTCGTGGAGACCCTCCAGCGCTGGATGGAGAGCCCCAGCTGCGCCCGCCTGGGGCCTGACCTCTGCTGCGGCCACTCGGACTTCCCCTGGGCCCCCCAGTTTTTCCTGCACTGCCTGAAAATGATGGCTCTGGAGCAAGGCCCCGATGGCACCCAGGACCTGGGACTCCGCTTTGATGCCCATGGCAGCCTGGCCGCCCTGGTCCTACAATTCCAGACCAACTTCCGGAACAGTCCGGACTACAACCAGACCCAGCTCTTCTACAATGAGGTCAGCCACTGGCTGGCAGCGGAGCTGGGCATGGCACCTCCAGGCCTCCGCCGTGGTTGGTTCACTAGCCGTCTAGAGCTGTATAGCCTGCAGCACAGCCTGAGCACTGAGCCTGCTGTGGTGCTGGGCCTGGCTTTGGCGCTGGCCTTTGCCACACTGCTCCTGGGCACCTGGAATGTTCCCCTCAGCCTATTCTCCGTGGCAGCTGTGGCAGGCACCGTGCTGCTCACTGTAGGACTCCTGGTTCTCCTCGAGTGGCAGCTCAACACTGCCGAGGCCCTGTTTCTCTCTGCCTCAGTGGGCCTCTCAGTAGACTTCACTGTCAACTACTGCATCTCCTATCACCTGTGCCCACACCCTGACCGCCTGAGCCGTGTGGCCTTCTCTCTGCGCCAGACCAGCTGCGCCACAGCCGTGGGGGCTGCAGCCCTGTTTGCGGCAGGCGTGCTCATGCTGCCTGCCACAGTGCTGCTCTATCGCAAGCTGGGCATCATCCTCATGATGGTCAAATGCGTCAGTTGTGGCTTTGCCAGCTTCTTCTTCCAATCTCTCTGCTGTTTCTTCGGGCCAGAGAAGAACTGTGGGCAGATCCTCTGGCCCTGTGCCCACCTGCCATGGGATGCTGGTACTGGGGACCCTGGTGGGGAGAAGGCAGGCCGCCCACGACCAGGGTCAGTGGGAGGGATGCCCGGGTCCTGCTCAGAGCAATATGAGCTACAGCCCCTGGCACGGCGTCGGAGCCCCAGCTTTGACACCAGCACAGCCACCAGCAAGCTGTCCCACCGGCCCTCAGTACTCTCTGAGGATCTGCAGCTCCATGATGGTCCGTGCTGTTCCCGGCCCCCACCAGCCCCTGCCTCCCCAAGGGAGCTGCTGCTGGACCACCAGGCAGTCTTCAGCCAGTGCCCTGCCCTGCAGACCTCCTCCCCCTATAAGCAGGCTGGCCCCAGCCCCAAAACCCGGGCCAGGCAGGACTCCCAAGGGGAGGAGGCTGAGCCCCTGCCAGCCTCACCAGAAGCCCCAGCCCACTCTCCTAAGGCCAAGGCTGCAGATCCTCCTGATGGCTTCTGTTCCTCAGCCAGCACCCTGGAGGGGCTCAGCGTCTCTGATGAGACCTGCCTAAGCACCTCTGAGCCCAGTGCCCGTGTACCAGATTCCGTGGGTGTGTCCCCAGATGACCTGGATGACACTGGGCAGCCAGTCCTTGAGCGAGGCCAGCTCAATGGGAAGCGGGACACCCTGTGGCTGGCGCTGAGGGAGACAGTGTATGACCCATCATTGCCCGCTTCCCATCACAGCAGCTTGTCCTGGAAGGGCCGAGGGGGGCCAGGGGATGGCAGCCCTGTGGTGCTGCCCAATAGCCAGCCAGACCTGCCAGATGTTTGGCTGCGCAGGCCCAGCACTCACACGTCAGGCTATAGCAGCTGAGGGGGACCCGGGGAGGCTGGACAGGGCGCGGAACCCTGTCATGGATGACAAGGCAAGGGCAGCAATAGGCTGGAGCCCGAAGGTATTTCTCCAGATCCACAGGGAGAGGTCTCACCCTCCAGCTGTGGATGTTAAACCCTGCCAGATGTCCCAGCCTTGATCTGTCTGCTCCTACTCCTCACATCTGGAGGATTCCAGCAGGAGGGGTTTTGGAGGGGACCTGCTTGCGACCTGCTGAGGGCTTGTCTGCTCCCACAGCACCATCTAAGACCCCTCCTCTAGAAGTGGGGAAGGCCAGATGTGTAGCTTCGGGTATCAGAGGAGGCTGACCTGGCCCCCATCCCAAGTTACAAGAACTTCAGTGAGACTAAGGGACCCCCATCCTAGGGATCTTGTCAGGGTTCCTTACTGACCAGAGGAGCCCGCAGCAATCTCCACAGCCTCCTGGGTCTCACCCCTTTCATGGGCTCTTCATCAGGACACTTCCCTCTCTTTTGGGAGCTTCTCTGGGCAGAATTGGGCTGGGACCTCTCTCCCCAACTGCCCTGCTCTCCTCATACTCACCGGTTTGACCAGAAATTCTCCAAATCCAGCCATAGATGGCTGCTGGGTGTGCAGCAGGAGAAGGAGGATGGTCAGCCTTGGAGCATCTCTCAATTACGGGACAGTCCCTCTTTGGAAGCAGGCTCCTGTGCTTTCCTGTGTTAATAAACAGTAATAATCCTTTCCATCTCTGCACATTTTAGTCTCCTTGGAATCTATCTCACTACTTCACTACAGGGTAGCCTGACATTGGTCAGGTTCTTTTGACACCCAATTTATAGGTAAAGACATTGAGACTAAGTAAGATGAACTGACCTCAGGGTCACTTAGCCACTAAATGGCAGAGCGGTTTCATTCCACCACTACAACCTCCAGTTTCCCTTTGGCTACCTGCCTTCTTTCACCGCTAGCACCCTCCTCCAATCTGCTTTCTCTGGTGTCTCTGACTGAATCCAGCCACCCTCTTTGGGCCTCCACTTCCTGAGAGAGCTGTATTCCAAAAAAACCCAGGAGTTCCTCTCCATCTCCCCCGTGCCTCCCTCTGGAATCTGGCTGAGATGTCTGCTGGCCCTGGGGCGTCCTAGCTGACCTGATTCCCAGGCTTCAGGACCGTGCCTCTTCTACAGCCACAGTGTATAAGAGGCCCCACCAGAAGAGGTACTGAGGGGCAGAAGAGGTGAAGCCAAATCCAATCAAGGCAGGAACTCAGACCTGCCCTTTGGGAAGTGTATGAGTCTGAAGCTGCTTCCCAGGTTAGGGTCCCCAGCTTTTTAAGGACAAGTCTCTCTGTGGAGCGTTAAGCAGACCAAAGGCTGGTTCCTCCTTCCCAAACTTCCTGGTAGGGAAGTTTTATCCCATGTGAGAGCTCATGACACCAGGTGGCATCAACATGTTTATTGAACACCTACTTTGCATATGGTATTACAAGGGGACAGAGGTGTGGAAGAAAAATTGAACACCACCCTCAAAGAGCTCACCTTCTAGCTGGGGAGACAGCTTATGCACACATGCAGGCATCGGATGGCTCACGGACGGCACCATATGCCTGCCATCATCATTATTGTTGGAGCTCAAGTACCCAGGACTGGGTAACAAGAAAGGCTTTCTGGAGGAGGAAAAACTTGAGCTGGGCTTCAGAAGACCAAGCGTCTCAGACTGGAAGGGGCCTTGGCGATCGTTTATTCCAGCAGTTTTCAAATTTTGTAGCCTCAGGACTCTTTCTTCAAAGAAGCTCTGTGTGGAAAAACAATATATAAAACAGGTAAAAGGCAGCTACTCTGGTGGGCGCTGGGTGTTGGGGGTGGAGTCAGCTTAGCCTGTCTTTCCACTGCAGCCTCTCCGGGTATCTGGGGAACCCCTCCGGCTCCTGGCAGCTTCACAGAATGTAATATGAAAGCTACTGATCCAGGCTATTTTACAGAGGAGTATCAGGAAAGGGAAGGGATTGTTCTAGGGCCAAATAGTCTGTGGCAGAGCTGGAGGCAAATCAGATGATGTTTTTGTTTTATTTAGTTTTTTATTATTGAGACCTACTTCCTACTCCAAGTAGCCCATGAGAAGTGGAGCAGAAACCGAAAAGAGACATGGGAGTTGTGGAAGAGACAGAAGGCAATAGGCAGGTACGGCAGGATACCTTGGCTCCTTTGCAAGATAAGTAAATCAAGATGAGTAACTCCTGACACCAGGAAGGGGAAGCTGGAACCTAATTTGAACCTGTCCCCAGGGGGTCTGCTGGGACCTCTCTCTTCATGTCCAGGTAGCATTCGGCCTCTCTGACCTAGAGCTGCTCATCAGCCCTGGTTTCTCTGATAATGGTGTCCCTCTGTCATCATGCAGCCAGGCTGAGAGAGCCCTGGTATCCTCAGGGACAATGAGCCACAGGGAGGTTAAGGGAACTCTTCCTCCCAAGCATGAGCAGAAGACACTTTGCCTGAACATAACCACTGAAATGTTAGAATGCAGAGGGGTGGATGGGTGGGCATGAGGGATCTGAGCACACCCGAGGGCCCTACCTGGGGATTTCCAGGTCATATTCTTGCAGGCTGTGGCCACACAACACTTCAGGAAGGTGAATGAGCCATAGCAGCTGATGCATTGATTAGATTTGTTCTTTATGTTGCCAGGCCCAGAAGAACCCAGCAGTAATCTAAAACATTACCTTATACCTAGAATGGCCCAAACCAACAGCAGGCAATCCACATCAGCAGGAAATCCAGCCTGCCTCTCTAGCCCTGACTTTGGAATGTGGAACTTAAAGCACTTCCTATTTCCTTTGAGTTGCAGCAGATCCTTTGCTTTATTATTATTAGGGGCACTTACAATGAGTGTATGGCCCTGGAGACATGGCTTACAAGCACGCTGTGAGGCGTACAAAAATGAGTCAAAGCACTTATGCTTGCCCTGCAAAATTCAAGAAATGATTTCTCCCCACTCAGACACTCTAATAGAACTACATTAACATTTGGAACTTGAGGTCATTTCCCCTATTTGTGCCACTGATCCTTGAACTCACATTCTGAGTACGAGTATGTATCCTGTATGCTATTAAAATATAACTTGAGGCCGGACATGATGGCTCATGCCTGTAATCCCAGCACTTTGGGAGGCTGAGGCAGGTGGATCACTAGACGTTAGGAGTTTGAGACCAGCCTGGCCAACATGGTGAAACCCCGCCTCTACTAAAAATACAAAAATTAGTTGGGCGTGGTGGGGGATGCCTGTAGTCCTAGCTACCCAGGAGGCTGAGGCAGGAAAATCATTTGAACCCGGGATGCAGAGGTTGAAGTGAGCCGAGATCGTGCCACTGCACTCCAGCCTGGATGACAGAGCAAGACACCGTCTCAAAAAATAAATAAATAAATAAGTCGGGCACGGTGGCTCACGCCTGTAATCCCAGCACTTTGGGAGGCCAAGGCAGGTGGATCATGAGGTCAGGAGATCGAAACCATCCTGGCTAACATGGTGAAACCCCGTCTCTACTAAAAATACAAAAATTAGCCGGGTGTGGTGGCGGGCGCCTGTAGTCCCAGCTACTCGGGAGGCTGAGGCAGGAGAATGATGTGAACCCAGGAGGCAGAGCTTGCAGTAAGCCGAGATTGCGCCACTGCACTCCAGCCTGGGCAACAGAGCGAGACTCCATCTTAAAAAAAAAAAATATATATATATATATATGTAAACTTGATATAGTCTGTTACCATGGGAAAACCATCCTTCCATGGCTGTGGTGATTTGGGGACTTTTAGAGTGACAGTGTTAGACAGACTGATTTTATTGGCTGAATCTTAGATTTTACTGATATATAGCATATCCCATACCATGATATGCGGGCAATATTCCAGCTTGAGACAATTTTTTTTTTTTTTTTTTGAGACAGAGTCTTGCTCTGTCGCCCAGGCTGGAGTGCAGTGGCACAATTTCGGCTCACTGCACTAATTTTTTGTATTTTTAGTAGAGACAGTAGAGTATTTTTAGTGTTAGCCAGGATGGTCTCGATCTCCTGACCTCATGATCCGCCTGCCTCGGCCTCCCAGAGTGCTGGGATTACAGGCATGAGCCACCGCGCCTGGCCGAGACAATTTTTAAAAAGACATTTCTCAAGAGAGTTATAAGCCAAAATTTCCCTAGCCCCCTCCAACTCATTCTGTCCTTCTCCCAGTGCATGTCAGGACAGGGAAGAAGGCTTTAAATCAGATTTTAAGAAAGAGGATACATTGGTTTACAACCTTTGCCTATCGTCCAGAGAGTTTCTGATCTTTTCTTTTTTTTTGAGACGGAGTCTTGCTCTGTCGCCCAGGCTGGAGTGTAGTGGCACGATCTTGGCTCACTGCAAGCTCTGCCTCCCAGGTTCACGCCATTCTCCTGCCCCAGCCTCCCGAGCAGTTGGGACTACAGGCACCTGCCACCACGCCTGGCAAATTTTTTGTATTTTTAGTAAAGACGGGGTTTCATTGTGTTAGCCAGGATGGTTTCGATCTCCTGACCTTGTGATCCGCCCACCTCGGCCTCCCAGAGTGCTGGGATTACAGGTGTGAGCCACTACACCCGGCCCTGATCTTTTCTTTGACGGTGGCAGTATCTCATTTTTTGATAATACACATGGGTAATGGCAAGCTCTTGGGACCCCATGCCAAGCATCAAGATCCCATTTACCTGGTGATAGGAAAGACAGACATTCCTCACCCTTTCTACCCACACCCTTGTTCACAGGGATGACTGTAACTAAGGTCTGCAGGTATTTATGCTTAGGAGAAGAAATCGTAGTTCAATTCACCAGGAATATGAGAAACAAAAGAAAGCCACTATGTGCTATGTAAATGTCTGGCCATCCAAAGCCACCTTATGCAGAGGAACACTGGAAGGGCCTTGATAAATTTCTCATAATTATTATCGGGCCTCTTTGTGATTACTCACATTTTTCTCAATATAGGGGAAAGATCAGCATTTTACCAAATCCACAACCATCAAACAAACAAGAGCTTTAATATTGCTAAAGAAAATCACACAGCTGAGCAGATTGATGTAGATTTGAATTCATGACCACCTATCTTAACTGGACCCTCAGCTCTGCCTAGCTAGTATTCATTCTAGCTACTAGTTTTGATTATTTGTATTGACTCTTTTATATTTTCTCCACCTTCCTCAAATATCTCACCTTCCCCCACCCCTCAGTGGACAAAAAAAAAAAAAAAATTCTTCATGAAGAAAACTGAAGCCTTCAAATAGAAATTTCCTCACCTTCAAGGCACCAAAGCCACAACTTACCTACCCCCGCTCCTGCCTGCTCCTCTCCCCATCCCTTCTGCTACAACGAAGGAAGCAGTAATGGCTCCATCAATGGCTTCTCACACTTGGTGTCAGAGGCCTTCACACGAGGGTTTGCACTCCCCTACAAGGACATGAAGACTTTCTAGAAGGTAGGTGGACACAGATAGTTTTAAAGTAATCAGTTTCCAGAGCCGCCTTCTCCATATGTTCCCCTCCTTATATTGGTGGGCCTAAGAAGCCACAGGCCTGACAGCTGTCCTTCCCAACTTCCACTTTCCCAGTTGCCTCCCCTCCCTCATTCTGAATCCTACTCTGGCTCCTTGCTCTGCGCTGTAAAAAACAAATAAAAGGGCCACTTGAGAATGCTCTGCTTGAGGAAGTCCTTGAAAGAGCAAAGCCTGGAGAGCTTCTTTGAGAAAGTTCACAGGGGCAGCCCTGTGGCTCAGTTCTGTGCCTTCTTCATTTAAGAATTCAAATTCATTGACATGTTATATTGTAAAATATATAAATATATATTAAAAAGGAAAAAATAATAAAAATTTTTAAAAATAATTCAACTTCAGGTGAGACACAGTGGCTCATGCCTATAATCCCAGTGTTTTGAAAGGCTGAAGTGGGAGGATGGCTTGAGGCCAGGAGTTTGAGACCAGCTTGGGCAACATAGCAAGATCCCGTATCTACAAAAAATAATTTTAAAAATTAGCTGGGCATGGGCCGGGCGCGGTGGCTCACGCCTGTAATCCCAGCACTCTGGGAGGCCGAGGCAGGTAGATCATCTGAGGTCAGGAGTTCAACACCAGCCTGGCCAACATGGCAAAACCCTGTCTCTACTAAAAATACAAAAATTAGCCGGGCGTGGTGGAGCATGCCTGTAGTCCCAGCTACTCAGGAGGCTGAGGAAGGACAATCGCTTGAACCCTGGAGGCAGAGGTTGCAGTGAGCCAAGATCATGCCATTGCACTCCAGCCTGGGTGACAGAGCGAGACTACATCTCAAAATAAATAAATAAATAATAAAATAAAAATAAAAATTAGCTGGGCATGGTGATATGCGCCTGTAGACCCAGCTACTCCAGAGGCTGAAGCAAGAGGATCACTTGAACTCTGGAGTTCGAGGTTACAGTGAGCCATAATCACATTATGGCACTCCAGCCTGGCAACAGAGCGAGACCTTAACTCTAAAAAAAGAAATAAAGAAGAATTTAAACTGAAAGTGAGATGGTTGACACAGGATACATATTAACCACATTGATTTGAATGGAAAAATAAAATCAGACTTTTTCTGTTAGAAGGTCAGAATTGGCTCACAGGTTTGACAGAGAGGATAGTCTTTGCAAGTAGGATGTATGGTGGACATTTTCCCTAAAATGGAATAACTTTAATCTGCAGCTCCACAGTTTGAACAAAAACAGACTGAAGGCTGGGCGTGGTGGCTCATGCCTGTAATCCCAACACTTTGGGAGGCCTAGGCGGGCAGATCACGAGGTCAGGAGATCGAGACCATCCTGGCTAACATGGTGAAACCTCATCTCTACTAAAAATACAAAAAAATAGCTGGGCGTGGTGGCGGGCACCTGTAGTCCCAGCTACTCAGGAGGCTGAGGCAGGCGAATGGCGTGAACCCGGGAGGCGGAGCTTGCAGTGAGCCGAGATTGCGCCACTGCACTCCATCCTGGGCAACAGAGTCTCAAAAAAAAAAAAAAAAATTTTTGACTGAAAGTACAGATACAACTTCCCTTTCCAGCCAAGATGGAGGAGCAGGGGCCAAGTTTATCCTCCTGCCTGAAACAACCAACCAAACAGTAAATACATGAAATAATGAGTTTCAAGACACTGGACATGAGGTAACAAAAGACAGTGATCTCTCAGAGGCAAGAAACAAACAAGGAGAACCCCTCGGTTGCCCAGCTTACCGCTTGAGAGGATGTATTTCACGGAGGGAGAACCCAGGCAAAGCAAGTGACTCTGAGGTGAGGGGATAGCTGGGAGTGTGGAGCAGCCAAGCTGGCTAGAGTGCTCAGGACAGGGTACTGGAGAGGAGAAAGGTGGATATATAGAGAATTCTGGGGATCTGCAAAGGGCCCCCCTTGAGTGTTCCACAGAGCATGATTCATCATATAAGTGTAAGGAAACCACTTGAGACAAAGGAAAGGACCACCCAAAACAATGGGCCGGAACAGTAGCCAGAAGTCACACACAGCCTGGACCACGCCTGTCCCCATCAGCCAGATTGGAAAACCTCAAATTTATGGAGCATTGGTCAGAGGTCTCAGAAGGGCCTTGCCTCGTAGTGGGGATTCATTAGCCCTAGTTTAAACATTGCTGGAACCTACCTAACAAATCTCAAAAGCAAGACCTGAATTCAGGAATCAAGCTGTTTCTAAGTAACTGAAGTGTATCCCAGAACAAAACCCAAGAACATTAACAGAAATCCAAAATTAACGAGCACCCAAAAATGTAAAATTCACAATGGCTGGTTTTCCAATAAAAAATTACCAGTCATGCAAACTATAACCCATCATAAGGAGAAAAATCAGTTGAAACCACTACAGCTGACACCTATGTGAGAATTAGACAAGGACACTAAAAGAATTATTATAACTGTATTCCATATGTACTAAGTAGAGACTAGGAAGATATTTTTAAATACCCACTTTGAATTTTAGAGACGAAAACTAAAATGTCTGAGATGATGGGGTGGGTGGGGTAGGCAGAAAGAGGAGGATGGGAAGAAGTACCAAGGGGAAGGAGGAATGATTTGGGGATGACGGCTGTGTTTATTATCTTAATTGTGGTGATGGTTTCACAGGTATATGTAATTTCTAAACTTATCAAATTGTACACTTAAAATATGTGGTCTATGGAATGTTAATTATATCTCAATAAAGCTGTTAAAATTGTACTGAAACAAAACCATTGGGGGAAACTGGGTAAAGAGTCCAAAGGACCTCCCTATACTATCATTGTAACTTCCTGTCAATTATAACGATTCCAAAATAAAGAATTTAAAAGTGTTTTTAAAATTAAAAAAAAAAAGTCTGAGATGGAAAATCACTGAATGGAATTAACAACAGTTTAGACGTTGCAGAAAAAACAGTAGTGCACTTGAAGACATAACAATAGAAATTATCCAAAAAACACCAAGAGAAAGAATTTTAGAAATGAATACAAAGGGCTAGGCGCAGTGGCTCATGCCTGTAATCCCAACACTTTGGGAGGCTGAGGCGGGCGGATCACCTGAGGTCAGGAGTTCGAGACCACCCTGGCCAACATGGTGAAACCCTGTCTCTGCTAAAAATACAAAAATTAGCCTGGTGTGGTGGTGCATGCCTGTAATCCCAGCTACTCAGGAGGCTGAGGCAGGAGAATCGCTTGAGTACGGGAGACAGAGGTTGCAATGAGCCGAGATGGCACCACTGCACTCCAGCCTGGGCAAAAGAATGAGACTCCATCTCAAAAAAAAAAAAAAAAAGAAAAAAGAAAAGAATACAAAGTATACACAATGTGACCAGGTGGGTGGCTCATGCCTGTAATCTCAGCACTTTGGGAGGCCAAGGTGGGAGAATCAGTTGAGGCCAGGAGCTCCCGACCAGCCTGGGCAACATAGCAAGACTTCATCTCCACAAAAAAATTTTAAAATTAGCCAGGCATGGTGGCACGTGCCTATAGCCCCAACTACTTGGGACGCTGAGGCAGGAAGATCGCTTGAGCCCAAGAGTTGAAGGCTGCAGTGAGCTATGATCGCACAACTGCACTCCAGCCTGGGAAACCAAGCGAGACCGTATCTCAAAAAAAAAGAAAAAAAGTATACACAATATACAACAGGCAGAAAGTATGTCCTTTACAATGATTTAAAGTTATGAAAAAAATTTAAGCCAGGTGAGATAGTGCATGCCTACAGTCTTGGCTACTTAGGAGGCTGAAGTGAGAGGATGGCTTGAGTCCAGAAGTTCAAGGCTACAGTACGCTATCTATGATCACACCTGTGAATAGCCACTGCACTCTAGCCTGGGTGACATAGCAAGATCCTGCCTCTAAAAAAATAAAAATAAAAGTAAACTTAAATTTTAGGTATCAAGTGAAAACAGGCAAGAGGGTTTTTTTATTTTTTTATTTTGTGGGGGCGCATGAATAAAGGAATTTAAAGATGCTACTCTGGATCCCATCTTCCTTCTTCCTTGCTCCTGAGTATCCTTTCCCTCTGTTCTGCTGGCTCGTTCCTATCAGCACACATATCCACAGCTTTAAGGAAAGCTTCCTTTGACCCCCATAACCCATCTCCAGTTACTGCCCAGTTGCTCTGCTCTTTTTGCAACAGACGCCTGGAGTTCTGCCATCTCTGCTTCCTCATCTCCCACGTACTCTTCAACCCATGCCCATGTGACTGCCACTCCAAACGCTCCACCAGCATTCCTCTTGCTAGACTCATCATGACTTCTCTGTTGCTAAATTCATTGGATGCTTTTCGTTCTCATTCTGCTTGCCCTTTCAACTATTTTCAATAGTTCACCACTCCCTCCTTCAGCAGCTTGCCACTTCCTCCTTGGATTTTGGAACACCACCCTTTTTTGTTTTCTTCTCACCTCTCTGGCACTTCTTTATCAGGTTTCTTGGCAAGCACCTTATTACCATTGCAACTTTTAAATGCAGGTGTCCCTGTCCTTGGCCCAAAGGCTCTCTGCACACTTCTTCTCTTGAGCTCATCAAATATCAAGGTTTTATTTTATTTTTTATTTTATTTTGTTTGAGACAGAGTCTCGCTCTGTCACCCAGGCTGGAGTACAGTGGCACCATCTCGGCTCACTGCAACCTCCACCTCTGAGGTTCAAGTCATTCTCCTGCCTTAGCCTCCCAAGTAGCTGGGATTACAGGCATGCACCACCATGCCTGGCTAGTTTTTTGTATTTTTAGTAGAGATGGAGTTTCACCATGTTGGCCAGGCTGGTTTCGAATTTCTGGCCTTAAGTGATCCCACCTCAGCCTCCCAAAGTGCTGGGATTACAGGTGTGAGCCACTGTGCCTGGCCATTTTTTTGTATTTTTAGCAGAGACGGGGTTTCATCATGTTGGCCAGGCTGGTCTCGAACTCCTAAATATCAAGATTTTAAGTACATTCATATGTCAACAACTCCCAAGGGTGTATCTCCAATCCAGGCTCTCTTCTGGGCTCAGGGCCTGTATTTCCAATTGCCTACTTGACCACTCCACCGGAATGCCTCAAAGATATGTCGAGGTTTTCCACGTTCAAAACCCAACTCTCAATCTCCCCCAGCAGAAAATAGTGACTCTATCCACACAATTATTCAAGCCCAATTATTCGAAAAGAAAAAGGACTGGGCGTGGTGGCTCACGCCTGTAATCCCAGTACTTTGGGAGGCCGAAGCGAGCAGATCACCTGAGGTCAGGAGTTTGAGACCAGTCTGGCCAACATGGTGAAACCCCGTCTCTACTAAAAATATAAAAAATTAGCCAAGCGTGGTGGTGGCACTGTAGACCCAGCTACTCGGGAGACTGAGGCAGGAGAATCGCTTTAACTCAGGAGGCGGAGGTTGCAGTGAGCCGAGATCGTGCCACTGCACTCCAGCCTGGGCAACAGAGTGAGACTCCGTCTCCAAAAAAAAAAAGAAAGAAAAGAATATATATATAAAGTATATATAAATTGAGCCAGGTACAGTGGCTCATGCCTGTAATTCCAACACTTTGGGAGGCTGAAGTGGGAGGATCATTTGAGGCCAGGGGTTTAAGACCAGCCTGGGCATCATAGCAGGACCCCATCTCTACAAAAATTAGCTGGGTCTGGTGGCAGGCACCTTTAGTCTTAGCTACTCAGGAGGCCGAGGTGGGAGGATCTCCTGAGCCCAGGAGTTCAAGGTTGCAGTGAACTATGATTGCACTCCAGCCTGGGCAACAGAGTGAGACCCTGTCTCAAAAAATAATAATAAAATAAAATAAAATATAAATTGGATGACACTCTCCTGCTATAATACTTCAGTGGCTTTCCATTACTTTTAGATAAAATCTAATCTCTATACCTTGGCCTGTAAAATCTGTCTTTTGACTGCTTATTTCTCCAGCTTTATCTGTACCACTCTCTTCCTATCTTTCTGTGCCTATAGAAGAACCCATTTCTGCCTTGGGACTTTGCATTTTCCCCTTTCCCCAATGAAATTAACTCCCTCTCCTTCCTTAATCAAACATCATCTCAGAGAGGTCTTCCCTGAGCCCCCAATATAATCTAAGTTTCCCTGCTTTTCTATCTTATACGATTTTGTACTTTTTCTTCATAGTGTGTGTGTTTTGGTTTGATTTTTGAGATCACGCTCTGTCACCCAGGGTGAAGTGCAGTGGCGCGATCTCCGCTCACTGCAACCTCTGCCCCGCCCAGGGTCACATAATTCCCCCACCTCAGCCTCCAGGGTAGCTGGGACTACAGGAGCATGCCACGACACCTGGCTAATTTCTGTATTTTTTGTAGAGACGGGGTTGCACCATGTCGCCCAGGGTGGTCTCAAACTCCTGGACTCAAGCAATTCACCCGCCTCCACCTCCCAAAGTGCTATAATTACAGCTGTGAGCCACTGTGCCCAGCCTTCTTCACAATTTCACCACAATCCGTAAATATATATTTATTTATGTGATTATTTGTTCACTGTCTGTTTTCTAAGTTGTAAACTCCAGGAGGGCAGAGCCAAGGTCAATCTTGATATTTGCCCTCCCTCACTCCCTTCCACCCACTGAGAACACTGTTGGGTAATCAGCAGGTACTCAATAAATGCCAGATGAAATGAATGAGCTAGTGCATTTAGTAATGGAAGCTACCCTGTTTATTGGGAGTAGCTTTGAATCACTACTGAAAATCTGGATAAGTGCTATTAAAATTAGGACCTCAGGTAGGTGCCTCAGGTATCTCAGCCCATAGGTCCTTTTCTTCAAGCCTCACCTGCCACTCTCCACCTGTAACGTGTAGTTTTCATCCAAATAACCTGTGCTCCTGGCAATATCCCTAACAATCCCAAACTAAATAAAGAGGATTGTGACATGGACCCTAAATGTCGCCACGTTTGCGTCTCCATCCCGGAATATGACGCTGGTAGCTCATTAGCTCCATTCAAGCCTACAAATTGCATCACCCTCCTCCTCTGCCCAGACCTGGGGGCTCCAACACCTTTCGCTAGGTCTGGCTCTGGCCTCTGAGCGAACCTTCCGTACAGTATGGCGGCTCCCGAAGCCCCGCCCCTGGACAGAGTTTTCCGTACAACATGGCTGTCTACAGAGTGCGATTCCCACCCACTTCCGCCTAGCTACCGGAAGTTTCTATTTGAAACCCAGGCGGCCGACTTAGCCGGTGGCACGACAGTTGCTGCAGGGAATCTTTTAAACGAGAGCGAGAAGGACTGCGGGCAGGACCGGCGGGCTCCTGGGTTCGGCTCTCCCGGGGCGAGGGACTGGGCTGGATGGGAGGAAGGACGGAATGAGCTGGGAAAGGAGGATTTTCTCTTTTCCAACCCCGAGCCGGGGCCTGTCGGGTCGCGCTATCCCCGGGCCCTCCACTCTCTCGGGCCCAGTGGCCCAGCGCTGGGTAACATTCATCCTGTACCTTCCAGGGTTCAGCCGTGCCGCCTCGTTACGATGACCAGTGTGGTTAAGACAGTGTATAGCCTGCAGCCCCCCTCTGCGCTGAGCGGCGGCCAGCCGGCAGGTGAGGGTCCAAGCCACGCCCGGGGCACTGCGGCCTGGCCGGGGATGGTCTCGGGAGTGTGGAGATCGAATGGGTGGCGCGGGCACGGGGAAGGGCGTCCCGTCGGCCCTGAAAACCTGTGAGCCCCCTATAACCAGGCTATGTAGGTTTATGATGGGAGTTAAGGGAAGGACCATGTGGTAGGATTTTAGACGTGCTCTGCACTTTTCTGCCCGCATGTGTACTGTATTCATCAGTTAGATTCAAGTTGTTGGTTATTGTACAATGTTATTCCCATTAAGCTAGGAATCCCCTTCTAATCGGTTATCGTCTTATTTCCAGACTTGGGCTATCTTGAGGGATTGGGTTTGTTTTCAGGGAGGAAAGAGGAGAATCATTTGAGAAGTGGGATACTTAGGGTTCTTTGTTCACCTTTATATCTGCACCGTGTTTCTCATTACCACATTCTCAATACACGTTTGTTGAGTGAAGTGGGAGAGAGGGGTTAGACCTAGGCACAGTATTTGAGAAACTTGGGCGAAGAGAGAGACATGATTAAAAATAGTTTTTAATTGCTTTGCCATCTGCTTTGTGTTGCTTTGCTTGTGGTTGAAAGTCATCTCATGGGGTCTGCAGTCGGGGAACTGCCTAATCTAGAGATTATAGTACAGAGTAAGCTTCAGACATCAGAAAACTGTTGTGGGAGATTATGGAGTAGCTATTTATGATCCCTTCCCAGATGATTCCACTCAGCTGGTACATAAACCTTGGCAAGATGGAGCGCTGAAGTGGCCAGGCACGGTGGCTCACGCCTGTAATCCCAGCACTTTGGGAGGGCGAGGTGGGCAGATCACGAGGTCAGGAGATGGAGACCATCCTGGCTAACACGGTGAAGCACCGTCTCTACTAAAAAATACAAAAACTTAGCCGGGCGTGGTGGCGGGCGCCTGTAGTCCCAGCTACTTGGGAGGCTGAGGCAGGAGAATGGCGTGAACCCGGGAGGCGGAGCTTGCAGTGAGCCGATATTGCGCCACTGCACTCCAGCCTGGGCGACAGAGCGAGACTCCGTCTCAAAAAAAAAAAGATTGAGCTCTGAAGTAAATAGGCTTTTCTCCAAAGGCTTAATGGGTTGTTTGTTGTCTTGTGTTGCCGCAGAACACCTGAATGGTAATCCTGGCACCAGCGGGGACTAGGAGTTGCTGGAAGAACTGGAGCCAGGTCTCTCAGCTGCTGTGTCTTTCCCTTAGATGCGGTGCCCCTGAGTCAGTGGGCAGTGACTAGCTCTCTCAGCCAAGTTGGAAGTGTTCATCTCTTTGATTTCTATCTCTGTCCCAGCTTTATGATCATATGTAACTGGAACAGTTTCAAATTTTTAGGCTGCCTCCCAGGATTTTTGTTTTGATTTTGAGCGTGGGCTGGATAAGTAATATATGCACATGTGAAAAAAAAAAAGGTGGAAAACCATATACAATGATAAACAAGTTTCCTTCCCTTCCTTGACACCAGCCATCCAGTTCCTCTCCCAGTGTCTCCCATTTTTAAGAGACAGCTTTGTTAAATCCTACTGAATTTTTCCTACAGTGCAATCCTAGATTTTAGCAAATACAAATTATTGGAACCAATTCTAGTCAATGAAGAGTGTTAATTTTGATCAATTGACTGTTAACTCCATTTTACATGGAGTAGATTTGTTATTGTTTAAAACTTACTAATACTTGAGAGAGGAGAAGATGATATTCCTCCAAGATTACCTTTTTCTTCAGACAGACACCTCAGAAAGAACCCTTTTAATACTTCATTTGTACTGCATTTCTTCAATTTGATTTGATTGTAATGGCTCTTAAGTTAGGTCAAACTTAAAGGGGCCATTTTACAGTGAACAAAGTGAGAGTAAGTCCAGAAAAGCCTGCATGTGAGGGTGGGGGTGCTTAACTCCAGATAAGTTACTTGAATTTGCTGTAGAACACAAATGATAGATTGTGTGGTTGCGGGGCTGGCACAAGGATAGAGGAAAATGCTCTCCTTTGGGGAAGAAGAGTGTTATGGCAGGGCCATTTCTCTGGTTATCTGGCAAGAAGATCAGATTAGAATGCCTAATAGGGAAACTCTAAACTTAACAAAGGGTAAACAAAAGGGCTAGTGGTAGAGGCAGGCAGCATGGAAGAGGAAGGGACCAGACAGGTGGTTTAGAGATGGTCTGTGAAACAACCCATGGAACTGTGAAGTGTTTCATTTATTCAACAAGCAGTTATTGAACCCCTGTTCATATGCCAGATACTTTCCTAGGTGATGGGGACACAAAGATGCCTTAGAATGGTTAGGAAGACATTCTAGTAAAAACAACGAAGTAACGGTTTAAAAAAACTCAGAGCAGCTCAGTCATGCCTTAGGAGAGTGTGCAGAGTGCTTGGAGGAGCTTAATGAGATGGTACAAGGATTCAGGCATGTTTTACCTGCTAACTTCCACCCTGCTCTCTGCTGGTGTCCATCTCCATGTTCACTTTTACAGCCTACACCTTTCAGTTCAATGAAACTTTTGGCTACCCTCAAACATGCTGTACTGTCACGTTTAAATAATTTTGGTTTTTATTGCCAATTAGCCTGGAAGTTTTATTCTTTTGAATTAATCTTCACATGTTGAAATTTGCCAGAATGAAAATAAAGATTTGGCCAGGCATCGTGGCTCACGCCAGAGTGGCCAAGGCAGGAGGATTGCTTGAGCCCAGGAGTTCGAGACCAGGCTGGGCAACATAGTGAGACCCTGTCTCTATTTTTAAAATTTTAAAACATATTTGAGGTGCCTATAGTCCAGCTACTCGGGAGGCTGAGGCAGGAGAATCGTTTGAACCCAAGAGGTGGAGGTTGCAGTGAGCCAAGATCACACCACTGTACTCCAGCCTGGGCCACAGAGCAAGACTCTGTCTCAAAAAAATAAATAATACTTTTTAAAATAAAGTAAAATAAAGATTTATGACAACTTCGAATGGGGCTCTGTTTGTTACAGGGTTGCAACTGTCGGGTCATGATGCCAGAAGCTTTACCTCTCATTTTCCTTTGCAGACACACAAACTCGGGCCACTTCTAAGAGTCTCTTACCTGTTAGGTCCAAAGAAGTCGATGTTTCCAAACAGCTTCATTCAGGAGGTCCAGAGAATGATGTTACAAAAATCACCAAACTGAGACGAGAGAATGGGTGAGAACGGATCATTAGTATCCAGTTAGAACATCTTCCTAGAAATTGCTCAATACAAAGAATTAGAAAACAGAGTTTTGGACAACACAAGTCTCCTGAACAACTGGCCTTCAATCAGTGGCCCAGAGCAGTGCAGCATTGCTGAGCTCTGTGCCAGAACCCTCTGTGTTGATCTTTCTGAAGAGACACAGCCAGAGTTATAAGAGGTGTTCTTTCCTCTTTCATCGCTTGCTCTGAGCATACAAGTGGCAGCACTGTAGTCATACAGCAACCCTGAGGGGTAGTCATGCAGGGTGGGGACTAGTTGTTATCCTAGGTTGCTGCTCTGACCACACAGTCCAGCCCTAGTGTGTGTGTATGTCCCCAGCCAGCAGTCAGTTCCAGGTGAGTGAGGTTGACATGAGATAGCCACGCCATCTTGAGAGGAACAGCTCTGTCAGGTTGTTAGGGTGGTCGGAGGCATGCCCCTTTGCTACTAAAAAGCCTTTTCAATAATCTGTGCCGAAGCAGTAATGCATAGTCTCTCAGAGCTCTTAAGCTTGTGCCATTTGCCTTTTATGTCTGGTTCTTTCCTCAGAAACTCAAGCTCTTTGTTCTGCCTGTTCACAGCACACTTAACAGTACTGTAAGTCTCTGATTCATTTCTTTGTTTCTGCCCTCCTAGGCAAATGAAAGCTACTGACACTGCCACCAGAAGGAATGTCAGAAAAGGGTGAGCATCAGGGTAAATCAACTTGGCCACTATTCTAGGGTAGTGGATCTCAATCCTTGGTTCTGCATCAGAATCATTTGTGGGACTTGTTTACTGTGTTAGGGTCTGGGTTCCACCTCAGGAACCTGAGTGGAATTTTCAGGGGTGAGGCACAGCTAGGTGTAAGAACCATTGTCAGTGCAAGAATCACTGGTGCTACTATCTTGTGTCTCAAGCAAGAGCTTTTTGGACTCCA
Organism: Homo sapiens; assembly: GCF_000001405.40. Classification (NCBI taxonomy): domain Eukaryota; kingdom Metazoa; phylum Chordata; class Mammalia; order Primates; family Hominidae; genus Homo; species Homo sapiens. The sequence goes on from NC_000015.10 coordinate 40,387,442, forward strand.
CGCCAGGACCACTGCTGATTGGAAATCACACTTAGCTATGGCCCATCAACAGGAGGGTAAAGCCTTCAGGAGAGGAAGGGCTGGGTGTATGTAGTTAGTGATCTCGAGATGAAGATTCTGGTGGTGGTGGTGGTGAAAACCTGGAGAAGGATTCATGTCTCATCTTTGAGGCTAGTTTGGAAGTTTTGCACTATCAGAAATAGAAATAATAAGCTGAAAAGTCTGTACAAATAGGTTTTAGTTCCAGATCTATTATTTGGGCATATCTTAAAAGTTTTGAAGACAGCAGGGCACACCAGCTCACACCTGTAATCGCAACACTTTGGGAGGCCAAGGTGGGTGGATCACCTGAGGTCAGGAGTTCGAGTCTAGCCTGGGAAACATGATGGGACCCCATCTCTACTAAAAATACAAAAATTAGCCAGGCATGGTGGCGCATGTCTGTAATCCCAGCTACTCAGGAGGCTGAGGCAGGAGGATCACTTCATCCCGGGAGGCAGAGATTGCAGTGAGCCAAGATCACGTCATTGCATTCCAGCCTGGGTGACAGAGCAAGACTCTGACTTACAAAAATAAAAAAGTTTTGAAGACAAAATACTAGCAAAAAAGACTGAGAACTTTAAGAAAAAACTCTAATATTGGTTGCTGAGACCAGCTTGGTCGGGGAGACCCTAACCCAGCGGCGCTAGAGGAATTAAAGACACACACACAGAAATATAGAGGTGTGAAGTGGGAAATCAGGGGTCTCACAGCCTTCAGAGCTGAGAGCCCCGAACAGAGATTTGCCCACGTATTTATTAACAGCAAACCAGTCATTAGCATTGTTTCTATAGATAGTAAATTAACTAAAAGTATCCCTTATGGGAAATGGATGGGCTGAATTAAAGGAATAGGTTGGGCTAGTTAACTGCAGCAGGAACACGCTCTTAAGACACAGATTGCTCATGCTATTGTTTGTGGCTTAAGAATGCCTTTAAGGGCCGGCGCAGTGGCTCACGCCTGTAATCCCAGGATTTTGGGAGGCCGAGGCGGGTGGATCTCAAGGTCAGGAGACCATCCTGGTTAACTATGGTGTTTCACCGTCTCTACTAAAAATACAAAAAATTAGCCAGGCATGGTGGCGGGTGCCTGTAGTCCCAGCTACTCGGGAGGCTGGGGCAGGAGAATGGTGTGAACCCAGGAGGTGGAGCTTGCAGTGAGCCGAGACCACGCCACTGCACTCCAGCCTGGGCGACGGAGCGAGACTCCATCTCAAAAAAAAAAAAAAATGCCTTTAAGTGGTTTTCCGCCCTTGGCAGGCCAGGTGTTCCTAGCCCTCATTCCCGTAAACCCACAACCTTCCAGCATGGGCATTAGGGCCTTTATGAACATGTTACAGTGCTGCAGAGATTTTGTTTATGGCCAGTTTTGGGGCCAGTTTATGGCCAGATTTGGGGGGCCTGCTCCCAACAATTGGTGATATTAGAGTTTATTAGATGATAAACTAACATTAGATAATAGCCCAGCTACTGGGCTAAGAAATGCACACGTGTTTTCTCTCTTATTACTCATAATAATAATACTATGAGATGTGGGTATTGTCCTGATTTCAAAAATGAGGAAACAAGGCCTCAGGGAGGTTATGCAACTCACTGAAGGTCATATACCACTGTGTAATAGCCAGGATAGAATGGGACGTGTTTGTGTAACTCTGTAGGCCGTATTTTTCTTTCTTTTTTTTTTAGACGGAGTTTTGCTCTTGTTGCCACCCAGGCTGGAGTGCAATGGCGCAATCTCAGCTCACCACAACCTCCGCCTCCTGGGTTCAAGCGATTATCCTGCCTCAGCCTCCCAAATACCTGGGATTACAGGCATGCGCCACCACGCCTGACTAATCTTTTGTAATTTTAGTAGAGACAGGGTTTCTCTTATCTTGGTCAGGCTGGTCTTGATTTCCCGACCTCAGGTGATCTGCCTGCCTCAGCCTCCCAAAGTGCTGGGATTACAGGCATGAGCTACCGCACCTGGTGTGGGCCATACTGTTAACCCTTTTATCTTTTCATGTAAGTACAACTATTATTACAGCTACAAACCACTGAGTAAGCAAAAATCAGAGGAAGAGCTCAAGGACAAGAACCAGCTGTTAGAAGCCGTCAACAAGCAGTTGCACCAGAAGTTGACTGAAACTCAGGTAAGAGACCCACCAGAGCTCTGTTACCAGCTGCCACTGGGCGATCCACATGGAATCCTGATGGGTGGCCCCTTGGATGAGCAAGCTTGTTAATGCACAGATGCCCAAGGGCAGAAAAAAAAAGCCAGGCTTTTGCTATGGCTGTCCAAGAGCAAGGGCAAGAAAGGGCAACCACCCCTAGGGAGTTGGACAATTCCTGATCTGTCTGTGCTGTGCTCCAATAGGGAGAGCTGAAGGACCTGACCCAGAAGGTAGAGCTGCTGGAGAAGTTTCGGGACAACTGTTTGGCAATTTTGGAGAGCAAGGGCCTTGATCCAGGTAAGAGACAGCACACAGCTAGCCTCCTTTGAAGGAATTGGTGCATGTGCCCCTTCCGGGGTTGATCTTGGCAGCATGGCATCAGCTGGCCCAGTATGTGCAGGGGTTACTTTCATAAAGCCCTAAAGATTTTGGAAAGCTTCTGTTTGTTTTCATGTGATGTTGATTTTTGCCTGGCCAATAGGATTTCAGATGATTATAGAGAGAGGGTTATCTCTTTCTTACCTGAACACTTTATGCCATTCATTTAGTGCCAACAGGTATGACCTTGCAAATAGATGAGAAACACTTTGTTCCTTTCAAGGGAGAACATTTTCTGTCTCTTCCTATTTGGGAAAGTTACTAGTGTGCTTGAAAGGAACATTTTGTTTGAACATGCTCTTCCTTTCAAGCATACTAGTAATCCCAAATGGGAAGAGAAAGAAAATACTATTTCAAGCATTCTTAAACCTGGTTAATCATCAGAATTACAGTGACTAAAATATGACTACTATTCTGACCCTGTCCCCCAGAAAGCAGTATCTGTAGCAAAGAGAGCAGAAGAAGGAATTGCCCAAAGACTGTAAGAGGGCCTCAGACTGAGTCAAAGAGCCAGAGAATGCCCAGGAAAGGGGCCCAGGCCTTTTTGTATTAAGGAATACTGACTTTGAATGTTACTGGTTAATCTTTAGGTTACAGTTGAGGATATTCTTTTTTTTTTTTTGAGATGAAGTCTCATTCCATTGCCCAAGCTGAAGTGCAGAGGTGTGATTTCGGCTCACTGAAACCTCCTCCTCCTGGGTTCAAGTGATTCTCCTGCCTCAGCCTCCTGAGTAGCTGGGATTACAGGCGTGTACCACCACACCCAGCTAATTTTTGTATTTTTAGTAGAGATGGGGTTTTGCCATGTTGGTCAGGCTGGTCTCAAACTCCTGACCTCAAGTGATCTGCCTGTCTCGGCCTCCCAGAGTGCTGGGTTTACAGACATGAGTTACCATGCCCAGCCTAGGATATTCTTTATAGTCACCATAAATATATATGTTTTTAAATTTAAAATTGTTTATTTTTTTGAGATGGGATCTCGCTATGTTGCCCAGGCTGGCCTCCAACTCCTGGGCTCAAGCAATCCTCCCAAATAGCTGGGACTACAGGTGTGCACCACCACATCCGACACCATAAATATTTTGTATGATTTTAGTTTATTACATGCATGTGATATTACCGAAAGTAATAATTTTTTAAGGCCTGAAAGGCTCTTAAAAATAGCTTTGTGAATTGTGAACAAAACCAAAAAAAATCCAACCTATACATTTCCTTTGGACAAATTGTCCACTGACCTAAGGAGAAAGTATACCGAATTTTTGGCCATATCAAAACCTAGATTGAAAGGAGATAAAATACAGTTTTGCAGGGCAGATATGGGTGACCCTGCCAAGGTGAAAACTTAGGAGAAAGTCCAGGATGAGACACTTAAGAGAAATTCCCCTCATGAATATTTCTGTACTTGTCCACGGAGGGTTTTTATTTTCTTTTGTTTAGGGTGTGTAGTTCCCTAAGTGAGATTGACTTTGTTGTATCCATCAGCTTTAGGCAGTGAGACCCTGGCATCACGACAAGAATCCACTACTGATCACATGGACTCTATGGTGAGGGCATGGGTGTGAAAGGGCGCAAGGGCTGAGTGACTGTGGGGCTCTGTAAATCTAAGAAGGTCTCTGCTATATATTCCATAAACTCCAAGAAACAGCCTTTGATTATCTGTGATGCTAGAAAAGAGAAATGGGATGTGTACTCAAAATAGCATATTTTACTTGAAAGGTAGCTTTGTGCTTACAAATATAAGTGAGTCTGAATTGAAAATTTAAAACACATAATAGGTAAACCTGTAGAGAGAGCTTTCTCGTTCTTCTGTTCTATACTTTATCAAATTTCTCTCCTGACTCCTTTGTTGAGAACTGTGTGGAAAGGATGTTAGCCATCATCTAATGCAAGTCTGGTTTTATATGAAGATTTGTTTACTACATTGTGCTTTCCTCTTAGTTGCTGTTAGAAACTTTGCAAGAGGAGCTGAAGCTTTTTAACGAAACAGCCAAAAAGCAGATGGAGGAGTTACAGGTGAGAGGCAGACATCACCCTGACCATTTCCTACCATGATAGGTAGATTTATAGTGGGGTCTTTTCTGTTTTTCTATTTATTTTTAATAAACTTTCTAAATAATTTTAGATTTATAGGAAAGTTACAAAGATAATACAGAAAATTTACCCTGATAGTAACGTGTTTTTTTTTTTCCAACTTTTAAGTTCAGGGGTACACGTACAGGGTGTGTAGGCTTGTTACACAGGTAAACGTGTGCCATGGTGGTTAGCTGCACAGATCATCCCATCACCTAGGTATTGAGCCCAGCATCCATTAGCTATTCTTCTTGATGCACTTCCTCCTCCACCCCCAATAGTAACATCTTACATTATCCTGGTACATTTGTCAAAACTAAGAAATCAGCCAGGCATGGTGGCTCACGCCTATAATCCCAGCACTTTGGGAGGCTGAGGTGGAAGGATTACTTGAAGCCAGGAGTTTGAGACCAGCCTGGGAAACATAACAAGACCCCATCTCTACAAAATAAAATTTAGAAAATAGCCAGGCGTGGTGGTACATACCTGTAGTCCCAGCTGCTCAGGAGGCTGAGGCAAGAAGACCACTTGGGCCCAGGAGGGCAAGGAGATAAAGTCTCACTGTTGTCCCCCAGGCTGGAGTGCAATGGCGTGATCTCGGCTCACTGCAACCTCCGCCTCCCGGGTTCAAGCGATTTTCTTGCCTCAGTCTCCCAAGTAGCTGGGATTACAGGCATTTGCGACCATGACCGGCTAATTTTTATATTTTTAGTAGAGACAGGGTTTCACTGTGTTGGCCAGGCTGGTTTCGAACTCCTGACCTCAGGTGATCTGCCCGCCTAGGCTTCCCAAAGTGCTGAGATTGCAGGTGTGAGCCACTGCACCCGGCAGGAAAAAAATTTTTTAAAAAACAGACCAACATCAGTACATTACTATTAACTATATTCCAAGTCTTCATTTGGATTTTAGCAGTTTTTTCCACTAATTTTTTTTTTTCTGTTACCGAGGCTTCTTGCAAATGTTCACATCACCAAGGCATGAGGCAATGTGTAACACAGTAGGTTGCTCAGAGTTGGGAATTGAGAACTATATGTAATCCATTCTATGGAAACTTGATAACTCAAGGAGAAGACCTGTAGTAAGCACAGATTCTTTGGTCTGGACTGTTTCAGATTGCTTGGATGAATCATGGGATATTGCACCAAATGTAGAGGATTTCATCGTTCCAGTTTAGATACAGGAGTCTAGTCCCTCTCTACTACTAGAGGGACAATTCCTAAAACCAGTGCATAGAAATAAAATCTAAAATAGAAGATACAGTCTGTTGATACTCCAGTGGTCTTCCTTAGTGGAATAGGAGCATAATGTTCTGATGTGGGAATTGTGTTTCCTGTTAGTCAAGAGTTTTGTGTATGTGTTGTTTTCTTTTGGAATGTCTTTCCATGCAGGCCTTAAAGGTAAAGCTGGAGATGAAAGAGGAAAGAGTCCGATTCCTAGAACAGCAAACCTTATGTAACAATCAAGTAAATGATTTAACAACAGCCCTTAAGGAAATGGAGCAGCTATTAGAAATGTAAGAAGAAGCAAGTGGCCAGATGGCTCCCTCTTGGGCATAAAATCTCAGAGGAAGCTACTTAGGACATCATCTTGGCCATGATCTTCTGGGACTCACCATCTCCAGAATGAAAACAATTTCTACAGTAGACTTAAGGACAGTTTATGCTGAAATGGCAATTCCTCATTTAAGCAAGTTTTCCCAACCTTCAGGTTGGTCAGCCCTCCTGAGCCTCACAGGTGGATAATTGAGGCCTACAAGAGAGGGGAGCCTAGGAGCTTGGATTGACCTTCTAGTCAACCACCTGACTTCAGCACACCATTACAATCGGGAGACTAAACCAACAACCAGAGGATCTAAAATGTCACATTCAGATTTTCAGGAAGAAAATCTTCATTACAGTGGAGCACAAATGTTCCATACAAGACATCATTGAGGAGCCATGCTGTCCCCTTCTAACCTGAAACACATTCTTTCCCATCCTGGTTGGGCTTCTGTACCTCCTTATTAATTTATGAACCTGAAGTTGCTTGAAGTGTTTTGGGCTTAATAAATGGGGTGAAAGTATAGGTAGCAGTAACACCTACATGAAACAATACACCTTGGATCTTTTAATCTAAATTACTTTTCTTTTTTAAGTCTACTTTTAAAATAAATACTTCTGTAAATATTCTGACTGTAACATTGAGGAATGAAAATAGCCTTTTAACCTAGATATGTCAGTTGATCATTATTGAACTAATTTAGTTAACAAGTCCAAGATATTCTGACTTAATCTAGAATATTTTTCTGCTACTCTTTAAGAGTCCTGTGGCTAGTCCCTCTGTCTCCCAAGAGCATTGGCTAGTCTCCTGAGGGTGTTGCCCATTTGTAGCAGTGGTTTCACCAGGTCTGTGGCCACTTGCTGCCCATGTTTTCCCTGCACTCTTTTTTTTTTTTTTTTTCTGAGACACAGTCTCACTCTGTTGCCTAGGCTGGAGTGCAGTGGCGTGATCTCGGCTCACTGCAACCTCCACCTCCCAGGTTTAAGCAGTTCTCCTGCCTCAGCCTCCCAAGTAGCTGGGACTACAGGGGCATGTCACCACGCCTTGCTAATTTTTAGTATTTTTAGTAGAGACAGGGTTTCACCATGTTAGCCAGGATGGTCTCGATCTACTGACCTCATGATCCGCCCGCCTCGACCTCCCAAAGTGCTGGGGTTACAGGTGTGAGCCACTGCACCCGGCCTTTTTTTTTTTTTTTTTTTTTGAGACAGAGTCTTGCTTACTCTATCGCCCAGCACAGTGGTGCGATCTCTGCTCACCACAACCTCCGCTGTCTGGGTTCAAGCAATTCTCCTGAGTAGCTGGGATTACAGGCACCCCACCCCCCACCACCACACCCAGCTAATTTTTGTATTTTTAGTAGAGGCGTGGTTTCACCATGTTGGCCAACTCCTGACCTTAAGTGATCCGCCCGCCTCAGCCTCCCAAAGTGCTGAGGCCAGGCATGAGCCACCACACCCTGCCATTTTTGTATTTTTAGTAGAGTCGGGTGGGGTTTTGCCCAGTTGGCCAGGCTGGCCTCTAACCCCTGACCTCAAGTAAGCCACCCACCTCAGCCTCCCAAAATGCTGGGATTACAGGCGTGAGCCACCACGCCCAGCCCTCCCTGCACTCTTAAGCATGATTATCTGCCTGCTGTTTGCTTTGCACAGCCAATCCTAGGCCTGGTCCAATAGATCCTTTAGTACATGGCCTGAAGTCCATGACAGGCCTCCCCCCGGTTTACCAAAGGCATGGCCAAATTTTTTTCTTAACCAAACTAGGCTGACTTTGGCCATCTCCTGTTCTTTCTGCACCTCCTAATTTCTTCTCCAAACCCTCCCACCCCCACCCTTCAGCATCTTTAAGGCTGCCCAGAGACACTCAGTGAAGCCAGTAACACTCCAACCTGAGCTTAAAGGGCCAAAATTGTTTGCCTTCTCATACAGACATTCACAAAGTTGGTTATGTTTCAAATATTTTGAGCCTATCCACTAAAAACTGGTCTTTGGCAAATTCTCTCAAACTGAGTTCATACCAATAAAACTGGTATGAACAGGCTGGGTGCAGTGGCTCATGCCTGTAATCCTGACACTTCGGGAGGCTGAAGTGGGTGGATCACGATGTCAGGAGTTAGAGATCAGCCTGACCATCATGATGAAACCCTGTCTCTACTAAAAATACAAAAATTAGCTGGGTGTGGTGGCACACACTTGTAGTCCCAGCTACTCGGGAGGCTGAGGCAGGAGAATCTCTTGAACCCAGAAGGCGGAGGTTGCGGTGAGCCGAGATGGCACCATTGCACTCCAGCCTGGGTGACAGAACAAGACTCTGTCTCAAAAAAGAAAAAAGTATGAATAAGTTCATACCAATAATACCTGTCTTGCTGGGTGGTTATAAAAGAGAATTATGTCCAGTACCTAACCCAGTGCCTGGCAAAGGTACTCAAATCCTGGTGGTGATATTATTAAAGTTTAAAACTTATCCTGGCAAAAGATTCCCTTCATAAATTCACCCCAAACTTCTATTCCAGTGCCCCCTTCTCCCCACCCCAAAACACAGTCGCTGATCTTACCATGCCTTTGCAGGCCTCAGTTATTCAACTTCCTTCTGACTTGGGAACTCTCAACTTTGACTCTTAAGTTCAAATTGCAACCATCTTAAAACATAAAGCCAAAACCCCACCCTTATCCCCTCCAGCTACCACATATACTATATTCACAGCCAAATATCTCAAGAAGCTATTTCCTTACCATTTTTCTTTCTCTGCCAATCTGGCTTCAAAGTACACAGAAACACTAATGTGATGTAGCTACAGTAGGCAAATCCATCCAAAGTAGAATATAGATTACCAGGGACTGAGCAGGAGGGGAGGGGAGTTTCTCTTTGGGATGATGACATTCTGGAAATGGAAAGTGGTGGTGGTTGCATAACATTGTGCATATACCTAATGCCACTGAATTGTACACTTTAAAATGGTTGAGGCCGGGTGCGGTGGCTCACACCTGTAATCCCAGCACTTTGGGAGGCCAAGGTGGGTGGATTACCTGAGGTCAGGAGTTTGAGCGGCCTGGCCAACATGGTGAAACCCTGTCTCTACTAAAAATACAAAAATTAGCCGGTTGTGGTGGCGGGTGCCTATAGTCGCAGCTACTTGGGTGGCTGAGGCAGGAGAATCGCTTGAACCCGGGAGGCGGAGGTTGCAGTGAGCCAAGATCGTGCCACTGCACTCCAGCCTGGGTGACAAGAGCAAGACTCCATCTCTAAATAAATAAATAAATAAATAAATAAATAAATAAATAAAATAGTTGAAATGGCAAACTTTAACCAGTTTGTTTTTTTTTTTTAATTTGAGGCTTAAAGTGCACTAACCTTAAGTGTACAGGTTCATAAGTTACTGTTGCTGCTGTGGAAGTGAGCACTACTCTACAAAATCACATCCATTAGTATTGTCCTTTCAAGAATTTCATATAAATGGACTCATAGTATATACTTTTTTTGAGAGAGAGAGAGGGTTTCTGTCATCCAGGCTGGAGTGCAGTGGTGCCATCTTGGCTCACTGCAGCCTGGACCTCCTGGGCTCAAGTGATCCTCCTGCCTCAGCCCCCCAAGTAACTGGGACTACAGGCACACACAACCACACCCAGCTAATTTTTGTATTTTTTGTAGAGATGAGGTCTTGCCATGTTGCCCAAGCTGTTCTCCAACACCTCAGCTCATACGATCCGCCTGCCTCGGCCTCCCAAGGTGCTGGGATTACAGGCTTGAGCCACCAAGCCCAGCTCCCCTTTTTTTTTTTTTAAGAGACGGACCAAGGCCAGAGTATAGCTTTAGGCCAGAAGTTCTTGACCAGCCTGGGCAACATGGTGATACTCCTGACTCAAAAAAAAAAAAAAAAAAAAAAAAAAGACAGCATCTTGCTCTGTTGCCCAGGCCGGAGTTCAGAGGCACAATAATACACAATAATAGCTCACTGTAACCTCGAATTTCTGGGCTCAGCCAACTGAATAGCTAGTACTACAGATGAATGCTACCACCCCTCGCTAATTTTTAAATTTTTGGTAGAGCTGGGGGCTCTCACTATGTTGCCCAGGCTGATCTTGAACTCCTGGCCTCCCAGAGTGCCAGGATTACAGGTTTGAGCCACTGCACCCAGCCGAGAATGTACTCTTGTGTTTGGTTTCTTTAGCTCAACATGTCTCTATAATTTGTATCGTTGAATGTATCAGTATTCTCTGGCTAGTGGACATTTGTTTCTATGTTTAGGCTATTAATAAAAGTGCACTGGTTTCTCTTGGATAGATACCCAAGAATAGAACTGCTGAGTCGGAGGGTAAGCAACTCAGTTTTCCAAAATAAATGTACCTGTTTATACCACCACAACAATGTATGAGAGCTGGAGGTTTAGTCAGTCTTTTTTGAAATATATATTTTGGCCAGACACAGTGGCTCATGCTTGTAATCCCAGCACTTTGGAAGACTGGGGCGGGAGGAGTACTTGAGTTCAGGAGTTCAAGACCAGCCTGGGCAGCATAGCAAGACCTCTTCTCTACCAAAAATTTTTTTAAATAGCCAGACGCGATGGTGCACACCTGTAGTCCCAGCTACTCTGGAGGCTTAGGTGAGGGGATTGCTTGAACCAGGGAGAACGAGGCTGCAGTGAGCTGTGAAAGCTCCACTGTGTTGTTGGTGGGCCGGTTCAGGTTCTTGACTTTGGTGAGCAAAAGAATTTGAGAGCAAATCCAAAGTAAAAGTAGGCAAAGTAGTTTATTGCAAAGTGAAAGTACACTCTTGATAGCTGGGCCAGAGAGGGCTACTTGAGAATGAGACAGCCCCATCCTACACTGGGGAAATTACCTTTATGAGAAGCTTATATAATTATTCATTAAAGGGTGGGAATGAGTGTTGCTGTTAAGCATGTTGTGGAAGGTCTTCTGGATGAGCACACACTATTGCTATACATGCCAGTATATACATTGCATGTCTCATTAGCATTGTAATTCTCCATCCTGGGGTGTGTTTTTACTGTTAAATGAGTATAGGTCAACCTAAAGACACTGACCAAGGGTTTCTGTCCCTGTGCAAGCTCGAGGTTTTTTCCCCTTTTACTCTTTTTCCTCCTTGCAGCAGGATGTTCTGACCACGAGTTCCTGATGCGGTTTGTGCAGCGTTGAGCTGTGCTCTCCATCTGTCTGTTTGGCAAGTATCTTCTTCCCCTTTAAGTGAGGCTGTGACCAACCTACCTGATCTATCTCAACTGCACTCCAGCCTAGGCTACAGAGTGACACCGTGTCTCAAAAGATAGTAATAATTTATATATTTGGGGATAATTTTAGATTTATGGAAAAGTTGCAAAGATAGTCCAGAGAATTCCCATATACCCCTTCCCCAGCTTCCCCTAATGTTAACATCTCACAATACCATGGCACATTTGTCAAAACTAAGAAACCAGCATCAGTAGATCATTATTAACTAAACCCTGGGCTTTATTTGGATTTCATTGGTCTGTCTACTAATGTAGTTTTTCTGTTTTAGGATCTCGTTCAGGATGCCATATTGTATTTTGTCATTAGTTATTATGTCTCCTTAGTCTCCCCTGGTCAATGACAGTTTCTCAATCTGTTTCTGTTTTTCATGACCTTGACAGTTTCAAGGAGTAGCGGTCAGATATTTTGTAGAATATCCCTCAATTTGGATTTGTCTGATTTTTCTTTCTTTTTTTTTTTTTTTTTTTTGATGATTAGACTGTGGTTATGTGTTTTAGGGAAGAATACCACATATGTAAAGTGTACTCAACGCATCATATTGAGAGGTGAAGCCAGCTGGACTTCTGGGTCGGGTGGGGACTTGGAGAACTTTTCTGTCTTACAAGAGGATTTTAAAATGCACCAATCAGTGCTCTGTAGCTAGCTAGAGGTTTGTAAAATGCGCCAATCAGCACCTTGTAAAATGGGCCAATCAGTGCTCTGTAAAATGGACCAATCAGCAGGATCTGGGCGGGGACAAATAAGGGAATAAAAGCTGCCCCCCAGCCCCGCCACCACCCCCCAACCCCAGCCAGCGGTGTCTAGCAGCTCGGCTCCCCATCCAGGTTGTGGAAGCTGTTCCTTTGCTCTTCAGAATAAATCTTGCTGCTGCTCACTCTTTGGTTCCATGCCACCTTTAAGAGCTGTAATACCACGAAGGTCCACAGCTTCATTTTTAAAGTCAGCGACACCAAGAACCCACCAGAAGGAACCAGCTTTGCACACGATATTACAGGTATATAACATCAACTTGACTTGTTGCTAGTGATATTAACTTTGATCACTTGGTTAAGGCAGTGTTAGCCGGGTTTCTCCACTGTAAAGTTACTGTTATACTCCTTCCATACTCTCTTTAGAAGTCATCACTAATTCCAGCCACTCTCAAGGGGAGTAAGAACTATCTACCTGTCTATATTGTTTGGAATTCTTCTGTAAGGAGGATTTCTGCCTTCTCCCTCCCATTTATTTATAACAATATAAACATGTTTGTTTTTTTCTGTTCTTTTTTTTTTTTTTTTTTTTTTTTTTTAAGACAGTCTTGCTCTGTGGCCCAGGCTGGAGTACAGTGTTGCGATCTTGGTTCACTGCCACTTCGCCTCCCAGTTTCAAACGATTCTCCTGCCTCAGCCTCCTGAGTAGCTGGGACTACAGGTGCACACTACCTTGCCTGGCTAATTTTTGTATGTTTGCAAAAATGAGGTCTCATCAAGTTGACCAGGCTGGTCTCAAACTCCTGACCTTAGGTGATCTGCCCACCTTGGCCTTCCAAAGTGCTGGAATTATGGATGTAATTATATACCACACCTGGCCTGTATGAACAAGTTTTTACTTTGTTTTTTCAACTTTTATGTTCAGGGGTGCATGTGCAGGTTCGTTACATAGGTAAACTGCCTGTCACCCAGGTGACGAGCATGGAACCCGATAGGTAGTTTTCTGATCCTCACCCTCCACCCACCCTCCACCCTCAAGTAGGCCCCAGTGTCTGCTGTTGCCTTCTTTGTGTCTGTGTGTACTCAATGTACTCAACTCCCATTTATAGGAGAGAACATGCAGTATTTTATGTTTTTACTTTATACTTTCATTTGTTCGATTTTTACCTTACTTTGTTGCTCAAAGCTTTATTGTTCACCTTTCATATTAAGGTTTATTATCTACCTCTAATCTTTTGTATCATATGAAATCGGAGTCTTGCTCTGTCGCCCAGGCTGGAGTGCAGTGGTGCAATCTCGGCTCACTGCAAGCTCCGCCTCCCGGGTTCACGCCATTCTCCTGCCTCAGCTTCCCAAGTAGCTGGGACTACAGGTGCCCGCCACCACGCCCGACTAATTTTTTGTATTTTTAGTAGAGACGGGGTTTCGTCGTGTTAGCCAGGATGGTCTCGATCTCCTGACCTCGTGATCCGCCCAGCTTGGCCTCCCAAAGTGCTGGGATTACAGGCATGAGCCACCGTGCCCGGCCTTCTTTTGTAATGTTTCTTGTAAGATTTTTGGTATCAGGATTATATTGGCCTCATAAAATGAGTTGAAATAATAAGTTTGGTATTATTTCCTTTTTTTTTTTTTTTTTTTTTTTCCGAGACGGAGTCTCGCTCTGTTGCCCAGGCTGGAGTGCAGTGGCGCAATCTCGGCTCACTGCAAGCTCTGCCTCCCGGGTTCACGGCATTCTCCCGCCTCAGCCTCCCAGTAGCTGGGACCACAGGCGCCCGCCACCACGCCCGGCTACTTTTTTTTTTTTTTTTTTTTTTTGTATTTTTAGTAGAGACGGGGTTTCACCATTCACAGGATGGTCTTGATCTCCTGACCTTGTGATCCGCCCACCTCGGCCTCCCAAAGTGATGGGATTACAGGCTGAGCCACCGGGTATTATTTCTTGTTTATTCTCTCTTAGGTTTATACCCATATTTTTTTTTCTTTTTCTTTTTTTTTTTTTTTGGTTTGAGACGGAGTCTTGCTCTGTCGCCCAGGCTGGAGTGATGTGGCGTGATCTCCACTCACTGCAACCTCTGCCTCCCGGGTTCAAGCGATTCTACTGCCTCAGCCTCCCGTGTAGCTGGGACTATAGTCTCCCGCCACCATGCCCGGCTAATTTTTTGTATTTTTAGTAGAGATGGGGTTTCACTATGTTGGCCAGGCTGGTCTTGAACTCCTGACCTCGTAATCCGCCCGCCTCGGCCTCCCAAAGTGCTGGGATTACAGGCGTGAGCCACCGCGCCCGGCCTATACCCATATTTCTTACTTAAGTATTTGGAAGAATTCATTAGTGAAGTCATTTACGCTTGGAGTTTTCTTCATGGAAAGTTTTTCATTGTGGATTTCAATTTATTTAGTAGATATAGGACTATTCAGATTTTCTGTTATGTCAGTTTGTGTCAGTTTGATTTGTCTATTTCATCTACATTATCAAATGTATTAGCATAAATTGCTCAAAATATCCTTATCTTTTTCATATCTGTAGGATTTGAGAGCTGTCCCCTTTTTAATTCTTGATATCAGACATTTGCAATTTCTCTTTTTTTCTTGATAAGTCTTGCTAGCGGTTTATCAATTTTTAAAATCTTCTTTTTATTTTAGGAGATAGGGTCTTTCTATGTTGCCCAGACTAGACTCCAACCCCTGGGCTCAAGCAATCCTCCTGCATCGGCCACCTGAGTAGCTGGGATTACAGGTATGTACCACAGCACCCAGCTTAATTTTGTTAATCTTTTTATTTTTTGTTTTTAATTTTTTTAGAGACAGGGTTTTGTTCCGTTGCCTAGACTGGAGTACAGTGGCCTGATCATTACACACTGTGACCTCAAACTCCTGGGTTCAAACCATCCTCCTGTCTCAGTCTCTCAAGAAGCTGAGACTACAAGCACAACCCACCACCGCTGGCTAATTTTTAAAATTTTTTGTAGAGACTGGTCTTATTGTGTTGCTCAGGCTGGTCTCGAACTCCTCACCTCAAGTGATCCTACTGCCTCAGCCTCCCAGAATGTTGGAATTACAGGCGTGAGCCACCATGCCTGGCCCACATTACCTCTTAAGATGACTCAAAAGCGCTTCAAACATAATTGTGCCCAAAACAAGCTCAAAGTCTTTCCTCTCAGACCTGATTCTTTTCCAGTGAACCTACACATTTATTGTAGGTTTGAGTTAAGAAAAGTGCCAACAGTGCAACACATAAATAGGCAAAGGACATGATCTGACAGTCCACAGAAAAATAAGGGCTTTCGGTATGAAAAAATCCTCCACCTCATTCATAAGAAGAAAAACTAAGTTGTATCTATACAATGGAATAGTCTTTAAAAAAAGAAAAAAGAGGACGCTCTTAACATAGTGATATGCCAAGATCTCCAAGATACATTGTTAAGTGTAAGAAGAATATATATTCATAATTGCTTGTATTTACATAAAACTGTGGAATATTTAAGAAACTAATAAAGGTGGGCTGGTACAGTGGCTCATGCCTGTAATCCAAGCAGTTTGGGAGGCCAAGGCAGGAGGATTGCTTGAGGCCAGGAATTTGAGACCAGCCTGGGTAACATAGTGAGACCCTCATCTCTACAATATACATACATATATATATATATGTATGTATATGTGTATAGATGTATATATTAGGCCGGTGGCATGTGCCTGTAGTCCCATCTACTTGGCAGGCTGAGGCCAGAGGATTGCTTGAGTCCAGTCATGGCAGTAAGCCATGATTGTGCCACTGTGCTCCAGCCTAGGTGACAGAGATCCTGTCTCAAAAAAAAAAAAAAAAAAATTTAATTTCAACCTGATTTAAAAAAAAAAAAAAGCGGCCGGGCGCGGTGGCTCACGCCTGTAATCCCAGCACTTTGGGAGGCCAAAGTGGGCGGATCACGAGGTCAGGAGATCAAGATCATCCTGGCTAACACGGTGAAACCCCGTCTCTACTAAAAGTACAAAAAATTAGCCAGGCGTGGTGGCAGGCGCCTGTAGTCCCAACTACTCGGGAGACTGATGCAGGAGAATGGTGTGAACCCGGGAGGCGGAGCTGGCAGTGAGCCGAGATGGCGCCACTGCACTCCAGCCTGGGCGACAGAGTGAGACTCCGTCTTAAACAACAACAACAACAAAAAAGCAGTGCTATGATCGGGTGTTAACTTCTCAGTAGTACTTCAAATTATGGTGAGGGGGTGAGTTAGAAGCTGAGGAATGGGTGCAGGGAAGTTGGATGTGGTATGAATGATCTAAAAATGAGAGCAATGTGCCAAGTACTGTGCTGAATCATTAAGTATGCAATCTCTTTTATTCCTCATAGTAGCCTTAAAGTTGGTTGGTATCATTTTCGTTTTAAAGATGATGAAACAGTGACTGAAAAGATCTAAGAAACTTGCCGAAAGTCCCACAGCTATGTAGTGGGATTGCATAGACTCCTGGACTCAGGGTACCAACCTGAGATGAGTTGTTCAAGAGCATTGACTTGGCTGGGTTCCGTGGCTCATGCCTGTAATCCTAGCACTTTGGGAGGCCAAGACAGGAGGATCACATGAGCCCAGGAGTTCAAGATCAGCTTGGGCAACATAGTGAGACTGCCCACCCCCACCCCGGCCCCATCTCTAATTAATTAATTAAATTTTAAAAATAACATTGACACAACATGGAGGAGGAAAATAGAGCAAGTGGAGAGGGGATAGAGACTTAATTCCATCAGCTCCCCTCTTTCCCCTCACCACTCTTCCTTTCCCTGTGTCCCGAACCCGTGTTTCTAAGTCCTGACTGCTATTATTCTGGTGTATTAAATACATACTATTTACTATTTAATACATCTTTTGTTGTTGTTTGTTTTCTCAAATTTTTTGTGGAGACAGGGTCTCCCTATGTTGCACAGGATGGTCTTGGACTCCTGGCCTCGAGCGATCTTCCCACCTAAGCTCCCAAAGTCCTAGGATTACAGGCATGAGCAACCATGCCCAGCCTATTTAATACATCTTATTTAATATATAGTATAATACGTAAATATGTACTATTTAATATTTAACACATATTAAATACAAATGGTCCCCAACTTACAATAGTTCAACTTAAGATTTTTCAACTTTATGATGGTGTGAAAGTGATAGACATTGAATAGAAACTGTACAATATTCAATAAATGATATCTAACACTGTCTTATAAAATATGCTTTGTGTTACATGATTGTGCCGTTATAAGCTATTATAAGTGTTCCAAGTACGTTTAAGGTCCACTAGTCTAAGCTATGATGTTTGGTAGGTTAGGTGTTTTTTTGTTTTCTGTTTTGAGACGGAGTGTCACTCTTGTTGCCCAGGCTGGAGTGCAATGGCGTGATCTCAGCTCACCGCAACCTCCACCTCCCGGGTTCAAGCGATTCTCCTGCCTCAACCTCCTGAGTAGCTGGGATTACAGGCATGCACCACCACGCCCAGCTAATTTTTGTATTTGTAGTAGAGACAGGATTTCTCCATGTTGGCCAGGCTGGTCTAAAACTCTCCGCCTCAGGTGACTCACCCGCCTCGGCCTCCCAAAGTGCTGGGATTACAGGTGTGAGCCATCATGCCCGGCCTAAGTGTATTTTCAAAGTGCATTTTTGACTTACAATATTTTCCATTTATGATGGGTTTATCGAGAAGTAACCCCACTGTAAATCGAGGCGCATCTCCAATCTAGAAGGCAGCTACTCCTTAATAACCCCTTTCCCATAAAACATGAATCTAAATCTACAAACCTTGTTATATAATAAAGCAAGATGTACTCTGTTATGATCAGTGTGCACGTTAGAGCAAGCACTACTTTTCCGATCTTAATTATTCCAGAGATGCTTGACCAATTTACTGGGTACGTGGGCAGTTTTCTGATTGCTGTTTCCACACTCTGCTTTCCCACAGAGAGATTTCCGCAGTTAGGGGCTGCTATTTCAACGCAGGGAGATAAAAAGAAAAAAACACTTGCTCTTCTACCCCGCTAAAAACACTCATCCTAGGGAGCACGCCAGCATTTGCAGCGTTCGGGGCAGGGCCACTCGGCCTGCGGCCGTTGCACTGGCTGGAAGCTGGCAGGCGATCACGGTTGATTGGCTCGGGTGCGGTCCAAGGGCAGCAACGCCTTCGGCGGGCCGCCTAGGGTGATTGGCTGCTGCAGCCCACCCCCTAGCCGGTTTGGTGGGCGGCGAAGCCTGGATTGGTGGAGCTAAGAGCTGGCTCAGTTTCAGCGCTGGCTCTTCGTGCATGGCAGAGATGGCGACTGCGACTCGGCTGCTGGGGTGGCGTGTGGCGAGCTGGAGGCTGCGGCCGCCGCTTGCCGGCTTCGTTTCCCAGCGGGCCCACTCGCTTTTGCCCGTGGACGATGCAATCAATGGGCTAAGCGAGGAGCAGAGGCAGGTGAGGAGACTGACCCCCTTCCTGGCCCCAAGGCCTCCTTCCTGCCTGGTCCCCAAGGCCTCCTTCCTGCCTGGTCCCCATCGGCCCAGCGCCCACCCAGCCTTGGCTTTTGCCCGTGGGCCGTTGGGAGCGCCAGCGCGGGGGCGGGACGCGGGGCCTCCGACCTCGGGTCCAGTCCTCTGACCTCGGCCTCACGTCTGTGGAGTGAAGATTTGAGACCGTGGGACAGTACTGCTGGAAGTAGAGAGGAGGAGTCGAGGCTGGGAGAGCTCCTGAGAGACTGATGGTGTTTTGGTGGAGGATTGGCCAGGCTACCTACCGCTTGTGGCACAAGGGCCCTCAATCTGTATGTAGTTCACTTACACCTGAACAGGCTGAGGTATGCTTCTCACACCTGGGTGGTCATCGTAATCACCAGGGAGTCTTTTTTGTATAAACAGTTTGGGGGTTTTAAAAAGCCACAGTGAGCTCTCCTGTCGCTCTTCAGCCCATTGGGTCAAAACACAAAAGTTGAACAAGTACTTGAAAGAAGTAGTTGGAGGCCAGGCGCCGTGGCTCACACCTGTAATCCTAGCACTTTGGGAGGCCGAGGTGGGAGGATTGTTTGAGCTCAGGGGTTTGAGATCAGCCTAAGCAACATAGCCAGACCCCCATCTCATAAAAAATAGAAAAGAAGACGAAGTAGTATTTACAAATGGAGCAGAACCAGAGTCCTTCCTGAGGTTTCACTTGGAGGCTGGATGGAGTTGGCGGAGGTATGAGCCTCCCAGCAACTCCGTAGTTTATGTTTATAGCCAGCGAGCGCTCAGAGCTTCCGTGAACCACCTCAAGTGGAAAGGGTTCAATCCCTATTCTCAAGCTTTCCTGGCAAGAGGAGTTTCTTTTCTTTTTTCTTTTTTTTTTTTTTTTGAGACGGAGTTTCACTCTTGTTGCCCAGGCTGGAGTGTAATGGCGCGATCTCCGCTCACCACAACGTCCGCCTCCCGGGTTCAAGTGATTCTCCTGCCTCAGCCTCCCAGGTAGCTGGGATTACAGGCATGCACCACCACGCCCGGCTAATTTTGTGTTTTTAGTAGAGACGGAGTTTCTCCATGTTGGTCAGGCTGGTCTCAAACTCCCAACCTCAGGTGATCCTCCTGCCTCGGCCTCCCAAAGTGCTGGGATTACAGGCATGAGCCACCATGCCCAGCCGCCAAGAGGCGTTTCTAATCTCTTTGGGTAATCAGACCCTTTTAGCCAAAGGTTCGGGGGCTTAAAAGAGCCTGACAACTATTGAGATCTGGCAGCTGCCTGGAATGCAGCTGGAGCACAGAGGGTGGGAGGTGGGAAGGTGCTGGGGAAGCTAGGAGAGTCAGCTGGGGTCAGCTCCTGCAGGGCCTAGTAGGCCTGGGTGAGAAGCTTGTGTTTTATTCTAAGTACAGTGGAAACCAATGGAATGATTTTTATGTAAAGTGTGACGTTTTAAAAATTACCATCAAGCTGTCTAGGCTGAAGACCTTAAGAAAGAGGGGTGAAGATCATCTCTGAGGAGGCATAAACTACTGAGGCCTCTCAGTTTCAGTCTGATGCTGTTTGGGGAAGTTACTTGTGGCCTTTTCTCTTGAATGTGTCTGGGTAGTGGAGATGCTGTCTGCAGTGGCATCTGTTTACCTCTCTCCTATTAGCTTCGTCAGACCATGGCTAAGTTCCTTCAGGAGCACCTGGCCCCCAAGGCCCAGGAGATCGATCGCAGCAATGAGTTCAAGAACCTGCGAGTGAGTTGGGAGGTCCGGGCAGTCGGGGGCAGTCAGGGAGTGGGGCTGAGCTGCACTGCTGCCTGGAAGAGCTCACACAGTTTTCTGGTAAATGAAGCCTCTCTAAGAATGCAGCCCCTCTCTCTGAAGTGTTTGGGTCTCATTGTTCCAGCCACATGTGACTGGCTGCCTTCCCCTCAACACTTATTCCACTCTGCTCCATTCTGTTGGCAGGAATTTTGGAAGCAGCTGGGGAACCTGGGCGTATTGGGCATCACAGCCCCTGGTGAGTATAGTGTCTTTCCCTAAAAAGAACTTTTCTTATGTGCCCTTTAAGACAGTTCCCAAAAGAAGCAGGAAGGGAAGGGAAAGATTGTGCTTAAAGAAACCCAGAACTGCATCTTTTGGACCTGTGAAAGCACCCATTGATTGTCAGCCCAGAGAACAGGACACTCTTCTATTTTATTAGACAGTGATGTAGAGAAGGCAGAGGGATTAATTAGGTCATTGTGGCTCACTTGGATCAGGATCAGTCCAACTCTTGAACTCTGCATACTTAATAGGCTCACCCAGGTGATTTGGGAAGTTTAGAAAACTCTGGATCAAGTGGTTGTCTTCATAGTACCTCAGTCTTACTGCCTCCCCTAATCCCTATAAGCTTTGTCCTACCAGTGGCCTCTCGGCAGGAACACTCTGGGCAGGTGTGTCCCTGCAGGGACTGCCTGTGTCCTCTTCTGCTTAAACCTTGGAGCTCATTTGGGAGCAGATAGCGGGGGGAGTAGGGTAGGGGCTGGGCAGGGGAGAGAGATGTCTATCTGGGCTTCCAGGTGAGGTGGCCAGATGATGTGTTTAATAGGCTGTCCGGAGGGAGAAGGCAGGGAGCTAGCAGGCTCTGGTTTGGATGATATTAACGTCTGAAAGAGGCCCAGACTGGCTTGCAGTGCCCGGTAAAGAGATGAGCCTAGGCCAGGCGTGGTTGCTCACACCTGTAATCCCAGCACTTTGGGAGGCCGAGGCAGGTGGATCACCTGCGGTCGTGAGTTCGAGACCAGCCTGACCAACATGGAGAAACTCTGTCTCTACTAAAAATACAAAATTAGCTGGTCATGGTGGTACATCCCTGTAATCCCAGCTACTCGGGAGGCTGAGGCAGGAGAATTGCTTGAACCTGGGAGGCGGAGGTTGCAGTGAGCTGAGATTGTGCCACTGCACTCCAGCCTGGGCAACGGAGCGAAACTCCGTTTCAAAAAAAAAAGCCCAGCCTGCTTGGGCCTGTATTCACTCTGGGCATGAGAGTATGAGTGGAACCCAATATACTTCTCCTTACATCCTAGAAAGTTATATCACCTTTCATAAAATGAAACCACTTGAAGATTAATTGAAACCATCTTAATGTAAAAGCATTAGGGGAAAGGCTGCTGGGTACTCCTAAGCAAGACTCTCCTACTGTGTTTTGGGGGTTTATGTACCCCACTCCCTGCAGACAATATGCTTCTGAATCAGATTGTATTTTACGGAAGAAAGAGGCAGTTAGAAATCAGATGAAAATGGCCAGGTGTGGTAGTGGGCTCCTATAATCCGAGTGACTCGGGAGGCCAAGGCAGGAGGATCGCTTGAGCCCAGGAGTTCAAGGCTGCAATGAGCCATGGTTACACCATTGCACCCCAGCCTGGATAAGAGAGTGAGAGCCCGCCTCTTGAAAAAAAAAAAGAAAAGAAATCAGATGAAAACTCTTTCAAGGGAACCTGAAAAAGAAAGCTGGTTACAAGTTCTGGTTTCTGCATGATGTCATGGTGGCTGTTTCTAATGTCACCTGCCTTCAGGCTTTCCTTCCTGCAGTTGTAGGGGCAGGTCAAGGTTTCCTTAGAGCCTAGAACGAGCCTGACTTATTGGTCAGAGTGAACATGTGTATAGGACCTTGCTAGGCTTGACCCAATCAGCAGGGCTGGGGGTGGTATCAGGTGTCTCAGCCACTTGGAGTTTGGATCTGCTGCCAAGGAAAAACCGTATATTTTATGAGGAGTTCTGAAATTCTCTGCCAGCATCTCATCTGCCCTCTGCTGTACAGCTCACCTCAAGATTTTCCCTGAGGCTGTGGCTCTCCTGTCCTGTCACCAGTCCTGCTTCTTTCTTTTTTTTTTTTTTTTTTTGAGACAGAATCTCACTCTGTCGCCCAGGCTGGAGTGCAGTGGCGCGATCTCGGCTCTCTGCAAGCTCCACCTGCCAGGTTCACACCATTCTCCTGCTTCAGCCTCCCGAGTAGCTGGGACTACAGGCGCCCGCCACCATGCCCGGCTAATTTTTTGTATTTTTAGTAGAGACGGGGTTTCACCGTGTTAGCCAGGATGGTCTTGATCTCCTGACCTCGTGATCTGCCCACCTCAGCCTCCCAAAGTGCTGGGATTACAGGCGTGAGCCCCATGCCTGGCCTCCAGTCCTGCTTCTTTGGGTTCAGCCCTATGCTATAAAATCTCACCTTCCTCAGGCCTTTTGCAGACACATCAGATCCTCTGGCTTTGTATCTGTTCTTGGTGCTTTGGACACCACCTCCACCCCAATGCCTTTGTTTTTCTCCAGGCCCTCTTTCTTCATTTATTCATCTGCCTCTGCATTTCTGTAACTTTCTGAGTAGTGGGTGCTCAGGTTGTTCACGTATCTTCATCAAGAAGTCTGTCTGGGATAAAGCAGAAGTTGCAATGATTGCCTTCTGAATCACCCCTCAGCTGAGGAGCACCAGCAGGCAAAACCAGTCCACTGAGCTTGTAAGCAGGTCTGTGGCATCAGCTTATTCTTGTTGCTAGAGAGAATTTGGAGTAGGTGCTACAAGGTGCTTCCCTTCTGCCGTCAAATGTAAGATTCTTAATGAATGTCCCGATTTAATCTGGGCTGCGTTTTCCACTCCCTTGTACCACACCACTCACAGTTCAGTATGGCGGCTCCGGCCTGGGCTACCTGGAGCATGTGCTGGTGATGGAGGAGATATCCCGAGCTTCCGGAGCAGTGGGGCTCAGTTACGGTGCCCACTCCAACCTCTGCATCAACCAGCTTGTACGCAATGGGAATGAGGCCCAGAAAGAGAAGTATCTCCCGAAGGTGAGGAAATGGAAATGTAATACACGCTAATCTCACAGTGCAACCACCAACTAAAAGATACCCTCTCCCCTTGGGGGCCAGTCAGACCTGCTTTCTGTAGCATGCTGCCATGAACCAAATGTGGTTAGGAAGGGGCCATGGATTGCTTTAAAATACTTGAGCCAAAAATAATAAAAATAGGACCAGAACTCTTGCATTGAACAACAGACAGACAACATTTGAAGAGAACTCTAAGAAATGGAAGAGTAGGACTAGCTTCCTTTGCAAAGGGAATGGAAAAAGGAGAGGCATTTTCAGCCTTGTAGCCATTGGGCTTAGAAGAGACTTCTAGGACTTTACCGACACCCTGGTCTGAGAGCGAAGTTTGAAGGGGTTTAATGTGGACAGGAAGAGGCAGTACCAGTGAGCTGCTCTAGGGTACTCTGAGGTTGTAACAAGGCCTGTTGGGGGTTTTCCTTGCAGCTGATCAGTGGTGAGTACATCGGAGCCCTGGCCATGAGTGAGCCCAATGCAGGCTCTGATGTTGTCTCTATGAAGCTCAAAGCGGAAAAGAAAGGTGAGGCCACTCTCAACTTGGGAGCCAAAATGGGCAGAGGTACAGACATTATCAGGATAATGGAGCAACAATTGTGGGTGGCCCCTGCTGGGTTTCCAGAACTTTCTCAAAGGTGGACAGCTTCTTGCTCAGCAGAAGGTCTATGGCCTGGCTGAGACAGGCCAAGATGGCTTGAGCAAATAGCCAACATCCTGCCCTTAGGAAATCACTACATCCTGAATGGCAACAAGTTCTGGATCACTAATGGCCCTGATGCTGACGTCCTGATTGTCTATGCCAAGACAGATCTGGCTGCTGTGCCAGCTTCTCGGGGCATCACAGCCTTCATTGTGGAGAAGGTGAGTATAGGTGGGTGCAGGGCCAGGAGGCTTCTGCCTCCTGACAGTGGTACCAGAGATAGCCCGTTCACTGATCTCAAATGGAATCAGTGTTGTGTGCTCTGCAAGGCCCCCAGAGGTGGGGGTGAGGCAGAGAGCAGACTGCAAGGAGGGTGACCAAAAGTCCAGGAAGTCCAGGGCAGATGGGTCACTTCTGAAGACGGTGGAGCCGTCCTCAGCGCCAGGCCACACAAAGAGGTCTAGAAAGGGGAGGACTAAAAGGAGGTCAGGACATGACGGTCAGGGTACCATTGGTGGATCTGATGAATGTGGCCATGGGAGACTGAGGTGTGGGTGGGATGCAAGTGGAGACTGCCCCTGCAACAGCCTTGACAACAGAAGCAAGAAGGAAGCAGAGCAGGAGTTCCAATGAAAAGTTAGGAGTTTGGGTTTGTTTTTAGAAATGAGAGAACTGAGCAGATTTTTTGGTCAGAAGGAAAAAAAAGGGAAGAAAAAAGAAAATAGAGGGAGAAATTGAAAAGTGTGGGAATGAGTGGGCAGAACACAATGGTGAGCTGGGGCAGAAGAGAGAAGGATGGGTTACAGGTGATGGTGCAGGAACCACTTGCCTAACGATCATGAGGAGGAAGCCAGGGGCCCTGTGAAGGCTGGGGCCACGAGTGGGGGAGTTGGCAAGAGTTTCATGAGCGAGTATTGTAAAGGTTTGCGGTACCCTCCATAGAGAGGGGGAAAGTAGCTGTCTAGGGTTGGAGCAGTAGGGACCTGGCTGAGATTGGAAATCTCAAGGTTGCGTGATGCCACCCTCATTACAGGCTGAAGGCAGCATGTGCCAGCACTTTGCTGGTCACTTGCCAAAACATGCTGCAACCCAGTAGTCCAGGTCAAAGTACAGAGGGCTCAGTTCAGCCCTAGTGGGATCCCTTTGGGTACAGACAGGAGAACAACAGAGGATAAGGGAATTGACCGGGCTGGTGACAGTGTCTTGGAAGTAATGTCCCCTGGGGGAGGGAAATAAGGCCAGGGGGGTCGGGAGGGCTCAGGGAACTGAGCATATCATTGAGAAAGAAGTGTCCCCATGAGAACTGGGGAGAACACAAGCTAGTGGCAGAGGAGGCTGGGATCAATCTGGGGCGTTAGCACCGGAAGGTCCCGGGGGGAGCATGGGACTAGGATGCTGCCATGCTGTGCAGGTACAGGGACTCAATAGGAAGGTGAGTGCCTTCTTCCCAGAGGCCTTTCCTTTACCAGGCCCCCTTGGGGCTAATCTGTAACCAGGACCACCTTTTGTTTCCTGTAAAGGGTATGCCTGGCTTTAGCACCTCTAAGAAGCTGGACAAGCTGGGGATGAGGGGCTCTAACACCTGTGAGCTAATCTTTGAAGACTGCAAGATTCCTGGTAAGTAGCACCGGGAATCGGGGAGCCCCTCTCCTGACCCCCTTCCAGGCTGATCTGGCTGTTCTCAAGTTGAGAAAGCCTCTGGGTTAGAGAGGCTTGGCATTGTTAGCGCTTCAGTGACATGTGGCTAGGCTGTGAGCTGGGGCTGCTGGACAGCGCTCCTTCCTGGCCAGGGCCCTGCAGCGGCATGCCTAACTGGCATCACACACTCCGCATAGGGTCTGTACTCAGTAGCCGGAGGAGAAGGGTCAGACCTACCCTTTCCCATTGATGTCCTTCAGTCTTCCTGTACTTTCGCCCATCCACTGCATGTGAGTAACTCATTAACTCACGTTTTTGTAAAATATTTTAAAAATGAGTTATTCATTTTTAGCATTAATGATGCTAAGAAAAAAAAACAAAACATCTGAATCCACTGATGGAATCCCGACTCAGTAGAGAGAAGGCAGTTCTGCTTGAGTATGAGTATTTTCTCCCCTGAGGTGTAACTGAAATCTGACATGGTGGAGCACTGTGGGAGAGCCAGCACAGCCATCATGTACTAACCAGACCAGGGGCATGGATTTGTTGTTTGGGGTTTTTTTTTGTTTTTTTTGTTTGTTTGTTTGTTTGTTTGTTTTGAGAAGGAGTCTTGGCTCTGTCACCCAGGCTAGAGTGCAGTGGCGTGATCTCAGCTCACGGCAGCCTCCACCTCCTGGGTTCCAGTGATTCTCCTGCCTCAGCCTCCCGAGTAGCTGGGATTACAGGCATGCGCCACCCTGCCCAGCTAAATTTTTTGTTTGTTTTTTTGAGATGGAGTGTCGCTCTTGTTGCCCAGGGCTGGAGTGCAATGGCGCGATCTTGGCTTACTGCAACCTCCGCCCCCTGGGTTCAAGTGATTCTCCTGTCTCAGCCTTCTGAGTAGCTGGGATGACAGGCACACACCGCCCAGCTAATTTTGTATTTTTAGTAGAGACAGATGGGGTTTCACCATGTTGGCCAGGCTGCTCTCGAACTCCTGACCTCAGGTGATCCACCTGTCTCAGCCTCCCAAAGTGCCAGGATTATAGGCCTGAGCCACCTTGCCTGGCCAGGGGCATGGATTTGATCAACAGTTAGGTTTGCTGTCTGCCTCAGCCATATACCACGCCTATCACTGACAGCCCAAAAAAGTGTACTTTAATTACAGGGAGCATCCAGGGAGGGGGAGCTGTGCAGCTCCTTCTTTGTTGACAGGAAAAAATTCAGCTAGCATTAAAGGCAGGTCAGTAGTGTCAACCTGTTTTCCTGCCCACACCTCCCAAGGCCATCCAGTCTCCTGGCTTTACTGGGTGGAGAGGTGCTCAGCAGCTTCTGTCACTAGCTCTGAATGGCCTGTCTCCTGGACAAAGAAGCTTTCACGGACTACTCTGCAGGGAGGTGACATTGGACCAGAGCTGACTCCACCTGGGGGAAAGAGTAATTCTCTGGTTTCTTTATAGGTGCCTGTGTAGAAAGAGTCAGGGAGGGATTGGGTGACTTCTAGACCAATTAACTTTTCTTCTTTCCCATCCAAGGGAGTCCAGAGAGGGAAGGGAAAGATCTAACAACTCTAGCCTTTGTGGTTGGCCTCGTGGATGGGGTGGGAGTCCTGGCAGCTCCACTTCTGACTGGAAGGGGTTCACTTGATCCTTTTCTTTCACCTGGAACCTTAGTTGAATAAAGGTCAAGTGACATATTTTAGTGCCTTACTTGAGAGCCATGTTTCCAAATCTAGTACCTTTGATAAAAGTGAGGAGGCTGTGGACAGCTCTCTCCCTCTGACCAGCACTTATCCTGGCAGCTGCCAACATCCTGGGCCATGAGAATAAGGGTGTCTACGTGCTGATGAGTGGGCTGGACCTGGAGCGGCTGGTGCTGGCCGGGGGGCCTCTTGGGTAAGTGTGAGAGGCTTGAGGGAAGCTGGGCTCTGTCGGCCTCCTCGGCAGGTGACCCACCATGAGCAGCAGCAGCCTTCCCCTTGCGGGGCCAAAGGGAGCTGCCTCTTGGCCCTGCTCTCTCCTGGGAGATGAAAGGAACCTCCTCTTCCCATGTTGAATTTCTTCCCACAGTGGGGAAATATCATTAAGTAACAGACAAAAGGCCTGAGGAGCAGGGTGGCTTACTCGGCTGTGAAACGACACCTGGGCTGTCACGCCCCTGCACCTCTGGCCAGTCAGTGCCGTAACTGTGGCAAGACTTTCTGAAGTTGCTTTTCTCCTCCCTGGGATTCTGGCCTTCCCACGCTAGCATTTTGCCACCACACCCGGTGGTGGGATGAGGAGGTGCCCACGGGGCCTTTCTCCTTTCTGACAGGCTCATGCAAGCGGTCCTGGACCACACCATTCCCTACCTGCACGTGAGGGAAGCCTTTGGCCAGAAGATCGGCCACTTCCAGGTGAGCCGAGTGCTTTTGCTGACATGTACTCTTCAACTGGGCTAAAGTTTTCTTTGAAAAGAGAGGAAGTGAGGTGGGCACCGTGGATGGTTACTGTCTCCTCTAGCAAATTGAGCTTGACTGCTTGGAATGCAGTCTTCCTCAGCATGCAGCCTGACTCTGGAAGTCATCAGGAAGTTCACCACATTGCCACCTCGATTCCTGTGTGAGGTGGATGAACTAGACATTGTAAGGTTGGAGAGCAAAGCGTGCAAGTTGTGGGGGCAGAAGGGAAAGAGGTTGCTATTTGTAGTTAGACCTTCTGGTCCGAAGAAGCTGCTGGAAGGTAATAAGCATTGGAGTAAATGGTGCCTTGGGAGCCATGCCTTTCGGAGGCAGTGATGGCCACTTCGGGGTGTCATGCGGGCTGTGGAACAGCCACTCTGTGGCCCTAACTCCCACACCTGCCCCCATCTCCATCATCCTGAGTAAATCCCATCTCCTCTCCATGCCCCTGCTTCCTCATCCTTGGCTGTCTTGTTGCCATTGCTGACCTGCTTTTGGTAACTGAGAGAGTGTTCCAGCATGTTGACCTGTGACATCCCTTTGTGCCCAGTTGATGCAGGGGAAGATGGCTGACATGTACACCCGCCTCATGGCGTGTCGGCAGTATGTCTACAATGTCGCCAAGGCCTGCGATGAGGGCCATTGCACTGCTAAGGTGAGGGCCAGCCTCAGTCGGGGAGAGGCGGGGGCAGTGGACCAGCTGCTGAGACTTGCTGTCTGCGTGCCTCGCAGGGCCCTGCTGACCCCAGCTTCCTCCCGTAGGACTGTGCAGGTGTGATTCTTTACTCAGCTGAGTGTGCCACACAGGTAGCCCTGGACGGCATTCAGTGTTTTGGTGAGTGATCCCCACTTCCCAGTCCCGGGGCTCCCTCACTCCTGGGGCCTGTGGCTGCTTCAGAAAGCAGTTTCAGGGCGGGCGTGGTGGCTCACACCTATAATCCCAGCACTTTGGGAGGCCGAGGTAGGCAGATCACCTGAGGTCAGGAGTTCAAGACCAGCCTGGCCAACATGGTGAAACCGCATGCCGGGCATGATGGTGCATGCCTGTAATCCCAGCTACTTGGGAGGCTGAGGCAGGAGAATCGCTTGAACCCGGGAGGCAGAGGTTGCAGTGAACAAAGATTGCACCATTGCACTCCAGCCTAGGTGACAGAGCGAGAGGCTGTCTCAAAAAAAAGCAATTTCCTCTCCACTTCTCCACTCCTCACTATGTGCTTATGCTAGGCCCAGCTGAGCTGGGACCTTCGGGCTCTTTCTGTCCCAGTTACAAGGAGGAAATGGAAAGCAAATGAGAAAACTGCTAGATGCCAGGAGTTGCTGCTGCCTTCGGCAACACCCCCCTCTCATCCTCCCCGCCTCATAGATGCTAGGAAATGGGAAAGGGAGATGTGGCTGGGCACAGTGGCTCACACCTGTAATTCCAACACTTTAGGAGACTGAGGCCAGTGAATCACCTGAGATCAGGAGTTTGAGACCAGCCTGGCCAACATGGTGAAACCCTGTTTCTACTAAAAATACAAAAAAAAATTAGCCAAGTGTGGTGGCAGGAGCCTGTAATCCCAGCTATTTGGAAGGCTGAGGCTGGAGAATCTCTTGAACCCAGGAGGCGGAGGTTGCAGTGACCGGAGATCGCGCCATTGCACTCCAGCCTGAGTGACAAGAGTGAAACTCCGTCTCGGAAAAAAAAAAAAAAAAAAAGGCCGGGCACGGTGGCTCACACCTGTAATCCCAGCACTTTGGGAGGCCGAGGCAGGTGGATCACCTGAGGTCAGGAGTTCGAGACCAGCCTGACCAACGTGGTGAAACCCCATCTCTACTAAAAATACAAAAATTAGCTGGGTGCAGTGGTGCGCGCCTGTAATCCCAGCTACTCAGGAGGCTGAGGCAGGAGAATCACTTGAACCTTGGATGCGGAGGTTGCAGAGAGCCAATATCATGCCACTGCACTCCAGCCTAGGCCACAGAGCATGACTCCAAAAAAAAAAAAAAAAAAGCTAAATGGAAATTTCTAGAAATAGTTCATAAGTTTCAAATCCACACCATCCTGAATAGCTTGAAGTGTTGTGCCATGCTGCTCTGTCATGTTTGGTACGTGAATCGTCCCTTTGTGCAGCCTATCTATGCTATGTGGGCTACCTGCCCGTTAGTAGTCACCTAGGGTATCCAATCAGCTGTCCTGATATCAGAGTGCCTGTGTTCAAGTAACTCTTATTTTGCTCAGTGGCCCCAGATTGCAAGAGTAGTGATGCTGGCATGTCATAATAGTTCTATTTTAGTATTTGTTATTATTGTTGATCTGTTACTATGCCTAGCTCATAAATTAAACTTTCTCATAAGTATGTATGTATAGGGAAAAAAACAACATATATATGGGGTTCGGTACTATCTACGGTTTCAGGCATCCACTGGGGTCTTGGAATGTATCCTCCAAGGATAAGGAAGGACTAGTGTATTCCCCACACCCCTCCCTCTTGCTACCTTTTGCTGCTTTTCTTTAATCACCCTCTCCTCCTGTGGCCTGTTTCTATATACTTGGCATTCTGTTTGCTTTCTTTGTTTTGTCAATCACTTCCTTTCTTCTCTGCCCAAACCCTGGTTGCAGGTGGCAATGGCTACATCAATGACTTTCCCATGGGCCGCTTTCTTCGAGATGCCAAGCTGTATGAGATAGGGGCTGGGACCAGCGAGGTGAGGCGGCTGGTCATCGGCAGAGCCTTCAATGCAGACTTTCACTAGTCCTGAGACCCTTCGCCCCCTTTTCCTGCACCTAGTGGCCTTTCTTGGGAAGTAGAGATGTGGCGGCTTTCCCACCCTGCCCACAGCAGGCCCTCCTGCCCAGCTGCTCTTGTCAGCCCTCTGGCCTCTGGATGAGGTTGAGTTCTCCACAACAGCTCCCAAGCATCATGGGCCTCGCAGCCGGGCCTGTGCCACGGCTAGTGTTGTGTGATTTAAAATGGACTCAGCAGGAAGCATATTGTCTGGGGATTGTTGGGACAGGTTTTGGTGACTCTGTGCCCTTGCTCTCTAACTTCTGAGCCCACCTCCCAGGGTAGGCACCTGGGGGCATGCAGGTGCCCACCTCCCAGGGTAGGCACCTGGGGGCATGCAGGTACCCACCTCTTTCTCTTGGGTGAGGCTCTGGCAAGGAGATCTCTCTGCTCAAGCACAGCAGAATCATGGCCCCTCTCCATGAATTGGAACTTGGTACAGGTTAAGTATCCCTAATCCTGAAATCTGAAACACTTGTGGTTCCAAGCATTTTGGATAAGGCAAATTCAACTTTCAGTCTCTTTTCTGGGGGAAAAAAATAATAAACCTAGCCTAGCCAGGCGTGGTGGCTCATGCTTGTAATCCCAGCACTTCAGGAGGCTGAGATGGGTGGATCACCTGAGGTCAGGAGTTCAAGACCAGCCTGGCCAACATGTGGAAACCTCGCCTCAACTAAAAATAGAAAAAAATTAGTTGGGCATGGTGGTGGGCACCTGTAATCCCAGCTACTTCAGGAGGCTGAGGCAGGAGAATTACTTGAACCCAGGAGGCGGACGTTGCAGTGAGCCGAGCTTGTGCCATTGCACTCCAGCCTGGGCGACAAGAGCAAAACTCTTCAAAAAACAAAACAAAACAAAAAAACCCTGGCCCTTGTTTCTTCCAGTTTCTAGAGGTATCAGCTCCTAGCAGCTTATGAACACATATGCTTGCTTGGCCAGGCAAGGTGGTGTGTGCCTGTAATCCCAGCACTTTGGGAGGCCAAGGCAGGTGGATCACTTGCAGTCAGGAGTTCAAGACCAGCCTGTCCAACGTGGTGAAACCCCATCTCTACTAAAAATACAAAAATTAGCCAGGGGTGGTGGTGCACGTCTGTAATCCCAGCTACTCAGGAGGCTGAGGCAGGAGAATCACTTGAACCCGGGAGGTGGAGGTTGCAATGAGCCAATATGACACCGCTGCAGTCCAGCCTGGGCCATAGAGTGAGACTCTGTCTCAAAAAAGGAAAGAAAAATAGGCTGGGCACAGTGACTCATGCCTGTAATCCCAACACTTTGGGAGGCCGAGGCAGGTGGATCACGAGGTCAGGAGTTCAAGACCAGCCTGGCCAAGATGGTAAAACCTCGTCTCTACTAAAAATACAAAAATTAGCCAGGTGTGGTGGCAGGCTCCTGTAATCCCAGCTACTCAGGAGGCTGAGGCAGAGAATTGCTTGAACCCGGGAGGCAGAGTTTGCAGTGAGCCAAGATCACACCACTGCACTCCAGCTTGGACGACAGAGCGAGACTCTGTCTCAAAAAATAATAGGCCAGGCATGGTGGCTCAACGTCTGTAATCCCAGCACTTTGGGAGGCCGAGGCGGGCAGATCACAAGGTCAGGAGTTCGAGACCAGCCTGACGACCAACATGGTGAAACCTCGTCTCTACTAAAAATACAAAAATTAGCCAGGCCTGGTGGCACGCGCCTGTAATCCCAGTTACACAGAAGACTGAGGCAGGAGAATCGCTTGAACGCAGGAGGCAGAGGTTGCAGGAGCTGAGATCGCGCCATTGCACTCCAGCCTGGGCAACAGAGTGAGACTCTGTCTCAAAAAATAATAATAAAATAAATGAACACACATGCTGCTGAGTCCGCAGGGGGGGCAGAGCAGAGGACAGCGTGCTTTTGTGTACTGTTGGAAGACTGGCTCCTCCTGTACAGCACCTCTGAGCCCTTGTGCACCGCCCTGCCACGGGCACCATCCAGTCCTGGCCGTGTGACCACCCACAGCTGACTGGGCAGCAGGCACAGGCCCTACCCGAGCAGGCCGGAGTTGGCTCGCATGACTCCAGCTGAGGCTGCCTGTGTACATTTCTCCAGATACCCTATGGCTAATTTTGTTATAACTGCACAGTGGCTGCTGCCATTTTGTATTAAATATATTGTGAAACAAACCTATCTGGGGAGAAGCAATCTACTTGCCGCTGCTTCCTGTCTGGATCCAGCTTGTGTCCTTGGAGAGTGGCTGGCCCAGGTCCTATTCCTGTCCTCCAGCCCGTTCTTTCATGAGGGACAGGAAGGTAAAATCAGCCCTTAGGAGAGAGGTCTCAGCCTCCCTTTCCCAGATCTCCCAGTGAGTTTTAAAGGAAGCAGGGAGCCCAGAGTGCTAAGTTCTTACAGCCAGAAGGAAGCTTATAGATTTCTGAAAACCGCCCCTTTGTTTTTAAAAAGATCAACACAATTTGACTTTCTCAAGGTCAAAACGAACTAGAATCCAGATCTGCTCATGGCAAAAATGGGGGTGTTCTGAGAATTCCAGCTTTGGGCCGCACTGTACAGCAGTCTGGATAGAGTGTGATCTGAGAAGGGAATGGGTCTGGGTTGTTCCACCCCTTCCGAGTTCCAAAAAGAGGGAACTGGTTTTCTTGGTTCTCAGCCCAGCAGCACCTATCCTGGCTCTTGGTCCTGGCCTGCAGCCAAGTGCTGTTCCTAGCCTGAGGCTTGAGACAGGTGGGGTTGGCTCCTCACCAACCCCAGTTCCGTCCCATCCTGAGGGCAAGATCCTGGGCTCATAGGCAGTCCCTTTCACTTCCTTGTCTTGCTCCCTGCTATGTTGGAGATGAATGTGACTAAAAGGGCCATCTTGCTGGCTTAATGTGTGGCTGGAGAGACCAGCCTGGAGACAATGTGGCAAAATGGGGCGCTTCATCCAGTCTGTCTAAGCCCTGTCGACTTGGGGAGGTGATTTCTTTCCTGGTTCTATATGTGAAGCAAAATAAATGTTTTAAAATTAAAAGCAAAAAAAACAAAATGAACCATGCAGCCTGAGTGGTAAATGGAAGAACAAGGGGCACGTCTACTTTGGTTCTTGTGGGCGTGTTTGGTTGCCTACATGCATTGGGCAAATCTGCAGCACCAGCTGCCAGCACTGCTCCTTCCTGCGGCTGGCTCTTACTCCACTCCAATTTTAGGCAGGTCACACTATCAGGGCAGCTCGCTGCTGTTGATGCTGCCTGCCCTGTGGGAGGGCAACAGAACCTTGGGATGTTTTTTAAGCGTGGTCTGAGCACACCCCTTATCAAAATTTGGCAACCTAGAATAAATGCAGGTTCCTGGATCCTGCCCCAGACCTAATCACATCCCCAAGGGTGAGTCTGCAAGGCAATCTTCTACAACCACCATCTGAGTCCTAAAGCAGGCTTCCCCAGGAGCCTAAGTCCTAATTCTAAATCCATATAATCTAGTGATAACAATCCCTTGCCCATGTAACCCTCTCAAGTCTGAGATCCTTGATCTTTGCACAACCGAGTGCAGGAGGCAAGGTTTCGCGCAGGGCCCCCTTTCAGAAGACCGGTAAGGTGAGTTGCCCTCGGTGGAATGGGACTAGACCTGGTGTCAACACACCGCGCGGTCTGGAGAGAGGTTCCCAGTCCCTGCCTGCCGGGTGGGAGCTGGGACCTAAGACCCAGGTGGCCATCTGTCGCGACCCCCAGCCTAGGGCAGGTCCAGAGTCCTTCCTCTGACCCTCTCCCTCGAGGCAGCGCGCTTCTTCGAGCGCAGCACTGGCTTGCCAGACGCAGCTCGAGTGTCGCATGGAGCTCGCCTGACCCCTGCCGGCTGCCCGCGGGGTTGGGTTGCAAACGCGCGGAGCCAGCCTATATGGCCTTTGCCTGGGGTTCAAGGCCCCCAGTTTGGGATTTCAGGACTCAACGACGTTTTGTTTTAGCCAATAAGGACATGAAAGGGAAGAGGGGTTGGGGGAAGCCTATCCTCTATTACCATCATTTCATAAAAGGCTTTTTTTTTTTGAGACGGAGTCTCGCTCTGTCGCCCAAGCTGGAGTGCAGTGGCGCAATCTTGGCTCACTGCAAGCTCCGCCTCCCAGGTTCACGCCATTCTCCTGCCTCAGCCTCCCGAGTAGCTGGGACTACAAGCGCCCGCCACCATGCCCGGCTAATTTTTTGTATTTTTAGTAGAGACGGGGTTTCGCCGTGTTAGCCAGGATGGTCTCGATCTCCCGACCTCATGATCTACCCACCTCGGCCTCCCAAAGTGCTGGGATTACAGGCGTGAGCCACCGCGCCCGGCCGACTTTTTTTTTTTTTTTTTTTTTTTTTTTTTTTTAAGACGGAGTCTCACTTTGTCATCTAGGCTGGAGTGCAGTGGCGCGATCCCAGCTCACTGCAACCTCCACATCTAGGGTTCAAGCGATTCTCGTGCCTTAGCCTCCCAAATAGCTGGGATTACAGGCATGTGCCACCATGCCTGGCTAATTTTTGTATTTTTAGTAGAGACGGGGTTTCACCATGTTGGCCAGGCTGGTCTCAAAGCCCTGGCCTCAATTGATCCACCGGCCTCAGCCTCCCAAAGTGCTGGGATTACAGGCATGAGCCACCACGCCCAGCTAGGCCAGGATTTTTATTTGTTTGTTTATTTATTTATTTTTGAGACAGGATCTCACTCTGTCAC
This sequence comes from Homo sapiens, assembly GCF_000001405.40. Lineage (NCBI taxonomy): Eukaryota > Metazoa > Chordata > Mammalia > Primates > Hominidae > Homo > Homo sapiens. The sequence goes on from NC_000015.10 coordinate 40,422,963, forward strand.
CCAGTGCAGTGGCGTGATCTCAGCTTACTGCAGCCTCGACCTCCCTGGCTCAAGGATCCTCTGGCCTCAGTCCTCCCCCTTGCCACCCACCCCCAGCCCCCCAGTAGCTGGAACTAGAGGTGTGCACCACCATGCCAGACTAATTTTTGTATTTTTTGTAGAGCCGGGCTTTCACCATGTTGTCCAGGCTGGGCTCAACTGCTGGGCTCAAGCGATCCTCCTGCCTCCACTTTCCAAAGTGTTGGGATTATAGGCGTTGAGCCAGTGTGCCCAGCCCTTAAATTTTTGTATATGCTTTATGTTCACTGTTTTAAAAAATACTACAGTTTTTAAAAGCTTATTTAAAAAAATAAAAGTCCCCTGTCCCTCCTATCCCCATTCCCACTCCCAGGACAAAACCACTTTTGAATCTTTAAGGGGCTTCTTTTGATAATTCACTTCATACCTCTAAGTGACATGCTTACTTATTGATTTAATTGTAAGCACTTTTAAGGATAGTTTTTGTTTTTGTTTTTAAGACGGAATCTTGCGCTCTCTCGCCCATGCTGGAGTACAGTGGCATAATCTCAGCTGACTGCAACCTCCGCCTCCTGGGTTCTAGCGATTCTTCTGCCTCAGCCTCCCGAGTAGCTGGGACTACAGGTGCACACCACCATGCCCGGCTAATTTTTGTATTTTTAGTAGAGACAGGGTTTCACCATATTGGCCAGGCTGGTCTCAAACTCTTGACCTCATGATCTGCCCACCTCGGCCCCCCAAAGTGCTGGGATTCCAGGCATGAGCCACCATGCCCGGCCCAAGGATAGTTCTTTAAAGTGCATACATTTGATTTATGAGAAGTTATGCCCATACTTTTTTCACTTCCTCGGGCCAGCCCTGTCCACGGGCCAGTGTTTGGGAGCCCTGAAATCAGGTGGTGCAGAGCCCCATTCACATTCCTGGCTGTCCCCAACCCCTGCCCACACTTGGTACCCAGAGCCTACAGCCACGCTAGTGCCGAGTGGGAGCTCTCCTCTCCCTGTGTGCGCCACTTGGTTACTCTTGCAGGGGGCCGTTCCAGAATTTGGCCTCTTTCCCTCACCCACCACCCAGCCACTCTCAGAGGCTAGCCTGGTATCTCTTAAATACTTCCTGGATCTTAACATCCTGCCAACTTGCCTTCCTTCTTCCAGGCCATGCCCCTCAACCCTTCCTCTACACTGAACCAGTGAACTATCAAGCTCCCCGCAAATTCTTCAGTGGCTCCCAGCACCTGTAAGATCTAAGGCTTGGCAAGGCAAATATGACTCTGATCCCCCTGGGCCTTCCCCTTCTGCTGCTTCCCTCCTTCCCTGCTGAATGTTCGTGTTCTTGTTGCAAGGAGTCCTCACTGCCATGTTTCTCATCCCTGTGCCTTTGGTCTGGGGCAGCTCTGGAAGTCCTTCCAGCCCTTCAAACTTTCTCTTGCTTCCTCATCTCTAAAGCCTCAGGCCAGGGCCTGCCTCCTTCAGGAAGACCTCTCTTCTCCAACCTTCCCTCATTCCTCTGTCTCCATCTCATCCATCCTGGATGGGTCCCCTTTCTCCTTCTCCCTGGGCATATCTGCACTGATGGGCTTGCCACACAGTTGTTTATTCCAGTTTCCCCAGCATTAGGCAGGCTGTGAATCTGAGAGCTAGGACTGTGATTTGACTGTCTTTACATGATCACCATCCAGCACAGTTCCTGGCATGTAATAGGTGCACAACAAATATTTATTGAAAGAGTAGATGAGTAGTCACATGACACTTAGCTCACATTTTGCTGGTATACTGTTATTTGTGTATACGGTCCTCTCTGTAAGATCTTTGAGGTCAAAGACCCTCTCTCACTTATCTGAACTCTCCCAATAGCACCCGGGGCTCACAGTAAGTGCTCAGTGGCTATGTTCATGCTGAATGAGTGAAATGACAGGTGGGCCAGAGCCCTGGCCTAATCCCAGCATTGGCAGAAACAGCAGGGCCAGCCGGCTTTGCCTGGCCCTGTTTTCTCCAGGCCTTCCCACCCTGGAGTGGCCAGAGCCCAGCCGCAGAAGGGAGGCCCTCATCCCCGTACTCCTCTGACCCACTCAGAGACAGAAGGAAGCTGTGCTAAAAGACCCTGACCCTCCTCTGCTAGCTGAGGACGAGAATGGGAGCTGGAAGGGGAAAGGGGCAGAGCAGAGCCACACAGCCTTTGTGTTCTTGTGTGAAATGCATGGTATATATGGGAGAGTATATACATGCACATATGCAGTGTGAAAAATAACAAACTCCTGTGTACCCAACACGCAGGTCAATGAAGACAGTATTCCAAGCCCATGTGCCCCTCCTTGACATATTCTCCCCAGGGGAGCCACCATCCTGAATTTGGTGATAATCCTCCCCTTACCTTTCTCAATGGCTTCCTGCCTCTGTATAGATCCCTGAACAATATTGTTTAGGTTGCCTGATTTCAAACTTTCTATAGCTGGACTCATACTATATATATATATATATATATATATATTCTTCCATATCTTGCTTTTTGGCTCATCATTGTATAGTTTTTGTTTTCTTGTTTTCTTGGTTTTTTTGTTTGTTTGTTTTTCATTTTGTTTTGAAACAGGGTCTCACTCTGTTCATGATCACAGCTCACTACAGCCTCAACCTTTTGGGCTCAAGCCATCTTCCTGCCTGGGCCTCCTAGGTAACTGGGATTACAGGGATTTGCCATAAAGCTCAGCTAATTTTTTTGTATTTTTTGTAGAGATGGGGCTTCATCATGTCGCCCAGGCTGGTCTCAGACTCCTGGGCTTAAGAGATCTGCCTGCCTCAGCCTCCCAAAGTGGCCTCCATGCTCAGCTCTTTTAAATTTTTTATTGTTTTTGAGACAGGGCCTCACTTTGTCACCCAGGCTGGAGTGCAGCGGCGCAGTCATGACTAACTGCAGCCTTGACCTCCCGGGCTCAAGTGATTCTCCCACTTCAGTCTCTTCAGTAGCTGGGATTAAAGGCCCAGTCCGGCTATTTTTTTTTTTTTTTCTTAAATGTTATAGAGACAGGGTCTCACTATGTTGCCCAGGCTGGTCTCCTGAGCTCAAGCCATCCTTCTGCTTCAGCCTCCCAAAGTGCTGGGATTACAAGTGTGAGCCACGGTGCCCAGCCTCATTCATGTTAATGAGCAGGACTGTAATCTCTTCAATTTTTTTTCTTGTGTAGTATTCCATAATGTGGAAATACAACAATTTAATTGTCCATTCTACTGTCGATGGACATTTGGGCTGTTTCCAGTTTGGGGCTATTCTAAAACATTCCTGGCCAGACGCGGTGGCTTATACCTGTAATCCCAGCACTTTGGGAGGCCGAGGCGGGTGGATCACCTGAGGTCAGGAGTTTGAAACAAGCCTGGCCAACATGGTGAAACCCTATCTCTACTAAAAATACAAAAATTAGCCGGGTGTGGTGGTGGATGCCTGTAATCCCAGCTACTCTAGAGGCTGAGGCACAAGAATAGCTAGAACCTGGGAGGCAGAGGTTGCAGTGAGCCGAGATCACACCATTGCACTCCAGCCTGGGCAACAGAGCGATACACTGTCTCAAAAAAAAAAAAAGAAAAGAAAAAACCATTCCTGTGGGTATCTTCTGATACAGATGTGCAAGTGTTCCTCAAGTCATAGTCCCAGGAATATAATTTATCTGTTGTAGGCTATGCACCTGATCAACCTTACTAGATAATTCAAAACTGTTTTCCAAAGTAGTTGTGGGCCTATTAGAATGATGCCACCAGAGGTGACTTGGGGCAAAAGTTGAATGCCAGCCCCAGGGCTAACCCCATGAGCTTATTTTCAGCAAGGGAGAGAAATCAGATGGCAAAAGTGTGCATCTGTGCATCGCTGCTTCCCCAGCCAGGCCCATAAACCACATGTTGAACAAACCTTTATAGGCAAGCTACTAAGACCCATGCACTGGGCGACGGGCTGGGGAGATGGTAATGATTTAGCACAGACCAGCCTCAGAGAGCAACAATTACGTTTCCATTTACCCTGCCAGGCAGCCGGATGCTCCAGTTTTGCCCTGGAAGACACGAGAGAGTAAGGGCTGGATAGATAAGTGGGAATTTTCTTGAAGAAAAAAAGGTATTCCAGGCCCAGGAATATCTCAGCACAGGCAGTACCTCCGCTCCTCAAAGGTGGCCAGTGGATCAGTGGCGGAAGTACAGAGGGCTGCCCTTGCTGGCAGAAGAAGGAAGGAAGGAAGCAAGAAGACTAGGGCTACGCTCGCACTGGCAGAGAGAGACACAGCTCCAGATCCAGATCCATTCAGACACAGCTTGTGCCTTGTGCCCGTCCAGGAGCAAACATGGGTGAGCATGCACATGGACATGCATACGTCTGCACACACTTTCAGAGAGGCTGTCAGACACGCTGCAGGAGCAGAGGCAAGGAGCGTGAACACGCAGCTGCTTGTGGGAGATAAGCCCAGCGCTGGGGGCTGCCTGCCTGGCCTGCCTTGAGAGTCCCCTTGCACATCTGCCTGGGTTCCCAAGAGGCAACCTCTACAAAGACATGTGTTTTCAGGACAACCTGCCCCCTCCCGCAAAGTCTTTCTATTTACAGGAATAGAGTAGCAAAATCCCTTAGTTCATACTTGAGTCTTGTCTGATGCTGCAGGCTGGCCAGGGCTGGGCATACAGTGGGTCTCTTTACTTGTTGAAGTAGAATAGTTAAATGAAATTTACTATAAGATAAATTAAGATAACTTTACTATAAGATATATTAAGATTTAAAATAGGGGGAAAGAGGAACCTGAAATGAGAAAAGGGTAGTGAAGGAAGACTTGATGTCCTTCATAACTGGCCTGCATCCTGCCCAGCCCCTCCTTTCTTTCCAGAAGCCCACCAGTGGCCCAGAGTGGAAGGGTGGGAGTCAGACCAGTCCAAGGTTGCTAATTAAGACTGGACTGCCAGGCACGGTGGCTCATGCCTGTAATCCCAGCACTTTGGGAGGCTGAGGCGGGCAGATCACCTGAGGTCAGAAGTTTGAGACCAGCCTGGCCAACATGGTGAAACCCCGTCTTTACTAAAAATAAAAAAATTGGCTGGGTGTGGTGGCACGCACCTGTAATGCCAGCTACTCAGGAGGCTGAGGCAGGAGAATTGCTTGAACCTGGGAGACGGAGGTTGCAGTGAGCCGAGATTTGGCCACTGCACTCCAGCCTGGGTGACAGAGTGAGACTCCGTGTCAAAAAAAAAAAAAAAAAGACTGGACTGTTTGTGGGTTTTATATGACTGCTGCTTGAGACTGCTTGAGAGAGCTGAGATCTGCTCTCCCTTCCTAAGACTGCTTCCAAGGCCCGGAGCTGGCAGCAGTTCAGAATCACCACCTAGATATTGAGATCCAGCCAGTTCCAGGTCCTCTTGTACCTCTTCCCAGCCCCTCTCTCCCAGGTACCCCGGGCAAAGTATACTCTACGGTCCTTTGAGGCTGGAGAAGCAGGTGGTTGTGAAATAGGCTGGCCTTTGGGACCTCCCTCTCCCCTGGTACCCTCCCTCCCTAGGAGGCTGCTTGGCTCCAGAGTGAAGGAGCAAGTGGGGGCCCTCCATAGTCTTCTCCTTCCATGGCCAAGCCGCCCAGGTGCTTGGAACCTGGCCACACACATCCAGGTGCCCCATTCACTGGCCCTCCAGGCTGTCAGAGACCTTTGTATTGCAGTTTTTCTGCCCTCCCACCTGATCACCCACACCTCCAAGGGGGCTGCAACCTCCTGTTCGGGACTCCTGAGCCTGGAGAGAGGCTGTGGGGGGTGGGGCAAGAGCCCTGGAAGTGCCCCAGAATGTGGAGCCTGTTGCCAATAGGGGCAACAAGACAATCTCTCTGTAGGACTGACTGTGAGGCCTCCCCAAAGAAGGATCGGGCAGAGAAATGCAGGGTCCTCAGCCCTGCCTGGGACATCTGCAGCTGCCTCAGAGCTCACATTGTGTGGATCCCAACAGCATTTCCCTCAGTAATGAGGACCCAGCCCGGTCCCAATTCTGCATTCCCCTCATCCCCAAGGCTGGAAACTCCCTATGGCCACTCCTGTGGGCTCAGCCATCTTACACTACAAGCTCCTCTGATAAGTCCCATCCCTCCGCCCAGCCTGCCCACTCACCAGGAACAGCCATACAACTCATTTCCCTGCTGCCCCATGGAAACTTCATCTCTCTGTGCCTCAGAGGGTCTGCCAAGCCCCTGTGGCCCACCACTCCATCCCCTGCCAGTGGATGCTCTGGCATGGCCAGCGTCCTCACTTAGGCACCTGTCCCCCAGCTGGCACACCCCAGGATCAGCCCACACGAGTGACCTGCCCCCACATCCACCAATCCCCTGCTCAGTTAAGAACTGGCATTTGCTGAGGGACTGTTATGTCCCAGGGTGCCAGGGATTCAAAGACTAGTAACAGTACGGGGCCAAAAAAGTTTACGAGTTAGTTGGGGAGATAGACATAAAAACTATGAGACATCTCAATTACTCCAATTTTAATGTTACCCATTCTTTAAGACCCAGCATGAGCACTAACCCATCTACACGCCCACCTGTCTCTGGTTTGCTGCCGTATCCCCAGCACTTTGCACTTGGCTCAGTGGAGGCCCTCTCCCTCCAAATAAATACTTGCATAATGAATGCAAAGCAGGGGGCGGGGGCAGGCTGCAGGGAGGATAACTTCTTCGCCCTCCACCAACCTTATCTAGATGAAATCAGATTTAAATAAAACATCAAGGGCGGCCTTGGAGCTGGGAGGGCAGGAGTGGGCAGGGGGGAATCTCAAGGCTTCGCCTTGAACTAAATTCTTCCATCTTTTTAGTGGCAGCTAAAAGAACAGAGTTCTGGGGCCGCAGCCTCTAGCTTCTCAGGGAAGCCATCTGGACTGCCGAAGCCAGAACTGTAACTTTTATGCCTCCAGATTTCAATGAGTCTTCCTTGTCAAACCCATAACCAATTGTTATCCAGTTGTTGAATGAATCAGGTCAGGACATTTTATAGTAAAAATATGTACAAGTCACAAAAAGTACAAATGTTGGTGATCACTCCTGAAAACAGGCAAACTGGGTCAGGATGGGTGTGTTTAAAGGTAGGGAGGCAGAGCCTGGCACGCAGTGTGGCTGCAAGAGGTAGTTTTCTAAGCTAATATGGAAGTCTAGCACTGTGGCCACCTGGCAGAGCAGTCAGGGTGCAGAGCCGCTGCGGCACAGGCAAAGGCTTGATTTCTCTGCCATTCATTCATCACTGAGTAGCTGTTACTGAGAACCTATCATGTGCAGGTACCCTGTGGGCCATGGAGAAACAGGAGGACCCAGGGAGACGCAGATGTGGTTTTCACCCTAGCCTAGCCGGGGAGGCAGATCTTAGCCAGGAATCACCGGCTTGCCAGGCTTGCTAGGAGGAGAGCATTGCAGGTTGCGGAGTGTGACTGAGCCCGAGAGATGAGATCAGAGGAGCCTCCTGGCTGGGGCGGCAACAATAGTCAGTTCCAGATTTGGATCTTTATGCTGAGTGTAAGCAGGAGTCACGGAAGGGTTTAAGCAGGAGAGTGCTATGAGGCAGTCTATTTTGGAAAGATCCCTCTGACTGGGGCAGAGTGGATGCGGGAGGCTGGGCTGTGGTTGATCACAGAGGTGGGAGGAGATTCGAGGCTGGAGACTCCAGTAAATGACAGGCTGTGGTGATGGATTAGCTATGGGTGGCGGCTTGGGAGGGAGAGGGAGGTGCCAAGGATGAGTCCAAGGTTCTTGACTCTTAAAACTGCCAGTGCACCCCACAGTGGAAACATTGGGAGAACACTGAGTTTGCTTGTAGTTGGAAGTTGGCTGAAGTGTATCTGATGTTCTTGAAAGACCATATTGATGTTTCAGTGTCAAAGAGAGTGCAGAAGGCAGGGAAAGGGTACTTTTGATAACGGCTTTGCCAAAGGAATATCTTTTTATAAAGAAATATGACAATCGACTTGCAACATTTTGCCCCCAATCTAACAGTGAGATGAATGTTGCTCACAGCAACTTCATGTGTAAAATTTGAATGAGTTGCTAACAGACATTTGGAAAACATAAGAGTAGAGAATTGTTTGGGGAAGCTTATTTAGGAAGAAGTGATGGAGAAATCATTAAAAGTGACAAGGCTGGGATGTAAACCCTGGCTCCACTATTATTACGCTTTTTTTTTTTTTGTCTTTTTTTTTCTTCCTTTTTGTGGAGAACGGGGTCTCGCTTTATTGCCCAGACAGGTCTCGAACTCCTGGGCTCAAGCTATCCTCCCACCTCTGCCTCCCTGAGACCTGGGATTACAGGTGTGAGCCACCGTGCCCAGCCGGCTCCACTATTATTAATGTGACCCTGGGAAGTTACCGAACCTCTCTATGCCTCAGTTTTCTCATTAGTAAAATGAGAATAATAACACTATCTATTTCATAAGACTGGCTGGGGATTAAGAGTATGTGTAGGCCGGGCGCAGTGGCTCACGCCTGTAATCCCAGCACTTTGGGAGGCCGAGGCAGGCAGATCACGAGGTCAGGAGACCGAGACCAGCCTGGCTAACATGGTGAAACCCCGTCTCTACTAAAAATACAAAAAATTAGCTGGGCACAGTGGCGGGCGCCTGTAGTCCCAGCTACTCGGGAGGCTGAGGCAGGAGAATGGTGTGAACTTGGAAGGCAGAGCTTGCAGTGAGCTGAGATCACGCCACTGCACTCCAGCCTGGGCTACAGAGCAAGACTCCATCTCAAAAAAAAAAAAAAGATTATGTGTAAAGAGCTTAACACAGTGCCTAACTCATGGAATCTCTCCAGGAACATTACCTATCACAGAATACACCCTGACAGAGGGAAGCAATGAAAAAGGCAATTGCTGATTTCCCATAATCCCTTTCAACAAAGAAGAGTTGTTGTCTATATAACTAAGTGTAATTTTTATAAATGCCCTTATTAGATTTTTAAATATAGTATAATATTCACAAATCAAGGGGAAAAATTGTCAGGCCTCTCATATCTAAGTCTTTTTTTTTTTTTTTTGAGATAGATTCTCACTCCATCACCCAGGTTGGAGTGCAATAGTTCCATCTTGGCTCACTGCAATCTCCACCCCCCAGGTTCAAGCGATTCTTATGCCTCAGCCTCCTGAGTAGCTGGAACTACAGATGCGTGTCACCACACCTGTAGAGACAGGGTTTTGCCACATTGGCCAGACTGGTCTTGAACTCCTGGCCTCAAGTGATCCGCCCACCTCGGCCCCCCAAAGTGCTGGAATTACAGGTGTGAGCCACTGCGCCTGGCCTATCATATCTAAGTCTTGATGTCACTTTTCCAGTTACTAATCATCTGGCCCAGTCTTGCTTAGGTCATACACTCTTTGATGTGCTCTTCAGTTTCTGAGGATCACGCCTCTGCTGGGTGGAGTAGCTTTCCTAGGTCAGAAGCAATGCTGTCTGCATGGCCTCCCAAGTCTTCTTGGTGCCTGCACAGTGCAGAGCACAGGTGGCACCATGGTTGGTTAACACCATACTTGTGGCCCAGACTGTAGTCCCCCCAGAGGGTGTCTGCTGGAAAGGGCTGGTCCTGGCTCTTGCTGTGGGTTCACTGAGGTTAAGTGAAGATGGCAAAAGAACCACAGGTGATTCTCTCCTCTGCTCTGGGTTTTGCAAGACTAGAGAGGTCAGTGGCTGTGGCTGAGAGCCTGTAGGAGATGGAACTACCTCACCTTGAGGAATGTGCTTAGGGATGCCACAGAGAATCTTTCCCGAAGAGGGAAATGGCTAGGGCCCTGGCCTTGGGAGGATGGAATGGAGAAGCCATGGGAAGAGGGGCTGGCCTCTCCTCCAAACCCAGCAAAGGGAGCCATCCTGCCTGACTGAAGCCAGAGTGGGGCCCACTGCTGGGTGGACAGAATACAGCCACAGGCACTACATTGTCAGAGCTCCAGATGGGAGACAAGGAGTACAAAACAGAGGTGGAAGACTGATTCCAGTATGGAAGCAGGGCAGGCTTCAGGCATGGCCAGATTTGGGCATGATGAAATAGATTCACAATTGCTAATGTTCTGGGGGCACTTGTGGCTACATCAGGTACTATTCTAAGTACTTTATATGTTTTAAGACACTGTAGCGCCAGGACTGTACTCAGAAAGTCTGCATTCTTAACCACTACGCTATGTGAAATGTAGAAAGAAGAAAGCTTTTAGACATATAAAGGGTTAGACCTCTATTTTATATGTTAAATGCCGTATGAAAAAAAAAGCAAAGGTTTTGGAGCCACTCCAAGCCTATGTGATCTTGGGCAGTTACTTAGATTCTCCAGGTCTCAGTTTCCTCATTTGTTTGTAAATTTGAGAGTACATTTACCTACCAGAGTTCTTGAGGGTTAAATAAAGAAACGTATGTTGAGTGCCTGTTCATGCCTTCTGTAAGAGACACCTGCCCCCTCTGGACCTCCTGCCGGCTTTGGAGGCTCTCAATACACTGCCCATTCCAGATCTGGATTTCTTCATCTTCCCAGGGGTCTGTACGTCTGGAATAAAGGAACCAACATAGTGGATGCACCCCTGGTCTTCCAGTCCACAGCACTGGGAGTTCCTCAGGGGAGAAGTCATACTCCAAGTTGATATCTGAGCGGACAAGTGTTCTGGTAACAGTAAAGGAGGTGACCCTGGAAGCTGAGGTCCCAAGCAACCCAAACCTAGATCATCACAGAAATGTCATGTTTCTTGGAATAATTCTCCCCTCTCTGTGTATTTATCCATTCAGTTTCTATTTACCAATTGTTTACTATTCAGTTCACCAAGCATTATTAGGCAACTACTATTTGCCAGGTATCATGCCATGTTCTCAGGAGTCACCTAGAAGAGCCCACAAACTCTGGACCATGTTTAATTTCCCTTTTCGTCTCCAGCCTGGGTCCATGGATCTTGGAGTGTGTTCAGTAAACATCTGCTCCTGGGGCAATAATGAAGGTACTATTAGAGATTGGCATGAGAATGCAACAGGGCTCTCTGAGTAGGTTCCAGTGAACTAGACACTGCAAAGGGCTGCACCACGATACCCATCCATGTCTCTGTGGCCACAGTGCAGGGCAAGGATCACACACCTGAAAACCTTCAGGGTTCAGGTCCCGTAAATGCCCCACATGGGCAAGGTGGGAGTATGGTAAACTGGAGCATGCCTACCCCATACAGACTGCATTTGCTACTTAGTACCAACCTACTGTTGCAAGTGAAAATGTGCGCCAGGGGTAGCAAATCTTCTGATTTTTTTCAAGAGAAACTGTAAACCTGGATTTTTATTTTGAATCTCCAAAAATTTCAGCATTGGCCCCTAATTTTAATCTTTTTTGAAAGCCCCATAGACAGTTAAATGGAACTTGTCTGCCTGCTTACTTTTGCTCAAAGGCTATTAGTTTGGGAGCCCTAAGTGTGCCTGTGAAAGGGGAGAGGTAGAGGGCTGTATGTCCTGGGGCCAGGTTATGAGAGACCTAGAATGCCATCCTTCCTTGGGGCCAGGACTGTGCTAGACACACAGGAAGCCATAAAGAGGATGTTAAAGCCATAGGCCTGCCCTCCAGGGGTTTATAATCTTATAAATAAAGACTTACGGGCAAAGCAGCAGATGGTCAGGAATGTGTGAGGAGGAGACAACTTGGAGTGCATAGAGTTCAGGGCAGCAGGGAGCAAGGTGGAATTGAGCTTCAGGAGAGTTTCACCTGAGCTTCGGGAGACCTTTCCAGGAAGTCAGGCTTGGACTGTGAGTATGAGGATTCTGGAGGACTCTGGGAGATCCATAAACAAATATGAATGGGCACGACCTATGCTGGAGACCCCAAAGAAAAGCCCCAGGGAATCTGCTTCCCGGTGTCATGGGAAGAGGCTCACAGGAAAGGGCAGGGCTATAGCATGAGGCTTCACTGACACCCTCACACCCCTTACTATTGAACCTGGCCATCCCTGGCCTCAGAAGTCCAGTGGGGTCAGCCTCTCCAAGCTTGCAGAAGTCAGTGTTGGGGGCTTGGGCAAGTGGTACAATTCCGGCTAGGGTATAAGCCCTGCCTGTGTGGCTCAGGCCAGGCATTAATGGCCCTAAGCCTCAATTTCCTAATTTGTGAAATGGCGATAGTAATTGCATATACCTACTGAGATTGGGGCGAGAATGAGAAACCAATATAGGATGTCGTTTGCCCCTGTTCCTATATGGTTTTTATGAGAAATGTGCACCACCTGGGGTGGGGGAAAAAGCACCTGGAGGGTGAAGCGAAGCTCGTCCCCATGTTTGTCTTTCTTGTTGCTGCTCCGGAAATGACACGGATTCTGGGAGGGCTGCCTATCTTAGCGAGTGAGGGAGGAGTGGAGCATGGGGGTCTCTCCATTTCTTCCCCGGGGAAAGAGATGGTAGAGCTCCTGGTTGGCAGGCAGGAGCCGCTGGGGTTGTGGACAGCGCTAAAAGAGGGCTCTCTTTCCCCTAGGGCAGACCTTTTCCGCCCAACACCCACCTGGGAGGGAGGGCGAGACCCGAGGTCAGACGTCCCTGGAGCAGGTGAGCACTGCGAGGGAACTGAGATGCAAGATCCTCCTGCCTGAACTCACACCCCGCGTGCTGCTCCCCCAACTCGCCTCTTGGATCTCAGACCAGAAGCTTCCTTTCCTCAAAATCCTTCTATGTTCTCCAACGTCTTTGGGACAGAGCTCCTTGGCAGGGTTTACAAAGCTTAGGTGGCCCTACCCACTTCTCCAGCCTCATCTGCTGCCTCACCCCTATACCACAGCTCTGCACCTTTGCTGAAACTGGTACTCGGCGCTTGGGGTGTCCTCATCTTTCCCCTACCTATGGCAGCCTGCCCGAAGAGTGCCTGCTCCTTCAGGCTCCGCTCTCGGCTTAGCCCCTTCTTGGAACGTCCCCGCACCTCACCCCAGCCCCTTGCCAGGGGCAGACCCTGGCAGCCTTCCCTCGTCCTCAGCAGCCATTACGTGTTGCTGTCATAAAGTTATCACTCTGTTTTCTGTCTACTTGTCTCTCTAGCCCCAGCCCATCCCAGCCTCCGACTGCAGGCTCCTGGAGAGCAGGAAAGCCTGGCTCCCCGTGGTAACCCTAAGGCAGGCCCTCTGCCTGGGGCGTCCTGGCACCCTACGCGGGCCGGAGAGCCGGGCGGGGGCGCGACGAGGGGGCGCCCAGGCCGCGGGCTCGGAGCCGGGGTTGGGGGTGGGCGAGGGGAGTCCTTCGCCCTTGCGGCGGGCTCCTGCCCAAGCCAGCCCACCCGGCCCAGCTCCCGCTCCCGCTCCCGCTCCGGAGCCGTGCCCACCGGGCCAGGTGATCTCGAACCTTCTCTCTCTCACACCCCAACAACAAACAACCCTCCACGCTCTCCCTCTGGAGAAAGGAGGTGGAGCCTGACCTCAGCCGGAGGCTGCCGCAGCTGCCGGGGGGAGGGCTTGGAGCTCCAGCCCTTGGGGGAGTCTTTCCTCTAGGGAGTGGTAGGGGTGGGGGCCTTGGAGGGCTCCTGAGCGCCGGGGAACCTCTCCCCCCGGCAGCGTCGACCCTCCCCCAGCGAAGGGAGGAGGGGCAGAGGGGGGGTGGCCTCAGTGAGTGCCCACTTCCGACTCTGTCCCTCTCTCAGGCTGCAGTACCCTCGGACACCTCCTCCCCCACTTACACCCACCCCCTCCTTGAACTCTGCAGTCCCAGAGGCAGGGTGAGACTGGGGACCAAGTGAGCCCAAGGGCTAAGATGCGACTCTGCTGGGCTCCCGGGAGCCTGGGGGGTGCCCATCCCCCACCACTTGACGGTAGTCGGGGGTGTGGGCGGGGTGAGAAGGACCCCGGGGACACTCCGATTAGGTCTGGAGACAGCCTGAAATAGGGTGTAGCCCGCAGTTGTTGGGGCTGCGGAGGAGGCGACTGGGGTGAGGGGCAGAGAATGCACCCCAAGAGAAAGGCATAGGGCCCCAAAGAGGGTAGGAGACGGGATTCAGAGAGCGGGAAGGAGAATGCAGAAACAGCTTTTACGGGGAGAGGCAGACTGCAAAGACGTCCCCTGGCCGGCAATCTGGAGGCTAGCGCTGGGCAGATGGGGGTTTTGGACACAGCGCCATGGACATGTGTTCCCCAAAGTCTGAGCGCATGCAGCCCCCTTGTTCCTTCTTGTGCGGAGACTGAGTCCCACACAGTCCCTACCTCACCGGGACCTCCCCACCCCCAAGGCCGGGGCCGTAGTTGCCTTCAGGGGAGGGAGAGGTCCTGTTCCTCACTGGGCACTCAACAGCTGGCTCCTTGGTGGTAGGAGGGTACCTTGCCCCTCCAGCTCAAGAGTCAGGAGGAGCACTTCTACCTCCTCATCCCTAGGGAAGAGGGCCCCCGCAGGTAAAGACCAGACTTCTGCACTAGGATTTGCCTGGGGGGCAAATAATTTCTGGAGATCCCTTTAAGGAGGGGTGTTCCAATCCCTTTAAGAGGGAGTGGGTCACAGCAAAAGGACTATAAAAGTCCAGCTTTCTTTATTCCCCCACCCCCCAGGGGCTTCCTATGATGGGGGAGGGGGCAAGTGCTGCTGCCGCATTTAATTGTTGCCTTGGTGTCCCTCCCCCAAAGAGCTGTGCCCTTCAGTTCGTCCAGTGGGGCTGAGGAGCCGGGTGGCTCAGTAAGTATTGTGGGGACCTAGACTTCAGGTGCTCTGGGGGTTGGGACAGGGGCTGCCCCACTTCCAGGAAAGAAGGTGGGACCTGGGCAGGGGCTGGAGGGAGGAGAAAGTGGTCACTGCCACCACTGCAGGGACTGCACTGCCGTTGGGGTGCCCTGCCTGGTGCCAGGTGGTTGGATCTCAGGCCAGGCGGTCTTCGGGGACTGCAGCGGGCAGTGGCGGGGAGGTGCTGGGGCTGGGCTGGAGATGACCGAGCAGCCAGTCTGTCCCGGCTGTCAGTCTGGTTGTGTGTGGTGGGGGAAGGGTGCGCCGCGTGGTCTCTCTGGCCCTGGATGTTTTACTCTAGGGCATCTCCCTCTGAGGCAGTTAACCCTTCCCGATGGGTCTGGAGGTGTCTGGGGAGAGAGAGCCCCTGCCTGGCAGCAGCCCGGGAAAGACTCCGGAGACCCGATGGACCCATTCCTCTTTCTACACCAAGTGCCAAACCCTTTTTTCAGTGGGAGACCTCTGGGCTGCCAAACATACCAGGGAGAGGAAAGGTGATGGGCCCCAGGCGTTGGCACAGCTGCCCAGTGAAGTGGGGTGGAGGCAGCATTCACTCAGGAAAGGTTACAGGACCGAAGGAAGGAGGAAGAGGTGGAGCCCTTTCCAGCTGTGGAAGGGCTTTGGACTGGGAAAGAAGGAGGCCCAGTTGCAGAGGTCCCTGAAAGTTGGGTGAAGGAGGCTAGGAGAGGCCAAAAGTTCCCTTTGGGGGACAGGCAGGGTGTAGCCCCTGCCTATTCTTTGCTGGCTTGTTTTAACAAGCAATAGGGAGGAAGGGGGGACAGAGGTGGCTCAGTGAGCTGGCACAGGAGGAACACTTAGTGCCTTTAGCCAGCCCGTGTCCCCGCACCATAGCCCACTCAGTCAGAGCCTCCTGGGGCAGCGGACACCGCCACCCACACTGGAGGCTCTGAGGGGAGAACTCCTCCAGCGGCCAGGCAGGCACTTGGTGGGCTGTCATGACTACTCTGCCTCCTCTCCGGTTGGTATTCCTTCCTTTCCCTCCCACTGAGACCCCAGATAAGACAACACTCCCCTGCTCACCCCAGGGCCCTCTAATGCCAACACCAGGAAGACACCCAATCCTGCCACCTCGTCCTGCTGCCATTTCCTCGGCTGAACGTGGGCTTCCTGCCACTTAGGTCTCCTTCCCTGCCACCAGGTACATTCCTCTTCTGGCCCTCCCGGCCTCCATCCCTGCCCATTATCAGGCCTGAAGTGGCTGCCAAGGTCAGCGCCGCCTGGGCTGCAGACAGGAGCCCGGCCTCTCTTCTGTCTTGGCCTGTAGCATGGCTCTGCCCCCGTGGCCACCACTGCTGTACCCTCCACCACCAATCTCTGACGAGTGGGGGCCACCGTGGGGTTAATTTGCCTATGGGCCAGACTGGGACAGGGAGAGGGGGAATTCTGTGAGGTGGGGAGTAGGGCTGGCCTGGTGTGTGTTGGGGGGGCGCTGCCGGGAACCTCTGTCCTGTCCAGGAAGGGGAGAAATCTTTCAGCGTCCTACTTTTACAGCTTTGGGGTTTTGCTTTCCCCAAGGGTGGGAGGTGGGAGAAGTGGCAGTGGGAGAACCTGGACCTTCGAGACATTTCCGTGCCACAGTTTTAGCTTTTAGCTTCCATTCACACACTTTCCCTGCTGAGGGGGCCCCTCCTTTAAGTGTGTCCCCCCAAACAGCTAAGACAGTCTGGGCCCCCTGGACAGCTCTGGAGGCAGATGGGGAACTGCTTCTGGGGGAGGTTGTTTCCCAGCCATATTGGCTAGCAGCCCTGATTGTCTTAAAAGGCTGCCTGGGTGAGCGCTGGAGTCCCAAGGTCTAGGAAAGGCTGGGCGCTGTGTGTGGTGCAGGAGGAGCCCCTCCGAAGCCCCTGGGCCACACTCCAAGGCTGGGTTTTCCTTGCTTGCCTGGGCAGCCTCAGCACTCTGGGTGCCTCTCTCTGCCCAAGGCGTTCCTGGGGCCCAGCCCCTCCCTGGGCTGCTCCAGCGCTCTGGTGACTTGACACTACCCTTTCTGCCGCTGCTCCTTTTACCTCCTAAAGCTCCCCTCCCCCGCCTGAATTGGGAATGAGGCTTTGTTCAGGGGTGAACTCAGCATTTCTCGAGAACCTACTGTGTGCATATCCCGGGCTTAGTGAAGTCCTAGGCGGGCTCTGGCACCACCAGGTGCCCAAGACACAGCTCCTTCCCGCACCTAACAGGGACTTCCCATCTCTCTCTGTGCCCTTAGCCTGCTGTGCCCACCCACCCCACTGACCCCGCGAGCGTGCTCGGGCTTGGGAGGGCACGTCTGTGGGGGTGAGAGACGGAGCCACAGCATTTGGTGACTAGGGGGAAGCCAGGTAAGTGTCTACACTTGGTTCTCCCGTAGCTTGGGGACGCGAGGGAGGGAGTCCAGCCGCTCCTGTCAGGCTGCCCGCCCCTTTCTCCCTCCCCCGGAGAGCTCTGATGTTCCCCGCGGTGGTGGAAGAGGGTGTGTGGGTGTCAAGGACTCACAGACCAGGCTCTGCTGTCAGCTGGAAATGGATGAGGGCTCCACACTCTGCTTCTGAAGAGGGTGAATTAGGAGCTGGGGTTGGGGGCGGTAGGTGAAGGGCAGAAAGAGGAAAAAGAGATGCGGGTGAGGGGTTACCGAGCCAGGACCGACCTTGCTGGAAAGGAAAGGAGACGTGGCAGGCAGGGAAGTCGGAAAGATGAGGCAAGGGCGGGAGGGGCTTCTCAGCAGTCGGGGCCCTTTTGCAGGAGTCTGGGGCCCTTTCTGCAGGAAAGGGGGGTTGTTCTCGCTTGATTTTCGGCTGGTCTTCCTGAAGCTTTGCCCTGGGGGCAGCAGCCTCCGGCGAGGATGGGGTGTTCCTCGGCCCGCAGTTTTCTCCAGCGCGTGCTGGGGAGGATTTGGGGGAAAGGGGATGCGGAGGGGTGATGGCCAGGGCGGGGGGAGATAAGATTTTTCCGGGGGGGCTAGCAGCTGGGAGATTGGGGTCGAGTCACCGTGGGATACGGGCTCAGGTTCTGAAGACGAAGAGAAAAATCCAAGAAGCCGGCAAAGAAAATCACCCCTTGCCACCACCCTTGGCACGGCACCCCTCCCCCAAGGCCCCACCACTCCCCGCACCGCCTCCCCCGGCCGCCTCGTGCTGCCCCCTGCGTTGGGACGACCGACCCACGGTTCTGATTGGTCAGAGACCGGGAGGGGGAGCCGAGGGCCGGATTGGCTGGCGGAGCCAGCGCAGGGCGGGGCGGCTGATTGGCGGAGCTGGCCGAGGGGCGCGCTGCTGATTGGCTGGGGACGAGGAAGCAGGAAGGAGGGCGGCGGAGGCTCCGCTCTCGGGGAGTTTGTGGGGGAACCGCGAGCGGCGTAGCGGATCCCGGAGCCCGGCCCCCGCCGCCCGCCCGTCCGGCTGCCTGCCCCGCCCGTCCGGCCCCCGCCGTCCGCCCGCCCCGGCCAGGCGCGCCCGCCCCCCCCGACGGCCCCGCCCGGCCGCGGTCCCCGCTCCGCCCGCCCGGCCCCGGCCCCCAGGAGGAGGCGCTGACGCAGCAGCGTGGAGCCCGGGAATTGAGCGCCCCCGGGGGGTTCCAGCCGCCGGATTCCAGCCCGGCCGGGGCCTGCGGGCGCCCAGAGCCGCGCCGTCCGCGCCGCCCGTTCTGGTGAGTCAGGGGCCGGGGTCGAGGAGGGGGAAGGGGCGAGCTGGAGGGAGGGAGCGAGCGAGGTAGGCAGAAGAGCGAAGGGGGAGAGCACCGGCCGCCCGTCAGCGCGCCCCACCGAGCGCGCCGCGCCACCGCCCCCGCCAGCCCGGGAAGGGACGGACGGACGGACGACGCGAAGCAGGTGCGGCCGCCCGCCCGCTCGCGCCACCTCCCTCCCCTGGGTCCGGCACCACGGTCCCGCCATCGGGGAACGCGGCGCGCCTCGAGGTGACAGCCCCCGGGGGCCGCCCGCCTTGCAGGCCGGGGGCGGGGTGGGTGGCGGCCGCAGGGTGGCAGCTCGGCCGGGCGGCGGCGGCGCGGGCGTCCCGAGCTGCGGAGGGCGGGAGGACGCCGGTCTTTCCTCGCCGCGGCGGAGCCGGCTCGCCTCCGAGTGCGCGGGCGGCGAGGCCCCCGCCGCGCCCCCTCCCCCATCGCGGTCCCCGAGGCAAGGGGCCGCGGCCGGGGGCGGCGCCGCGGGATCGCCCGCTCAGGGTGGGGGGCGCCCTCCCGCGCTGGGAGCTGACCGGTTATTGCTGGATGGGGGGCAGGGGATGAGGGCCGCGCCGGGCCGGGGGCGGCAGGGGGGAGTAGTGTAGACCCGACTCGATCGGGCTGAGAGGAAGGGAGGCGCCGAAGACGGAAGGGGACCGGTTCGAAAAGCGAGTGTGGGCCGCGGGAGGCCCTGCGGGGACCTTGCGGGGCGGCGGCCGAGTCCGAGGTGTGGCGGGGGGAATCGAAGTTGTCAGACCGCCTCCAAGTGACAGCGGGACCCTGTGCTCGCGGCCCGGCCTGGTCTTGCCCTGCTCGCTCCGCCGCCTCTCTTCTGGGGCTGGGGGCCGGGTCAGGTCGGGCCCGAGGGGCTCGCTTGGCGGTGAAGCGCCGGACAAAGGCGGCGCCGGAGCGGGCGCAGGTGGTGGCGTCGGGGAGGGGAGCGGGTCCGAGGCACCCACTCCGAGGGGCGGGCGACGGGGCCGGACTCTGCCCCGGGGACTGCGGGGGCCGGGGCGCCCGCCGGGAGGAGCTGCGGCACTGGCTTGCCGCTCTAGCCGCTCGCTGTTGGCCTCGAGGCTCTGGGAAGTGGGGTCTACTTGCCGGGGGCCGAGGGGCCGGGGTGGGGGTGTATGCTCATGATGTGCCTTGGCTGGTGGCGACGGGGTTGCTACTCACCGAGGCGACAGACCCAGTGAGCCGCTGTAGAGCCTGTCAAGAATGAGGGGTTTTTCAACAAGCAGAGTCTGCCTACAGGCAGAAGTCTAACCCCACCTGGGACATCTCCTAGTCGCCCATTGTCGACAGTGTTAGAAGTGCAGAAGACTAGTTTGATTAGGACAAGAGACACCCCACCCCGTGGGCTCCCGCCAGCCCTCCGCAGCTGCCTCCAGCACTTTTCCTTAGCCACAAAGGTACCCACTTAGAAAAATGAGAAGCTGAGTTTATAAATCCAGGCAGGAATTTAATAATGAAATAAAAAGCTTTCCAGTCCTTTTACTTTGTGCCACCTGAGACTTTCCTCCCTACTCTCTTCACCTCGCTGTCTTCCACAAAAAAAAAGAAAAAGGGCCCAGAGGGACCACATGTCTTGGAGGGGCACCACTGTCCTTGGCCAGCTTGGAGGATGCTTAGGAACCACTGGCTTAAGCTGTGAGTGCCTCCATCTCCCCCGGTGACCAGCTGTGAGCTGGATGTTGTTTACCTGCTTGGAAAAACTCATTCAGAGCTCCCATGCCCTCCATGTGAACCCCACACCCAAAAGAAGAGTTGGGATCATAAGGACAGGGAAACTCAGGCTGTTTCAGAATGTGGATTTTGCTGAGAATCTGAGTTCGAGTCCCACCTCAGGTAGGGCTGGTTAGAAGCCGCTCTCAACTGTGGTTGGCTGTAATCCCACCTGGGAAAGCTGCTTGTCTGCCACTTCAGAGGGTAGCATGGGCATGGGAGTTTATTCATGGCCACCCCCCATGGACCTCCCTGGAATGATCTAGACCCCAGCCTGGATGGAGCTGAGGCTTGTGAGAAAGGTAGGTATTACCTCACTCAGGAGGCTAAAGTTTGTTCTGAGATAATTTAATTGCATGTCTAAAATCCAGAGAGTGATGATGAATCTCAAGGCCTTTGTGCCTTCTGTGAGGCTACACGGCATGTGATTTCTTTTGGTGGCAGTCAGAAGGGGATGACGTGGTCTGGCCACTGGAATATGAAGGGGAGTTGCCCAAATAGCATTTCCCTCTTTGGTAGGGCTCTTACCTGGCAGGAGACTCATGCCAGTCGGATCTGGTGTTAAGGAGGGTTTGCTCCGGAGAGTTTAGCCAGTGATTAGGTTCTTTTTGATATCTCCCTCTCTTTCTTCCTTTCTGTTGTCCTGCTGTCCCCGTGTCAGGCCTGTGTTGTTGTTATAGCCTCCCTTTCCCTCCTGCTTCCTTTGGCCCTTCTGATCCAGTCTGTATGCAGCTACCAGGTCATTCTTCCTAAAACACCCCTTCCCGGTGTCACTCCCTTTCTCACAGACTTGCAATGGCTCCCCGTTCCCTGCAGTCTGACCCTAGACAGTGTCCCCTCCAGCTCTTCCCTAGCCATACCATGCACATTTTTTCTTCCTGCATCTTCACTGCTGCCGCTCCCCTTCCTTTACTCCCACTTGAATCCCACTTGTCCTTAGTCTGGTTGTTGCTCAGACCACTCCAGGCCAACATAGTCATCCCCGCCTGAGCTCATGACTCTGGATTTTCTAACGTGGTATCCTCTTGAGTGGTTTTGTAGGTTGGAAATTTCTTAAGGACAGGAACAATATGAGTGTTAAACCTCTGTGTGTGTGTGTGTGTGTGTGAATATTCTGGTATTTCTTGTACAGTGCTGTGCACATCATTTTTGTTGAGTGAATAAATGTGGTTGGTTGCTGAGTTAGGCAGGAACAAGGGGGAGACCTTCCTTTCAGCTTCTCCAGAAATGCTCATATTGGAGTCCTTGGAGATTTCCAGCCCTTTCTGTCAAAGGCATATGGATAGGGCATGTTTGGGGTGCTGTAAATGGGAAATTTAACTGCTGTTTCTAATATTTCTGCTGGTGAAGAGTCCTATGGATTGCTTATGTGATACCATATAGACATTGGAAAAGGGCTGTAATCCTGTTTTCCTCCTACCTCACCGGACCACCATTCTTTCTACCCAGCTTTGCTGCTCTTATGCAGTTTTCCTTGTTGTTCATGCTAAATGAATCCATGTTTTATCTCTTCTCAAACCGGGTGCAAATGAGGGAGAAAACACAATTCTGAGCACAGAAAAGAAAAATACTCCTGGGTCTGGCCCATAGATGGGACTTTTGGGGCTGGTTTGGAAGAGGTGTTTATGGGGGCATCACCAACATAAGAGGCACAATCAGCCCCACATTGGACCCCTCATAAAGGAAAGCTACAATCCCTGCTCTCTCAGGCTTCTGTTTTGGTTCACCATCAACCCTGGACCATGGGGGAAACGGGAAAGAGGACTGGTGACTGGTTAGAGGCCAGATAGTGAAAAAATATATTCTGCATCCATCCCCTTTCCCCCAAACCTCCCTTTTGTGCCCCAGTTTGATGATTAATGGACCAGCATTTCCCTTCTACGCGGGAAGGCCACCCCTCACAGTTGCCATGGCAATGCAGACCGCTCCCCCGTCAATTAAAAAAAAAATCCCTACTACTTCTCTCCTCCTTCTACTGTAGCAGGAGAAAAGCTACCTCAGAATGCATCTCCTGGGCTCTCTTCTCAGCTCCTTTAGCTGTGTTTGCTGTGTGTCCTAGAACACAGTCCTTCCTCTCTTTCTGGGGATTGCCTGAGTTTCTTCACTCTGAGCAAATTGTGCCCCTTCTGGAGCCAGCAGCCCCTGGAACACTTATATCAAGAAACAGAGAAAATTTCTGTTTATTTATTCATCCCCGGTGCAAATTAAAAACTAGAGAGAGCTCCTTTTGGGTAAAAAAAAAAAAAAAAAAAACAACCCTTTCACACCTTCTCTGGTTAGAGGTATAAGTTGGGGCACATTTGACATCCAGAAAGGAAGTTTTAGTAAACCTGGAAGGAATTCAGCCTCCTAGCATACATACTTCAAATTGGAGTTCTATGGGGAATTCTCAAAATTATTTTCATTCCTCCTCACCTCTCTGTTCCAGCATCCAGGAGGACTTGTGTGTTTTCATTTTATCTGTTCTTATTCCTCTTGGCCTTGCTCCGGCAACATCTGGCCTCAGCACCCTGTCGCAAGGTGAGTCATTAAGGAGAATAAAAACCTTAAGGAAAAAAAGTCTCTGGAGTTGAGAAGTAGCCTGTGTTGAACTAAGGCTGCCAGGCGAAGCTGCCGAGTTTATGGAGCATTATACGAACAGCCCCGACATTAAAGGGCCTCCTTTTTATGAATGGGTTGTGAAGAATGTAAATAAAGCAGCATCTCTCAATGGGGAAGCATTTTACATAAGCAGTACTACCCCGACCCAAGTATTTATGGGAATTTGCTAGCACAGTCTGGCAAGGCTCACTTCCTTTGTGAACTTGCCATTGTGCTGGGGACTTTGGAGGGACAAGGAGAGTGTGCTTCGGTTCTGAGGGCAGCCCCAGCACTCCCACTCTGCAGGTTTCCTGGCGTTGACTTGATGGGCCAGCTCATGGCTGGAAATGCCTGTTAACCCTGAAGTGACAGAAAATACCATGCGCAGTCAAGAGCTCATGATAATTAGAGATAGAGGCTCCTGATCCTGGGGTCTGGAGATGGTGTAGCTCCTGACCCCTCAGGCTGCTTAGACCTCCACAGGACAGAGGACAGGGAGTTCTTGGATGATGAAATCTTGCCCGGTTTTATGGGAGGCACCTAAGTGGTGTAAAATGGGCTGGTTTGAATTTCAGCTCCTTTATGTTCCCCTGCCCACCTCCTGGTACTGCCACTAATGATCAGTAAAATGGCTAAAAAGGAGGAGGAGAAAGAGCACCAGCAGCAGTGAGGCTGCACGTGGTCTGCTCAGGGCCAGACGGCCTGACAAGCACCCTCACTGAACACCGGCCCAGCCCTGGGGTTCCAACAGGGGTGTTGGTGTCCTGCCCCAGGTGACTTGGTAAGCAGGCCCTGGAGTACAGTCACATCCAGGACTTTGTGTTGTGTCCCTGTGGGTGGGAGTGGGGTCATCAGATTTCATTTTTCCCAGTGGGAAACACCTGCAAGGATGGTTATTCACTTGACTCAGTGTCCCCCCAACACAAAAAAATAACATTGTCTTTTAAGATCCTCTGCAGGCCCAATCCACCAGGAGAAAAAAAGGGGTTTGTCTCTCAGCCTCGCTGATTTGAATTGGGAACTTATTTCTAAGCACTATGACCAAGTTAGCTGAATGAAAAAAAACAGGTGATTTCTTAGTCTTGTTACCAATGTCAGGCAGGAACTTGGGTCTCAATATTTTTTCTTGCATGTGTTCCTTTTCCAGTGGGTTTGGGGAAAAGAGGTGCTTTGACCTCCTGTCTTTGGGTAAGGAGGATGGGACCTGTCTTTCTGCCGTTCTCTTGACCCCAGGGATCTCACCTGGAGTGCTGTTGATGGCTCCTACTTTTATTCCATCTCCAATGCCTTTTGGGGACTCCTAGCCTCCATCAGTGCAGCTTTTTCAGCTTCCTGCGTGCAGTGGAGAGGGGCAGCCCACACAGACCCTTTTCCAACTCTGGTTACCTGTCCACAATGTTTAGGAATAATTGTTAATCACATTCTCATGTGGCCAGGTGGTTTAAAGGTGAATTACTGTTTTTTAGAGGACCTATGTAGAAATCGTGGGAAAGGTATTATTAGGGTGCCGCTTGATGCCAGGAGATCCTAACAAGTATGCCAGAAGGAGGGGTGAAGTCACGTTTCCACCATAGTCAGGGCCAGCAGGGCCTTCCTCAGTAGTGAGGGGTGTCTCCTGCTTTGTGCCTGGAGGGGTTTCCACATTGGCTAGAATGTAAAAAAGAATTATAAAAATGATTGAGGCCAGGTGCCGTGGCTCACACCTTTAATCCCAGCACTTTGGGAGGCTGAGGCGGGTGGATCACTTGAGGTCAGGAGTTCAAGACCACCCTGGCCAACATGCTGAAACCCCGTCTCTACTAAAAATACAAAAATGAGCCGGGTCTGGTAGCATACACCTGTAATTCCAGCTACTCAGGAGGCTGAGACAGGAGAATTGTTTGAACCCAGGAGACAGAGGTTGCAGATCGCGCCAGTGCACTCCAGTCTGGGCGACAGAGCAAGACTCTGTCTCCAGAATAAATAAATAAATAAATAAATAAATAAATAAATAAATAAATAAATAAATAAAAATAAAAATGATTGAATAACTGAGAGATGATTTCCAGAGAAATTGAAAGGACTTGAATTTATTTGGCCCAGAGGGAGGTAGACAAGGGGCAGTTAATATGTCTTTGCATGTTAAGATGACAGTTTAGAGCATGATGACCAGTTTTTAGTCTTCATTGCAGTCTGGGCTGGAGGCAGGGAATTTCACCTGAGACAAGAGGTATTGGGTAGATGCATGGTTGGGGGTTACCTTTTTCTGGATTTACTATAAAATCAGGACAACGTATCTTTGAAGCTCTCTCATTTATTCATTTATTTATTTAGCCCAGACTTCTTAGCATGTCACCCTTTTCTAGGATATAAAATGTTTGTTTCGGCCAGGTGCGGTGGCTCACGCCTATAATCCCAGCACTTTGGGAGGCAGGCGGATCACGAGGTCAGGAGATCGAGACCATCCTGGCCAACATGGTGAAACCCTGTCTCTACTAAAAATACAAAAATTAGCCGGGCATGGTGGTATGCGCCTGTAGTCCCAGCAACTCAGGAGGCTGAGGCAGGAGAATCGCTTGAACCTGGGAGGTGGAGGTTGCAGTGAGCCGAGATTGCGCCACTGCACTCTAGCCTGGATGACAGAGCAAGACTCCATCTCAAAAAAAAAAAAAAGTTTCTTTCAAAAAAAATTTTTTTAATTGTATTTACGTTCTAGCCCATAGATGCCATTTAATTGGAGTACATCTTCAGTTCCTCTGTGGTGGGAAAACTAATAATGTGTGGTAATGCCAATAATTAAAGCACAGAAAAATAAAACTGAACGTGCAAGTTATCTTGCATCTTGGTCTGTGATCCAGCAGCCATCCTGTGATGCCCTAAGTAGAGGCAGTGTGTTGCAGTGCAGGAAGTGTGGGCCTTGGTGTAGATGCCAGGATGGCTCACCTCTGTCCTCAATCCTAGCAACTTTTTATTTTTTAAGAGCCAGCTCTGTCACCGAGTCCAGAGTACAATGGCATGATCATGGTTCATTACAGCTTCCACCTACCGGGCTCAAGTGATCCTCCCACCTCAGCCTCCTAAGTAGCTGGGACTACAGGCACACACCACCATGCCCGACTAATTTTTTATTTTTGTAGAGACAGGGTCTCACTGTATTGCCCAGGCTGGTCTTTTAACTCCTGGCCTCCCACAGCACAGGAATTCTAGGTTACAGGTGTGAGCCACCACGCCCACCCAGCATCTCCTTTTAACTCTTTTTTTTTTTTTTTTTGAGACGGAGGTTCACTCTTGTTGCCCAGGCTGGAGTGCAGTGGTGTGATCTCGGCTCATCGCAACCTCTGCCTTCCAGGTAGCTGGGATTACAGGTATGTGCCACCACGCCCAGCTAATTTTTGTATTTTTAGTAGAGACGGCTAATTTTTGTATTTTCTCCATGTTGGTCAGGCTGGCCTTGAACTCCCAACCTCAGGTGATCCACCCACCTCGGCCTCCCAAAGTGCTGGGATTACAGGCGTGAGCCACCGCGCCCAGCCTTCCTTTTAACTCTTTGTACCTGTTTTTTTTCCTTGTTAGGATGAAATGGTAACAACTAGCTCATAAGGCTGTTGGGAAGATAAATGAGATAGTGAATGTAGTGTGCTTAGGACCTTGCCAGGTGCATAGTGAGTGCTTGACAAACATTGACCATCCTTTTACAGTAGTCACCTCTGCAGTGAATCAGAAATTTCCAACCCTGCACACTTAGGGTGTCTGGGGACTGATAATGCTAACTTTAGTTCTTTGCTCCTGATTTCACCTATCTGTGACATTCTTTGTCTTGATACAAGTGTCTGTAGTACTACATTCACTTGCTTAATGGTTTAGGGGCAGCCACAGCCAGTGGAATGCTTTCCAGAGGTAGCTGGGCAACTTGGGAGAGAGAAGGAGGAGGATGAGGCCAGGCATGGTGACTCATGCCTGTAATCCCAGCACTTTGGGATGCTGAAATGGGAGGATCACTTGAGGCTAGGACTTTGAGACCAGCCTGGGCAACATAGTGAGACCTTGTCTCTACAAAAATAAAAATAAATTTAAAAATTAGCCAGGCATGGTGGTGTAGGCCTGTAGTCCCAACTACTCGGGAGGCTGAGGTAGGAGGATTGTTTGAGCCCAGGAATTCGAGGCTACAGTGAGCTATAATTGTGCCACTGCCCTACTACTGCAGCCTGGGTGACAGAGCAAGACCCTGTCTCAAAAAAAAAAAAAAAAAAGAAAATGAAAATTGATGGTAATGAAGGAGGGTTGTGCCATGAAAATACAAGAGATTTCCTATTGTAACCTTGTTGCACTGTGGATTAAATTGAAGATGCACAGTGGACTCCTGGGGATGGAGGAGAGTTTGGAGGTCAGAGGGCTCTTGTCTTGAGCTCCAAGTGGTGCTCTAAGTCTAGGATAAAGATTTTACACAGGGTGGGGCAGGTGGACAGCCAGATCTTCATTTATTCTTACCAAGCTCTTATTAAGTCATGTGGGTGGGATTTACTGTTAAGGAAGGCAGAGCCTACCTGTCCCCATAGGGCTGGCATCCTATTGGAGGTGGCACTAGCCACTTAACTAGTTAAGTGAGTGATATTTGGGTAGGGTGCCCATAACTCTGATACGATCTGCCTTGCGATTCTGCTCCTGCTAGTGGAGTGTGGGGGAGGCCTGGTCTTGGATCTTGTTCCTCACAGCTGGTTCATTCAGGAGGTTAGTGCTCTGCTGAGGAGGCTGGAGGCAGAGCTCCATCTTGGCCTGGCTGGCTAGTTTCTGTTCAGGACTAGAGCTAGCACCTGTAGTCTTGGCAAGCCATTTTAGAAATCTAAGTTGTTGGTCCATGTAATGTCCTGGTGGTTGAACCAACACTCGTTCTTTGCCATTCCTGGGCAGGTGCTTGGAGAAGGCTGGTGAGCTGTTCATGTTTTTTGAAGAATGGTGCATCAGTAGCACAAGGTTTTCCCTGGTTCTGCTGAGGCCTGTTGCTGAGCTTTGGGGTGCCCTGTCCCCTGTTTTATTCCTGTTTTATTTCTCCCACATTGTTAGCTGCTCAGAGCAAATGGGTTTTGCTGCAGGTGTAGGTTTGCCTCTGGCTGATCCTGGGCAGTATGGCATCTGGATGGGAGGGTCTGAGGGAGCCTTAGCCCAGAGTTAAGGGGTGCCCCCCAACCCCTGCCTGGAGTCATCCTACATGGAGCTAATAGGGGCGAGTCTGGGAAAAGTTGCATTTGTTTCCTGCTTTAAGACTTTAGCTTTTGGGCCGGGCTCAGTGGCTCACATTTGTAATCCTAACACTTTGGGAATCCGAGGCAGGCAGATCCCTTGAGGTCAGGAGTTTGAGACCAGCCTGGCCAACATGGTGAAAACCCGTCTCTGCTAAAAATACAAAAATTAGCTGGGCGTGGTGGTGGGTGACTGTAATCCCAGCTACTCGGGATACTCCTGCTGAGGCAGGAGAATCACTTGAACCCAGGAGGCGGAGGTTGCAGTGAGCCGAGATCACGCCATTGCACTCCAGCCTGGGCAACAAGAGCATAAACTCCATCTCAAAAAAAAAAAAAAAAAAAAAAAAAAACTTTAGCTTTTGTTTGTCACCCTTTCCTGCATCCAAACATTTATGAAATGAATTTCTCAGAGTGCTGCCCACTCCCTACTGGGCTTTTGTTCCCACGGTACACGTGGCATAAAGTAGGCCCTCAGTAAGTGTCTAAATGCCTGGCTCATATGTACCCTCTGAGAAGCTGCCTTGGGGGGACCCCTCAGCCAAGCTCTGAGCAGTCCATTATAGCCCTTGTCACACTATCTTGTTCTGTCTTCCTGCTAGCCCATGCTCCAACTCTTAGTCTTTTGCATTTTTTTCCAGCACTTAGTCTGGTGCTTGTAGGGGAAAGAGAAAACAAATGAGCTTGTATTGAGAACCTGCTGTATTCCAGGAACTCTGCTAGGCACTTTACACACATTCTTCTTTAACTTAATCCTCACAGCAACCTTGCTGTGTAGACAAGGAAACCAAGACTCAGAGTTCAAGCCATTGACTAAGGCCACACAGGATTAGCAGTGGCATGAAGTGGCTTCCAGCCCCACATGGGTCTCCCTCTGCTGTGGGGGGGCCAGCAAATGTTGGCTGAATGGGCAAAGGTCACAAGAGGTGCTGTGTGCCTGAGAATGAGGGGCAGGCTTAGCTGGGCTAGCACCTGTGGATGCAGGTCTACCTTATGCACACATGAGTTGTGTACTGGGAAGAAGCTGGGGGAAGGCACGTTGCCTAAAGTAGGGACATGTGCCTTTTAAGAAAGCCTCTAAAGACTAGTTTTTTATTGCATGTGATTACCTTCTAATTTGTCAGGTTAAAGTTCGTAAGGCAGAACACTGGTATGATTAAAACACAATGCTCTCTGCCCACTCTCCTCACTCAGGGA
The DNA here is from genome assembly GCF_000001405.40 of Homo sapiens. Classification (NCBI taxonomy): domain Eukaryota; kingdom Metazoa; phylum Chordata; class Mammalia; order Primates; family Hominidae; genus Homo; species Homo sapiens. The sequence continues at coordinate 40,452,017 of NC_000015.10, forward strand.
TCTGTGTGTTGTATAGCAACTTCTAGATATGAGAGGTATACTCTTGTTTCTCTTGTCCTCAGCCCCTGCCACCAGACCCGAGGGCAGTCTAAAAGCAAGCCTGTGTCCAGATGGATCAGGCCAATTCCTTTCAGCTGCACTTCGTGCTTCTTGCCCAGGTGTTTTTAGGCTCCCAGTCTGGTTACAGAATGAATTGAGTGCCCGCAGCAAGTGAGGCTGTATGGGCACTGAGGAGGCAGGGCTGGTGGCTGAGGCCCCTGCTCTCTCTCTCTCTTTGAGGACAGTGCTCCTTGCAACTTTGTGCTGTGGAGCTGAGACTTCTGCTCTGCATGGGTGCCTCCACTGAAGCCTCATTCAGGTGGCACAGACAGGCAGGACGCACACCTTCTGACCTCACGTTGTGGGTCTAGCCCTGCCGTTAGCATCTGAGGAACTTGGCCTTTCACTGTAGAGTTGAGTATTTCTCAGAGACACAGAGCTGTTGTTCAGGGTCTGTTGGGATAGTTTCTGCCCCGGCCCTCTTGCTCAGTTGTGGCCCACAACTGAGGGCCACTTCCTGTCCCAGGCAGCCTCTGCTTGTGGGAGTGATCTGGGCTGTGACCTGCCCTTCCAGGCCCTCACCCTTGTTTCCCCAGAGCAGTGCCAGCACCCCGTGCTCCCCTGGGCCTCTGACTCTCCCTTGAACCTTCAGCCCGGCGTGAAGCACCTTGGTTGTGCTCTGCTCGTGCTGGTGGGGTTGCTGTATGGTGCTGCTGCAGCTTGAGGGCCAGAGCAGGGCATCTGTCTGTCCCTTTCTGCTTCTATGGAGATGACTACACCCGGCCCTCTTGCTGAGTTGTAAACTGAACCCCCCACAACTCACCCCACACTGGGTCCTGCAAGGGAAAAGGAGTGTCATCATCATTATCTTTCCTTGGGGTGGGCACTTAGGTGTTTTTAGTGGAATAGTGGCAGAGCAAAGTTCAGGTGCAAGCTTGGGTTTTCAGATTTCTCACTGGGGTAGGAGGAATCTGTCCCGGGCTCCTGCTGTGGGGAATGGCCAGCCAGGGCCAGCTGCCCTCCTCTGTCGGGTTGGAAGGATGGGGGAGGTTGGCCTGCCTGCCTCTGCTTACCACCGCTCCTAAGGAAGACTCTTTTTGGTATATCCATCTTAGATGAGGGATCTGGAGTTTGGAAAAGCTAAATACATTGCTCAGGAGGGACAGAGCATTTAAATCTAGGTCTGACTCAATGCTTTGGTTCTTTCTGCTGTACCAGCTCTTTAAGAGATTCACTACCAGCTGTGTCTTTACCTGGCTTTACCATAAGAATTTCAGCAGCTTCACCTGTTTCTCCATAAAGTAACAGCAACTAACTTTAAGTGAAAAGGAGCCTAGTTTTGTGCTCTTGCCACATTTCTTCTCTGATAGAAGATTCAAGAAATTCAGTGCTCATGACAAGTGTTTTATTCCTTTCATGGATGGGAGGGGTTATTCCAAGAGAGAATGCAGAGGAGGACAATGCTTAACTCAGCTCCAGTTGTGGTTTTAGCTGTAATTGGAAGGAGGTGGCTTCTAATGGGGCAGGGTCCTTCCCAGCCCTCACCCAGATGACCTGATCTACCCTTATCTAAGGCTCCCCTGAATCCCTCCCTCTCATTAAAAATAAACCGGGCTAGGTATGGTGGCTCATGCCTGTAATCCCAGCACTGTGGGAGGCCAAGGTGGAAGGATTACGTGAGCCTAGGAGTTTGAGACCAGCCTGGACAACATAGTGAGGCCCTCTACCCCCGGCCCCCCCCAACCCCCTGCAGCCTGTCTCTACCAAATTACCTGGGCATGGTGTCACGCGCTTATAGTCTCAGTTACTGGGGAGGCTGAGGTGGAAGGATCACTTGAGTCTGGGAGTTCGAGGCTACCATGATCCATGATTGCGCCACTGCACTCCAGCCTGAGCAACAAAGCAAGACCCTGTCTCAGACAAAAACAAAAAACAACAAAAAAGAAAAACCAAAGAAGCCTGAAAAGCAAAATTTAAAGTGTAGTCCTGAAACCCTCAGGATGGTGTGCGGGGTGCAACCCAGAGCTGGGTGGGTAAGGGGAGAGCAGCAACCACAACTGAGGGCCACTTCCTGCCCCAGGCAGCCTCTGCTTGTGGGAGTGATCTGGGCTGTGACCTGCCCTTCCAGGCCCTCACCCTTGTTTCCCCAGAGCAGTGCCAGCACCCCGTGCTCCCCTGGGCCTCTGACTCTCCCTTGAACCTTCAGCCCGGCATGAAGCACCTTGGTTGTGCTCTGCTTGTGCTGGTGGGGTTGCTGTATGGTGCTGCTGCAGCTTGAGGGCCAGAGCAGGGCATCTGTCTGTCCCTTTCTGCTTCTGTGGAGATGACTACACTCAGACCCTACTATGACAGTTTAGCTGGGCCTGACCTCCCCCTCGATTTTGAGATCCTGATGCCCCTGAGGTGAAGGTGGCCTGTTTACTGTCTTTAGAGTACACTTCTGAGGATTTGGGATTCAACCTGTGGTTCTCTGGGTCTTTGGCCTGGATGTCCACCAGCCAGCCACTATCCTTCCTGGCAGCTGTGTCAGAGCTGGAGACAATCAGACTGGTTTTCTCCAGTGAGAGCTTTCTTGACATCTTTTAGTGTCAGGAAAGTGTCCTGGGAATCCCTCCTAGAGACCTTCCCAAGAGGGCATGGACCACCCGTGTCTGGGAGGACAGAGCTTCCCAGAGAGGAGGGGATAGTGCTGAGAGAACCCAGCGCACCTTGTGCCCTAGCAGTGGTTGAAAGTTTCTGGGTGGATAGTGCGTAATTGGGAGGGGCAGCAGGAGGATTGGTGGGGCTGGGAGAGGGGAACCAAGCCTACCACTTTGCTGGGATCCCCTCTCCCCAACCAGCCCTGTAGCTGGGCCATCCCTTGTGGTTTGGAGGGGCCCTGGCAGGCTTGTAGCCCCTCCACCCAGCCCCACCCCAGGGAAAAAGTTGCAGCCGAGCTTCTTGTTTCTTCATCTGACTTCAAAGCATGACTCACACATGCTCTCCCCAGAATGGAGTGCAGCGAGAGGCAGGCAGCAGAGACCCCAGCCTCTCCTTAAGATGCCGAGTGGCTGGACTTTGCACCACAGGAAAGCTAGGAGCTATTTTGCGACGTGCTTTTGATGGCCTTGGGTGTTTTTAGCGAGTGACAGGGGATTTGGCAGATTTTAGGGAGTCTAGCAGGAGGCTGTTCTGCTGGATTTGGAAATGTGACTCGCACCCTGTGATTCAGACGCTTCCTGGGATCGTCAGCACCCTACCCCCCAGGGGAGTAGTGGGTGTCCCTGAGGGACTGGAAAGCTGAATGAGAGGTTAAAGAGCAAGATTAGTCCACAGGGAACAGATTCTCAAAGGTTCTGGGCTCAGACTCCTGAAAGTGGAAGCTGTGTAGTCAAGGCACTGACTCCCTTCCCACCTCTCTCTGCTTGGGACTTCTGTGTGTTGAGAGGGGAAGACTGAGTGGGGACAACTATCCAAAGATCTGAGGACCATCTGCCCATGCAGCCAGTCTCCCAGCCAGCTGGAGGTCAGGGGTGGCCAATCATCCCCCTGCTAAGAACGCTTCCAGTAGCCAGGCCTGACAGCACCTCCCTGTGCTGTCTTTCCCAGCCGCCTTCTCCTTACTCTGTACTGTGTCCTTATCCTCAAAGACGACAAGCCCAGGTGATCTCCACCTTGGCTCCCAGCCGTTCCCAGGCCTAGCCCCTCTGGTAACTTGGGGCCTGTTGAGGGGCTTTGGCCCGTGCTCAAATGCATGGTCTGTTCACTTATCCATCATCTCCAGGCCATTTGGGAGTTGGGGAGGGCTGGACCTGGGCTCCCTAGGAGATACTGATGTGCTTCTGCTGCTTCTCGTTGCATGCTCCTCCACCTCCAGCACAGGGGTGCCTGGATATGAGAGAAGGGCCTGTGGGTTATAAGAAATGGGATGATGTTGTTGTTGTTGTTGTTGTTTTGAGATGGAGTCTCACTCTGTTGCCCAGGCTGGAGTGCAGTGGCACGATCTTGGCTCACTGCAACCTCCACCTCCTGGGTTCAAGTGATTCTCCTGCTTCAGCCTCCCAAGTAGCTGGGACTACGGGCTCATGCCAGCACGCCTGGCTAAATTTTTTTTTTTGTATTTTTATTAGAGACAGGGTTTCACTGTATTAGCCAGGATGGTCTTGATCTCCTGACATCATGATCCATCCGCCTGGGCCTCTCAAAGTGTGGGGATTATGGGCATGAGCCACCACGCCCGGCATTGCCAATAAGCCTGCTGAGCAGACAGGGACGGGTGGTCACCCTGATTAGAAGCAGGAAAGAGACTTACGGAGCCTAGCAGATGCCTGGGATTTTTTAGGAGCTCTCCACCTGTGCTTCAGGAATGAATGGGTTTGCCTTCTGTGACTCTGTCTTGCCCGGGGCCTGGTCTCTGAGCAGTGGCAAGTCCCCGCACGTGGCCAGAGCAAAGCCTGGCACGCTGCCTCTCCTTTCCAGTTTTCCGTGTCCTTTCTCAGGGGTGAAGGTTGCCCACACCACCCTCAGCCTGGTTTTCTGAGCACTCTTTCTCAATTAATGCAGCATATCTCTGGAGAGGAGGTGTCCAGTGACCCCACCCACTGGCCCAAGGCCATGGGAGCTAACAGGGAAAGATTCAGGAATCCCTGGGAGCCCTCAGGCTTGAGACTTTCAGGGTTAAATCCTGGCACAGCAGGGACTGCTCTCAGTTCCTCTGTAGAATGAGTGTGAACAGCAATAGCAGTGGGGAAATTAAGCTGAAAAACCTGGGCCCGCTGGGTGGGGATGGGTTGCAGGAGTACCTGGTGAGGGACAGAACTTGTCTGGCACCTTACTTGCCAGCCCCTGTGCTTTGGGTTGAATGGTAGGAAGTGAACAGCTCCGTAGTCTCTGACCACCGCCCTCTGCAGTTCTTCATTGTCTTGGCCATGCCAGCTTCCAGTGCACAGCCAGCTCTGGCCTCTCACTCAGAACTGGGGCCCAGGCTGCCGCAGGTGTATGTTGGAGTGTTTTGCCAAGCAAAGTTAGGGGATGATGCCTGGTCATATGCATTTTCTGTCAGGGGCTCTGGGCTTCCCCCACCTCCTTGCATCCTGCCCCTGCCTACAAAGAGGGAGAACCGAGCACGACTAACAAGGCAGCTCATTTGTCTCCTGTGTTAGTGCTTCTCTTTGATACTTTCTTTTCCCAACTGTTTGTGGCCTTCAGGGGTTTAAAGCTGTATGGCAGGTCTACGCACCGTCCCTGGGTTTTCTCTACCCCCAGGAATATGCTGATCCTGGCCTTACTGTTACCCTTGCCCTGGGTACTGGCACCCTTTGGGCTGCTCTTGCCTGGAATTTGAACCAAAGTTCAAATGAGACTTCTCCACCATGGGCCCCTCAAAGCTGAGACCTCTCCACCATGGGCCCCTCAAAGCTGAGACCTCTCCACCATGGGCCCCTCAAAGCCAGGCCTTCACCCTTGATAGAGCTTTTCCAGCTAGACCCAGGTTGTGGCAGTCTTGCTTTATATGCCAGGGGAGGAGTCCTCAGAGACTGAACTTTGCCTTCATGGCCCAGCAGGCAGGGTCCCCATCTCAGCTCTTCACTGTCTGTCTTCTTGTCCTCCTGTGGCCAACCTCAGAAGCCCTGCGTTTGGGGAGGGGATTGTTAATGCCTTGGTTATACTTTTGGAAGAATAGATGGACTCCTGGCCGGGGGCAGTGGCTCACGCCTGTAATCCCAGCACTGTGGGAGGCCGAGGCGGGCAGATCACGAGGTCAGGAGATCGAGACCACCCTGGCTAACACGGTGAAACCCCCTCTCTACTAAAAATACAAAAGAAAATTTAGCGGGGCGTGGTGGCGGGCACCTGTAGTCCCAGCTACCCGAGAGGCTGAGGCAGGAGAATGGCGTGAACCTGGGAGGCGGAGCTTGCAGTGAGCCAAGATCTCACCAATGCACTCCAGCGAGACTCCGTCTCTCAAAAAAAGAAAAAAAGAAGAAAGAATAAATGGACTTCTACCACCCAGTCCCCCATCTTGGGAGGCTCTGTCTTCAGAGCCTCTTCCTATCCTGTGATGAATATCTAGTGAGAGAAGGACAGGGGGAGAGAACAAAGAGCTTTGCCACCAGCTCCTCCTATCCCCTGTCCCTGGGGTCTGCCTTGCTCCCTAGGCTCTTCAGGGGCTTAGTTCAGAGATACCCTAGGCTAAAAGGAAAGAGGAGGAACCAGTCCTTGCACAGCTGCTGGTAGCTTGATTCCACTGCCCCTTCACACTCTGGAAAGGGAGTCCCAGGAAAATCCATACTGGAGACAGGGTAGTTGTAGGCCAGGATCACTGCACCTGGGGCTGGGTAGGCTGCAGTGGGAGAGAAAGCAGGCAGGAGCAGGCCAGAGAGGGCTTCTCTCATTGCCCACCTTCTGTCCTGCAGGTTGGAAGTACTCCATGACACACACTCGGAGAAAGTCCCTTCCCATGCTGAGTTCGGGCCTCACTGGCCGCCGAGAGCCCCTGCAGATGGAAGACAGCAACATGGAGCAGGGGGTTGAGGGTGTGGAGCCAGGCATGCCCGAGAGCCCAGGTCACCTCACAGGGCGCCGCAAGAATTACCCACTTCGTAAGCGCCCATTGGTTCCTGAGAAGCCCAAGGCCTGCAAAGTGCTGCTGACTCGCCTGGAGAATGTGGCCGGTCCCCGGAGTGCAGATGAGGCTGATGAGCTACCGCCTGACCTGCCCAAGCCCCCCAGCCCGGCCCCATCCAGTGAAGACCCTGGCCTTGCCCAGCCCCGCAAGCGGCGCCTGGCCTCCCTCAATGCTGAAGCTCTCAATAACCTGCTGCTGGAGCGAGAGGACACCAGCAGCCTGGCAGGCACCCGCCGCAGTCGAGCAGGGGATCCCCACCGCAGCCGTGACCGTGATCGTGCTACTGGGGGCTGGTCCTCCTCCAAGAAGCGGCCCCGGCTGGGGGACCTTGGAGGAGGAAGTCGGGACCTGTCTCCAGAGCCAGCACCCGATGAAGGTCCCCGCCGAGATGGAGACCCAGCTCCCAAGAGACTGGCTAGCCTGAACGCAGCTGCTTTCCTAAAACTGAGCCAGGAGCGGGAGCTACCCCTGCGGCTGCCTCGTGCCCATGCAGAAGTAGATGGGCGCTCCACTGAGCCCCCAGCACCCAAGGCCCCGAGGCCAAAGTGGCCCAAGGTCAATGGCAAGAACTATCCCAAGGCTTGGCAGGGGGCCAGCTCTGGGGAGGCTGCAGGCCCACCTGGCTGGCAAGGCTGCCCTGATGAACCATGGCCATCTGCAACTCCTTGTGGGCCATCCGTCCAGCCATCTCATCAGCCCCTGAGCAAGGCTCTGGAGAGCCCTTTGGGGCTGCGCCCTCACCTGCCCCTGCTGATGGGTGGACAGGCGGCTCTGAAGCCGGAGCCTGGGCGCCCAGGCGAGGAGTCACCTGCCCCTAAGCAGGAACTGCATCAGCCCTCTTTCCCCACACCTCAGCTGTCGCCGCTGCCGATGCCTGGCAACCCCGCCGACTACAATGGCCTGTGTGTTGGGCCTGAGCTCACTGCACTAGGCAGCTTCTACCTGTACTGTGGCCAAGAGGGGCTGCAGTGTGGGGGCTACTCGCCCTGCCCCATGCTTCCTGAGGGCAAGCTGTCCCCAGTGGCTGCACCTCACGAGGAGGGGCTCCTCTTAGCTCCGAGCTCAGTGCCCTCAGGCACCCCTTTCCAGCACCCTCCCTGGGGCTCCTCTCGCTACTGCTCTAGCGAGGACACTGGAGTGAATGGCTACAGCATCTGCGGAGTGTTGCCCCTGTCTGTTACCCACGCTGGCACTACCTGTGGCGGCTGCCCATACAAAATGCCTTTTGCAGCAGGTGAGGCTTCCTGGGCCCAAGATGTACTGGGGAGTCTCGGAGACATGGCATCCCAGGAGGTTGGGCTGTTGATCTGAGCAGGGGTCTCCCTTGGGGTCTGGCTGCTAACTGGAAGGTAGGGGGCTTTCAGAAGTGAGAACTCCCGTAGTCTGTGCCCCAAGCCGAGGAGCATTCCCAAGAACAGGGCCCGTATAGCTCTGGACAGCCTTGCTCTGCCCAGGCTACCTTTGGAGATTCTTGGCCTGGCAGTTAGGTAGCATTGCAGTGGTACAGGCCACAGGAAGGCCTCTCTTCTCTCCTCATTGGGATACCCGTTCTTAGACTCTGAAGAGCAGGTTAGATATTGGAATTAGGACTTTTACCAAATTGTTCTCACGGCCCTTCTACCCTCCTTGAGGAAAGCTAGAATTCCCTAGTTTCTAGAAACCAGTACTCTCTGCATGCTGGCCAAGTTCAGCATTCATGGGAAAGGTGGTAGGTACCAGGCTCAGTAGGTGGTACCTACTGCACAGGGCAGCTTTGCCCTGGCTATAGAGGCATTGAAAGAGAAGTGCCCAGACTGAGCATCACTTTGCTGGGTGTGGATAGAGAGGGTGCACCATGAGAACAGACAAGCAGAGTTCCCTGACATGGATGGAATGCGATCAGGGCCCACAGCTTTGGTGTCTGCCTGCCTGACAAGACCCAGACACCTGAGAGGCCCATGCTCCGGCTGTTGAGACACTCCCAGAATCATTTCTCTTCCCTAAACTGGCAGAGGTATCCTCACCTGCCTCTTCAGGCTCCCTGCCTGCCTCCTGGGTGGAAATGAGACATGCTGGCCAGCAGGTCTGCCCTGCTGCTGGGGAGGTGAGGGCTGGACCTTCCAGATCTCCCTTCCCCTGACATCCTTTCTTGTAGGGGTCTATAAAACAACTTTATAGACCAGTTGGCCCTGGCCAGACTGGTTGTTTCAGGTTGTGGCTTGAGTTAGAGTTCTTATGACATGAGAACAGGCTGCTGCTTGGGGTTTTCCTTCTTTTTTTGTGCCATTCCCCAAGTCTAGACCCTTATCCCCTCTCCCTAATAATAAGGACACCAGTAAACACCATGTACCAGGCACTGTTCTGAGTGCTTTACATATGGGAGGCTGCTTGGCATGTAATTGAGCACAGACTCCGAAGCCAGACTGCCTGGAGTGAAATGTTCTCCCCCACTTTCCTAGCCATGTGACTATGGGCGAGTCAGTAACTGCTCTGTGTCTCAGTTTTCTTAACTATAAAATGGGTGTAATGATACCTATCTCACAGGGTTTTTGTAAGGATGAAATGAGTTAATGTGTTCGTAAGAAAACCAGCCAGTTGCTCTGAGGGGCAGAGTGACTTGCCTGAAGTCACATGGCTAGTAAGTGGCAGAACCCAGGCTGATTCTAGAACCCCTATTCCCAAGCATTATGAAAGCCTTAGAAAATTAATATCAGGGCCAGGCGCGGTGGCTCATGCCTGTAATCCTAGCACTTTGGGAGGCTGAGGCGGGCAGATTGCCTGAGCTCAGTAGGTTGAGACCAGCCTGTCTAACATGGTGAAACCCTATCTCTACTAAACATACAAAAAAATTAGCTGGGTGTGGTGATGGGCACCTGTAATCCCAGCTACTCAGGAGGCTGAGGCAGGAGAAATGCTTGAACCCGAGAGGCGGAGGTTGCAGTGAGCCAAGATAGCACCACTGCACTCTAGCCTGGGCAACAGAGCGAGACTCTGTCTCAAAAAAAAAAAAAGTTCGGAGTTAAAAAGGATGTTCCAACCACCTCTCTTTCAGACTAAAAGGGGAGATGGCCAATCTCCAAGATCAGGAAACACCCCTGTCCCCTTAGAGAGTCACTCTGACAGTCCACCATAAAAAGGCCTCTGATCCCATCGGCCACCTCAGTGGCCTTTGGTTGCACAGTTAGAATTAAGACAGGAGCAGGCTCTGAAAGCAGATGGGTGATGGGGGTCACTGCTTGTCCTGTCCTGACCACTCTCTCCCTTTCCTAGAAGGCTGCAGATCCCTGGGCCAGTTGGAATTTCCTCTCCCGGAAGCTGGCCACCCAGCCTCACCCGCCCACCCACTCCTGGGGTGCCCTGTACCCAGTGTGCCACCTGCAGCAGAGCCCGTCCCCCATCTTCAGACACCCACCTCGGAGCCCCAGACAGTAGCCCGTGCGTGCCCTCAGAGCGCCAAACCTCCCAGCGGTTCTAAGTCAGGTCTGCGCACAGGCTCCAGCTGCAGGCACACTGCAAGGAGCAAGGCTGCCCGCAGGCCTAGCCACCCCAAGCAGCCACGTGTCCAGCGCCCACGCCCTCGCCGCCGCCGTCGCCGCCGCACTAATGGCTGGGTACCTGTTGGGGCTGCGTGTGAGAAGGCTGTGTATGTCTTGGTAAGTGCTAGCTCTTAGCTGATGACGAGAGGGAGGGAGGCAGTGGGGACACATGACCTGCAGTGAGGTAGGTGCTAGAAGCACCTGGTTCTAGCTACTCTGAGAGCTGACAAGGGACTCCAGTTTACTTGTACCCCAGGAACCAGTCATGCTGGCCCACCCAGCTTGCTTCCCTAGCCCCCTACTGATCCTGTACCAGACACCCCAGGGAGGTCAGGAGACACACAGTCATAGCTGGTGGCTGCCATCTCGGTGAGTGTCTTCCCCTCCCCTCCCTGCTCACTTTGTCCCTTACACCCTGGATTGTAAAGTGGAGGACTTTCAATGGAGAACTTTTCTGGATAAGTCTATATAGGGGGCGTTGGAATGGGCAGAGAAAATTAGTGACACAGAGAACATCTCGGATGATGAAAAGAGGCCAAGTGCGGTGGCTCACATCTGTAATCCCAGTACTTTAGGTGGTGGAAGTGGTAAGATCGCATGAGGCCAGGAGTTCAAGACGAGCCTGAGCAATATAGACCTCATCTCTACAAAGTAAAAACATTAGTTAGCCAGGCATGGTGGTGTGCACCAGGAGGCTGAAGTGGGAGGATTGCTTAGGTCCAGGAGTTCAAGGCTGCAGTGAGCTGATTGCACCACTGCACTCCAGTCTGGGTGACAGAGAGACCCTGGCTTTTAAAATTAATTAATTAAAAACAAAAAGAATATTAACTAAAATTTATTGAGGCTGGGCAAGGTGGCTCATGCATATAATCCCAGAGCTTTCAGAGGCTGATGCTAGAGGATTGTTTGAGCTCAGGAGTTCAAGACCAACCTGGTCGACATAGCAAGATCCTGTCTACAGAAAAAAAATTTTTTTAATTAGCCAGGCATGGTAGCATGCATCTGTAGTCCCAGCTACTTGAGAGTCTGAGGCAGGAGGATCACTTGAGTCCAGGAGGTTGAGGCTGCAGTGAACTATGGTTGCACCACTGCATTCCAGCCTGGGTGACAGAGTGAGACCCTGTCTCTAAAAATAAATAAATACATAAATACATAAAATTTATTGAGCACTTCTTAGATGCCAGAACTGAGCTAAGCATTTTGTAAGTATTATGCCCTTTAATCCTCACCACTACCCTATGTGGTATATATCCCATCTTCCTATAATTAATCCCATTTTACAGATGTGGAAGCTGAGGCTTAGCAATACTTTAAATAATTTGTCAAAGGCTGTGCCCCTTATAACAGTGGTTTAAGGGTTCAGACCGAGACTTGTTCCATTAGGAAGCATGAGCACTTACCCAGCACTGGGGGTCTTGGAGTGAGAGTCAGCTGTCGGGTATGGTGGTCAGAGCTCAGCCCCAGAAGCTTCAGGCCACTTTTCCACCCCTATTCCCTTTTCTCATCCTTTCTCCAACCATGAGAATTCCCCAGCCCCATCCAAAAAAGGATAGTGGTTTGACAAAACCAAGGTAGTGGTTTGACTATCTTGAGGAAATCGTGGAAAGGATGTCATTCCCTCTCTCTGTCCTTACTCTGAGTGTGGCTCTGCAAGCCTATTTGTGTCATTGGTTTGTTGCCTAGGATGAGCCGGAGCCAGCCATCCGAAAGAGCTACCAGGCGGTAGAGCGGCATGGGGAGACAATCCGAGTCCGGGACACCGTCCTTCTCAAATCAGGCCCACGAAAGACCTCCACACCTTATGTGGCCAAGATCTCTGCCCTCTGGGAGAACCCCGAGTCAGGTACCTCTCCCTCTGGCTGGGGACCCAAGGGGCAGCTGCCTTCAGCAGAACTGTAGTCCCCAGATTGGCCCCTGCCTGGAGTTTGACCTGGCGTGAGTCTCCCCGTGTTCCTGGCACAGAGTCTGCCTTCCACTCGGCTGGGGTCTCTCTGCTGCCGAGGGCTGTGGGTGACCTTGTGGCTTGGGTTGGATCAGCTCATTAACCTTTCCAGCCAGCAGAGCCTGGGCACCTGTCCCCCCACCTCACCTGTCAGTGCCTTCTCCCCCTTCTCCCTCCATGCCTAACAGCATTCCAGGCCTCTGAATGCTTGGCCTGGGGCAGGGGACATGGGTTGCCGGAGCCTGCAGGATTGAGGTTGGATGAACCTCCAGGGCAGCCAGCCAGCCTCTCTGCCTGTCTAAGTAACTCAGGTTGCCAGTTCAAGCCATAACCACTGTGTTGTCCTTCCAGGAGAGCTGATGATGAGCCTCCTGTGGTATTACAGACCTGAGCACTTACAGGGAGGCCGCAGTCCCAGCATGCACGAGGTGAGCTGCCTGGCAGATGGGTCAGGGAGGGCAGGAGAGACAGAGGGAAAGGTTATGGCACTAAGACGTGGTAGGGGGAGGGCAGCCATGGGCTGTAGTCAAATCCCTGCGCTTGTCACTTTGGACTCCAGAGAACCTGGGAAAGGGCCCAGGATTTATTCTCTTTTCCCAACACTGCCCCAATTCATGTTTCAAAGGGAATAATAACCTTTGTCTTAAAAAGAGGAACAGAAAGGGAACCCTTGAGGTAGCAGGTGCCAATGGGAGCAAGTGGATGTGTTCCCCTGGAAACAGGAAAGGTGAGGTGGAGCTGCATACCTGGTCACTTTTGGTATTTTCTGTAGTAGGGGAGGGGAGGGGAGGAAAGACTCCTCCTAACACCCCATAGGCTCTCCACCAAGCTGTGTGCTAAAAGAGGTGACTGCCATCTGTGTGTGCCCTGGGCTCACCTTTTATTTCACTTTCCCTTGCAGGGACTTTCCATCTAACTGGAAAGATGAAGAACATTTCCCCTCTCCTACGCTAGGCAGGGCTGGGGTTTGGGAGGTCAGTGACAATCAGGGGCTAGAGCAGATACCTGGCTATTCTGGAGAAGGGGGGGACCTAGAAGGGACTCAGGAGGAATGCCTGGAGGCAGTAGGTGAGGCATACTTAGGCTGAATTTCCAGGGAAGCTTGCTGGAGTCATCTCAGGTCAGCAGGCCCAGCAGAGGGGTTAATGTCTGCCTTGCTCTGGGAATGAGGTGCTTTCCAGCCCTGGTAACAACCTCCACCTGTCTCCCTTTGAGCCCTTGCAGAATGAAGTGTTTGCATCGCGACATCAGGACCAGAACAGTGTGGCCTGCATTGAGGAGAAGTGCTATGTGCTGACTTTTGCCGAGTACTGCAGGTAGGTGGTTCCCTGCACCCTCTGGCTGGCCTCTTCCCTCAGGCTCCCCAGGCATATTTGGGGCTGCTTGGAATTCCCCGAGAGGATCTCATTCTGCTCTCTACCTGATCTTACTCACTGAGCCTAATCTCCCAGAACTTACTTCCCTATTGCTTGCCTCTACCATCTGATATTTTTTGGAAGAAAGAAGAAAAATTGTGTTGCCACACTGAGGTAGAATGGTTGGAGCAGAGTTGGGGGGTAACATTACTGCTCTTGGAAAAAATTTAGGCGAATTGGCAGGCAAATGGAGAGAGGCCCTGGCAAGTGTGGTTCTCCAGTGACAGAGAAGATAGCCTGGTGGTTGGCAGAGCAGACATCATCCCTGGGATGGGTGGAGACAGTACCACCCCTTGGGGAGCTAGGATAGCCTAGCTCTCTGGGTCGGGTAGGGTAGGGTAGGGAAGGAATTGGTCTTCCTGCAAAAGTGGCTGGAGTAAAGACAGTGAATGGTATCTCTCTACAGGTTCTGTGCCATGGCCAAGCGCCGAGGTGAAGGCCTCCCCAGCCGAAAGACAGCACTGGTTCCCCCCTCTGCAGACTATTCCACCCCACCCCACCGCACAGTGCCAGAGGACACGGACCCTGAGCTGGTGTTCCTTTGCCGCCATGTCTATGACTTCCGCCACGGGCGCATCCTTAAGAACCCCCAGTAGCCTCCTCATGCCCATGCTGGGGCTACCCATGGGCAAGTGGGGCTCGGGGTAGGGGGCACTGCTTGAAGCACAGCACTTGGTTAGGGGGCCACAGAGGCCTAAGTTTGCTGGCCTGTGGTTTTCTTGGGGGGGAGGGCAGGGGCCCCTGTGGGTTCTGGGCTCCAGGGGAGGGAGCTGGGGAGGCCAGGGTATAAGAAAAGCATCAGAACTCTCAGCTTGGCCCAAGGTACCTTCTGTGGTTCCCCTGGGTGGAGATTTCCGAAAAGTAGTCTTCTCTGAGGCTGGGCCAAGCCTGAGGGAAATGGGGCCCTAGGAGGGTGGGGGCGGGAAGGAGGGGCAAGGTCTTTCAGGAACCAGACCCAACAGGCCCTTCTGTAGCCTCCCCCTTGCCCTCAAAGGGGGAGTGGGGGCCAGCTTTACCTCACCCACTGTGACCCGCCGCTTCCCCTTCAGCCTGGGACCAGGCTTTCCTAGATCCCAGCACAGCTCTGAGCTTGTTCCTTTGAGGCATAGAGAGCCAGAGTCTGGCTTCCAGAGCATTGACTTCCTCTTCCTAGACTTGAGGCCTTTTCTCTGGCTTTCCTCCTTTGCCCTGCAGTAGCAACTGGTGCTGGGACAAGTTGACCCACCTCTCACAGTCATGGGTGTGGCCCACTTGTGGGAGTCTCCTGTCCACCTCCCAGAGACGGCCACCCAGCGGGTCTGGCTTCCCAGAAAGTTAACTGATGATTGTGGGGTTTGTCATATCTGGGAGGGAAGATGGGTGCTGGGAGAGGGTTGGGGGCAGGGGGCAAGGAAAATTGCTACCTGATTTGTTGAAGATTTTTCCTCTTGCCTTACACATGGAGGTTCCAGGAAACCTCTTGCAGAACTTCACACGTGATTCTTCAAGCCACACCCACCTGAAATCAAACCAAAGGAGTGCTGTGGCTCCCCTTGCCCTGCCACCCTTTCCCTAGTCTTTTGTAGATTGCACTAATTTACATCCTAGCAAGAATCAACACTGTATCAGTCCACGGACCTGCTGAGCTGCAGCCACTTGCTCTAGGAGCTAAGGACTTGCATTTTCAGTTTGTTCCTGTTGCCCAGAGGCCCTGTTCTCACCTCATGCTGCTCCCCAGAGTAGACTAACAGGCTCAGTCCCCTGTTGTCCTTGTGGAGACTAGGCCTTGGCCCTGGCCCTGAGACTCTGTGAGGGGGCTGGAGCAGCCTGGTTATTTCCTATCTGTACCAAAGAGGAGTATGGTGGGAGAGGGAGTGGAGTGCAGTGTGGCTTGGGCCTGGTGCTGGGAACCTGCTAGCTGAGCACTTCCACAAGGGCATACCCCTGGGGGCAGGGGCTGGGGCTGAGAACTGCAGCCCTGGGTCTTCCCTTAGGGAGGAAGGGCAGATGAACCCAGCAGGCTTAGGAGGTGGCACTGGGTGAGGACAGCTGGGCAGGGGCTGCAGAGGGAGGTGGAAATGAACCCTGAGGGCTCCCCCAACTTGCCATGCCCTGTCCCTTAGTAGATGAGTTGCTCCTGATTGGTCATTGGGTTTGGGTGAGGCCTGGAGGCTTCAGAGGTGAATTTATGCTTGGGAAGCCTGATCCCAAACCTGAAGGGAAGGGACTTGGATCTCCTTATATTGAATAAGCTGTTTGGAGGAAGGTGTCTGTCTGGGAGGATGGGGCAGTAAATGAGGTTGGCAGAGTGGCAGTGGGGGCTCTGCAGAGCCAGCCTTGGAGCCTGCTCATTCTGGGCCCTTGCTGCCAAGGAGCCCAGCCTCACCTAGCAGGAAAGGAGATGAAGGCCCTCCTCCCAGGAGGTAGGGTCTTGGCTGCCCCGAACTTAAATGCTTTTGAAATCTCTTAGATGTGGAAATATTTTTTCGAACCTGAAAATGCAGCTGGTAGAATTTCAATGGAAGCATAATCCATGTAAAATATATTTTAGTTGATATTTTGTAAAATGCACTTTTTGTGTGTGTTGATCCTGGTTTCCCAGATCTGTATTTCAGTGTTTACAAGGGAGGAAGGACCTTTCCTCACCTCCCTTTTGACAGAGATTAGAAGTACTTCTTTAAGAAAAAAATAAATTTGAGAAATTGTATTGATTTAGAAAAGGATCGTTTCCTGTGTGTCCTGTCATCTTTTGGTGTGTGGGTGTGGAGAGACCCACTATTCTTATTTCAGAGGTCCCTCTTAACCCCTGTGGCATGGATGCTCACCAAGGCCAATGAGCAAAGAGGGCAGGGAAGCAGAGGGAAAAGAGAGTGAGGGAAGGAGACAGAGGGACTGGGAACTTGGAGTTGACTTCTTGATTTCATGGTGGCCACAGCTGCCTGCTTAGGTCTGTGTGAAATACTTCAGTTGCCAGCCCTCACCTGACCAGTGACCTGGAAATTGGTCCCCAAGTAGGTACATGGCAAAGATACCTTCTTATCACTGGCCTCATGCAGTGGCTCCTGCCTGTAATCCCAGTGCTTTGGGAGGCAGAGGCAGGAGGGTTACTTGAGCCTAGGAGTTTAAGACCAGCCTAGGCAACATAGACCATGTCTCTCGAAAAATTTAAAAATTAGCCCGGCATGTCAGTGCATGCCTATAGTCTCAGTCAGGAGGCTAAGGTAGGAGGATTGCTTGATCCCAAGAGCACGAGGCTGCAGTGAGCCGTGATCATACCACTGCAGCCTGGGTGACAGAGTGAGATCCTGTCTCAGAAAAGAAAAAAAAAGCATCCCTCCTCATCACCTTGGGTAACTGGCCAGCACTGTCCTAGGGCCTCAGTGTCTTGCAGCTGGTGCTTCTTGCTTGCTGAGGAAGGCCACATCATGGGGCCAAGGGTCTGCGGCCAGCTGACCCCTGCTTCAGCCCAGCCCTGGTCCCAGCCTGGAAGCCTCAGTGTTGACCATGTTCCAGGTGGGGCAGCTCTAAGGCCATAGAGGTTCCTGGGAGCCACAGCACCCCCCCGCCCCGCCTCCACTTCTGCATTTTGCTAAGGCATGGTGCATGTGGGCAGGAACATTTTTTCAGAATTTATTGGTGGCACAGACACCACCATGGATTTTTCTAGCTCTGCCTTCAGTGTGGTGTCCACAAGACTCCCTTGAGGCGAGTGGTAGCTTGTCCTTATCTTACAGACAAGAAATTGGTATGGAGATAAGTACCAGGCCCAAGGACTCCCCCTGCCTCACCCTGACTGCTAACACAGAAAACTACCCTGTAACACAGAAGGGAGCACATGTGGCCACATTATCAAAAGATTTTTAAAGGTCTAAGGCCTTTTTTTCCTCTCCTGGTTTAAAGGACATACTTACTGGAAAATATGATTTTAATAGAAAATCCTATCACCAGAAATGTATACCTTTAGGATTATTGGAAGCAAGGAGCAGTGTAGACAAGGCAGAACCTTCACGCAAACTTCTGGTGCAGCAAATGGACAGGTGGTAGCCTGCAGATGCACTGGGGCAATCAGATGTGGAGAGCCTGCCCTGGAGAGCTGGAAGGCTGCAAGGCTTTACCGTTCCTTCCCCTGGCTCATCTGTGTGCTTTTCCTGTTGCTGGGATTGTGGGGTCATCAGTGAGCCCTCTAGTATCACCTCATCCCTCAAGTCCCCTCACCCTTCTGAATTCATCTGATCACTGGTAGCTCCATTCTCCCACTGGTATCTTCTATTTTCCATCACCTGCTCTGTACAGTCCGCCCTCGAGTCAGCTGCTTCCTCCCTTCTAGCCATTCCATGATATGCTCCTTTAATCTCTGAAGGGCCGTGATTAGAAATTTAGGTTTTAGACTCAGAACCACCCATACTGAGTCACATCTTCCCTGAGCCTCTGTTACTTCAGCTGTACAAAGGGAATGTCCACACTAGCTCCCTGCCAGGGTGGCTGTAACAACTAAAGGAGATAATGAATATAAAACACTTAGTGGGCGCTGTCCTCAGTACACTTGGGCTCTAATCATATTCCTCTGCTGCTTCAGAGGCTTGCTGGCTCTCTGCAGGCAGCAAGCACATAGCTGGACCAAGTCTGGCTACTGAGCCAGGTTCCCAGTGGGAAATGGTGGTTGCTGACATCCAAAGCACTTCGGGTCTGCTGTCCGCCCAAGTGACCAGCCTGGTGCCATGGAGCACACATCTAGCTCCAGGCAAGGAGACTACGTGCTGTTTCCCTGCTGTTTTGTGCCCCCAGCTCCTCACCCTTCCAAATGTGTGTTGGCCACACCAGCAGCTGATGGACCAATGTGTCAGACCCTCCCCAGAGTGCCCAGTTATCCCACTGCCTCATGAGGAGAAGGCAGAGGAGGGGAGACTCCATTTCCAGACATTTCAGCATTACCCAGTGGACAAGCACTGTAGTCAGTCCCCAGGTATTGCTAAACACAAGGGTCACCATGGAGACTGGTCAGTGTCTGACAGTTCTGCTTCTCCTTCCTGGAGTGGCCACGACCTGCAGGACGGAGGGAGTTAAGGGTGGCAAGGGGGAGCACACCGAGGGCTCCGCTTCCAGCTGGAAAGACCAGCCTCCGGCACGTCTGGACTCGGAGAGAGCGCTGCCCGCCTCCCTGCCTCCAGACCCGTTGCTGGAGGAAGGGCTAGGACAGGCCTGAGTTTGTGGCGAATCCCCCTTGTCCACTTCCCTGAGGACACACGCTGCAGGAGAGCAGCCTCGAGTCTTTTCTGCCTTCGAGGTCTCAGGAGCTTTTGTCCCCAAGCCCAGAGGACAGGGGTGGCCCTGACTCAGGCGCCCTCTTCCGGGTAGGGGTCCGCGTGCGCCCTCCCAAGCCCGCGCCCCGCAGGGGCGCCCGCCCCTCTCCCCGCCCCCGGCGTGGGCCCGCCCCCGCGCCTGTGTCACTGCGAGGCCGGGGGTGGAGAGCGGCCGGGCGGGACATCCGGCCCGGGTCCCTCGCCGCGCCCGCCGCCCGCCGCCCGCTTCGGCGCCGCAGCCCGGGAGCCGGCCACCCCTACACGCGCCAGGGCTGTCCCCTGCCCTCCCCTCCCCAACTACCCCCGGTCCCAGACCCTCCTCCCGCCCCCAGCCCGAGCCCGCCTTCCAGGCCGCCCTCGGATCGGCCGGGCCCGCGCAGGCCCCCACCCCTTGAGCACCATGTTCCCCCGCCCGCTGACCCCGCTGGCGGCCCCAAATGGCGCCGAGCCCCTGGGCCGGGCGCTGAGGCGGGCCCCTCTGGGCAGGGCCCGGGCGGGGCTGGGTGGGCCGCCCCTGCTGCTGCCGTCCATGCTGATGTTTGCGGTGATCGTGGCCTCCAGCGGGCTGCTGCTCATGATCGAGCGGGGCATCCTGGCCGAGATGAAGCCCCTGCCCCTGCACCCGCCCGGCCGCGAGGGCACAGCCTGGCGCGGGAAAGCCCCCAAGCCTGGGGGCCTGTCCCTCAGGGCTGGGGACGCGGACTTGCAAGTGCGGCAGGACGTCCGGAACAGGACCCTGCGGGCGGTGTGCGGACAGCCAGGCATGCCCCGGGACCCCTGGGACTTGCCGGTGGGGCAGCGGCGCACCCTGCTGCGCCACATCCTCGTAAGTGACCGTTACCGCTTCCTCTACTGCTACGTCCCCAAGGTGGCCTGCTCTAACTGGAAGCGGGTGATGAAGGTGCTGGCAGGCGTCCTGGACAGCGTGGACGTCCGCCTCAAGATGGACCACCGCAGTGACCTGGTGTTCCTGGCCGACCTGCGGCCTGAGGAGATTCGCTACCGCCTGCAGCACTACTTTAAGTTCCTGTTTGTGCGGGAGCCCTTGGAACGCCTCCTCTCTGCCTACCGCAACAAGTTTGGCGAGATCCGAGAGTACCAGCAACGCTATGGGGCTGAGATAGTGAGGCGGTACAGGGCTGGAGCGGGGCCCAGCCCTGCAGGCGACGATGTCACATTCCCCGAGTTCCTGAGATACCTGGTGGATGAGGACCCTGAGCGCATGAATGAGCATTGGATGCCCGTGTACCACCTGTGCCAGCCTTGTGCCGTGCACTATGACTTTGTGGGCTCCTATGAGAGGCTGGAGGCTGATGCAAATCAGGTGCTGGAGTGGGTACGGGCACCACCTCACGTCCGATTTCCAGCTCGCCAGGCCTGGTACCGGCCAGCCAGCCCCGAAAGCCTGCATTACCACTTGTGCAGTGCCCCCCGGGCCCTGCTGCAGGATGTGCTGCCTAAGTATATCCTGGACTTCTCCCTCTTTGCCTACCCACTGCCTAATGTCACCAAGGAGGCGTGTCAGCAGTGACCATGGGTGTGGGGCCAGCAGCTGGTGGGGACTGGTTTCAACGCCAGCTTTCTGTGCTTCTGCCTGTCATTCGGAGAAACTCTGGCTCTGGGGCTTGGGGCTTCTCAGGATCCTGGATGGCAGAGACTGCCCTCAGAAGTTCCTTGTCCAGGGTGGGCACCCACAGTGACTCAGAGGACAGGGCTAGGCAGGAGACCTGCTGCTCCTCATTGGGGGGATCTCTTGGGGGGCAGACACCAGTTTGCCAATGAAGCAACACATCTGATCTAAAGACTGGCTCCAGACCCCGGGCTGCCAGGATTATGCAGTCCACTTGGTCTACCTTAATTTAACCTGTGGCCAAACTCAGAGATGGTACCAGCCAGGGGCAAGCATGACCAGAGCCAGGGACCCTGTGGCTCTGATCCCCCATTTATCCACCCCATGTGCCTCAGGACTAGAGTGAGCAATCATACCTTATAAATGACTTTTGTGCCTTTCTGCTCCAGTCTCAAAATTTCCTACACCTGCCAGTTCTTTACATTTTTCCAAGGAAAGGAAAACGGAAGCAGGGTTCTTGCCTGGTAGCTCCAGGACCCAGCTCTGCAGGCACCCAAAGACCCTCTGTGCCCAGCCTCTTCCTTGAGTTCTCGGAACCTCCTCCCTAATTCTCCCTTCCTTCCCCACAAGGCCTTTGAGGTTGTGACTGTGGCTGGTATATCTGGCTGCCATTTTTCTGATGCATTTATTTAAAATTTGTACTTTTTGATAGAACCCTTGTAAGGGCTTTGTTTTCCTAATAGCTGACTTTTTAATAAAGCAGTTTTATATATAAGGCGAGCATTTCTGTGATTTCCCTTGGAGCTCCTGTGGGCCCAGCAGATCTCCTCGATGTCTGTCTTCCCATGTCAGGGGAGGCAGCCTGTAGATAGAGAAAGTAAGGTATAACTTGGTTGGGCTGGTCCAATGGGCCGTTGCCATTCCATGGAGACTTTGGGGGCTTTCTAATAGGCTATACCAGATCACAGACTCAGATCCTGGGATGTCACCAAAGGGCAAGCCCAGTTAGGAATGGCCTCACGTCCAGAGCATACCTACATGTATTATTCCCTAAAAAAGTAGGTGGGTAGGAGATACGGGATCCTCCTCTTATTCAATAAGAGTTGAATGAGAAGTTCCCCCAGAGCATTTTCTTTCTTTCTTTTTTTTTTTTTTTTTTTTGAGATGAAGTCTCGATCTGTCACCCAGGCTGCAGTGCAGTAGCACCATCTTGGCTCACTGCAACCTCTACCTCCTGGGTTCTAGCGATTGCCTCAGCCTCCCAAGTAGCTGGGATGATTACAGGCACGCACCACCACACCTGGCTAATTTTTGTATTTTTAGTAGAGATGGGGTTTCACCATGTTGGCCAGGCTGGTTTTGAACTCCTAACCTCAGGTGATCTGCCCACCTCGGCCCCTCCAAAGTGCTAGGATTACAGGCGTGAGCTACCACGCCTGGCCCCGGACCATTTTCAAATGAAAAAGAAAATTTTTGTGTGAGCAAGGAGATTTTTTTCTGGCACTACAAGGAAGGCAGGCAAGGAGGTTGAGTGAGGGTCAGGCTCTTGTTGACTTAGGTCCAGAGAAAGTTGTGGAAGGAATACAGTTGGAGCAGCAGAGGACAGACTTCAGTATGGCCCATTGCCCCCACTGCTCTCCAGGGATCCCAGGCCCATCAGGAGTTGCTGGGCCCAAGGGAGAGTTGCAAGGCCAGAGCTGGCCCTTCTCTGTTAGCCCTATTTCACACACCCCCAGTGGGAACTGCTGTACTTTATAGAGACCTGAGGCTATGGTAAGAGGGGGGCCCAAGGAAGGGAGGCAGGGAGGGCCCCCTTGCAGGTGCTACCTGTCGCTAGCTTTGCTATTGATTGGACTTTGTAGAGGAAAACTAACACTATTTCCCATATTTGGGATAGGGGGCTTCTATGGGCACTTATGGCTCTCCACTATGACTCATCAGGCCATGTTGCTTCCAGAAGGCCTTACCTGACCCCCTGTCTGGCTCAGATGTCCTTCTTCAGAGTCCCCTTGGCTCTGGGGACTTTACCTAGACCGATCAAGTCCCAGCCCTATTCCTCACCAGATGCCTATCTCTCAGAGCCTCTGTTTTCTCCAATGTGTCGTGGGAATAAAAACACCTATCTCATGTAGATTGCTAGGAGAGGGGAGGATTAATGAAGACAAAATGAATAAAAGGGCCCATCCCCACACCTGGCTCAGTGGATGTTCTTTTGGATGCTGGTTCAACACCTGACCCCTCAGAGGCCTGTGGGGACAAGGGAGAAGCCAGGACACTGTGTCTGGCCCAGCACTGGGTATCACTGCTACCTCTGGGCAGGGCCCCTTTGACCTCTGGGTTTACTTCCTCTACCAATGAGTCAGTCCTTCTCTGAGCTTCCGACCCCTCAGGACCCCCCTACTGCACCCTCTTTTTCCTCCTTGCCTGGGACTTTAAGCGGCTCCAGACCTACAGCAGCTAATCAGTCCCCCTAACTGGGGCCTGCAGCACGAACCGGAGAACCTGGAGAACACTGGGGCCGGCTGCTGTACTCACCCCATTTAATCCTCACAACAGCCGCGTGCCGGTGGGGTCATCCTGTTTTACAGACATGGAAACTGGCACAGAGAGGATAAATAACCTGCCCAAAGTGTCCAACCCAGGTCTGTCTGCCTCCCAAATGGGAGGGAGGAAAGGAGGAAGGCTTATGGAAGGTAGGGGTAGAGAGAAGAAGGAATAGGAAGGTGAAGTTAGAGGAAGGGTAGGTGGGGTTGTAGTCAGGGGTATTTGCAAACATTCTCCTTCCTCAGTTCTTTCGTTCATTTGCAAAGAACCCAGTTGAGCCCAGCTGACTTTTACCAGTTCCTGCCCTGGAGGACCGGGAGACAGATAGTGCTCTTGATGTGGTTAATTTATTGGCTACTCTCCTCCCAGGCAGAAAAGGGGTGCTGGGCCTTAGAGCATCCTGACAGCCACAAGTGGACACCTGTGGTGTGGGGAGGAGGGTGTGAGGAAGAGGAGAGGAGAGGGACAGGAGAGACAAATGCTACCTTCTGGGTCATTATTTTTCCACTAGTCAGCCCCTGAGGAAAATAATTTGTCACGTAGCCTTCCTTTCAGGAAAACAGACTTCTTAAAAGAAGCTGCCAAGGAAGTGGCATAGAATTGTGGGGTCCAGCAAGCCCTAGTGGGACCTGCTTTATGCTGGGTACTGGAGGCACTACCGGCTGTGGGTCACCGGGGCGGGGATGGGGGCATTCTCAGGACTGGATGCCTGGACTGTGTCTTCTGGGGATTCCTCCTTTTCTTTTCTTTTTTCTTTTTTCTTCTCTCCCTCTCCCTCTCCCTCTCCATCTCTCTTTCTATTTTCTTTTTTGAGATGGAGTCTCGCTCTGTCACCCAGGCTGGAGTGCAGTTGCACAATCTCGGCTGACTGCAACCTCCACCTCCTGGGTTCAAGCAATTCTTCTGCCTCAGCCTCTCGAGTAGCTGGGACTACAGGCGCGCGCCACCATGCCCAGCTAATTTTTGTATTTTTAGTAGAGACGGGGTTTTACCGTATTGTCCAGGCTGGTCTTGAATTCATGAACTCATGACCTTGTGATCTGCCCGCCTCAGCCTCCCAAAGTGCTGGGATTACAGGCGTAAGCCACCGCACCTGGCGGATTCCTCCTCTTCATTGCTTCTGCTGTGGTTCCCTACCCTCTGGAGCCAAGCCCTACCCTACCGCCTGGCCCCTCAAAAGACAAGGGGCCCCTTTAGAACTTACTCCCCGGACAACCCAACCCAGGTCCCCTAGGCACAGGGGCAGTTAACTTCTCTCACAGCTGAGGCCTATGAACAAAGGAAGGGGAGGAGCCCGAAGCAGGCTGGCCTTCCTGTCTCGACCCTGATTCCACTTCCAGGCTCCACTTCTTGTCCATTTCTCATCCCATCTGAAGCTACTGCCCAGAAACCACCTTAAATTTGGAGGCTCTTCCCGCCCCTCTTCCCACTCTCGCCTCTGCCCCCACACCCCAGGAGCATCACACCACACAGGGCCCCTGCAGGACACAACAAGGGCAGAGTGGGGCAGCTGACCCACCCCCCTGGGTGGACACTGAACCCTCACCTTTCCATGGGCCTATCACCACAGGGCCAAGCTCCCAAGACCCCACTCAGGATGGATGTTTCTTTTCTTTTGCTTTCTTTCTTTTTTTTTTTTTTTTTTTTGAAACAGGGTCTTGCCCTGTTGCCCAGGCTAAAGTGCAGTGTTGCAATTATAACTCACTGCAGCCTCAACTTCCCAGGCTCAAGGAGTCCTCCCACCTCAGCCTCCTGAGTGGCTGGGACTACAGGTGTGCACCACTATGCCCAGCTAATGTTTTCTATTTTTTGTAGAGACAGGGTGTTGCCCAGGCTGGAAGGATCTTTCTTTTTGAACAAGCCCCTGCCTGGCTCTAAAGAGAGGAAGGCATTTTTTCTCTTCCTAAAGAGAAAGACTAATAATGAACAGTAACTACTGTGAACTGAGAGTACCCGTGCTGGTGCTTTACATGCCTCATCCTCTCCATTCTTACAACCCAGCAAGGTAAGTAACATTATTTCCATTTTCTAGATGAGGAAATTGAGCCTAAGTGACTTGCCCAAAGAGATGGCAGGGTTGGGATTAAAAGTCAGCTCCAACTAAGGTTTTTCTTTTTCTATTTTTCTTTCTAACTTTTAGGTTCAGGGGATACACGTGCAGGTTTGTTCCATGGGTAAATTGTGTATTGCAGGGGTTTGGCATGCAAATTATTTCACTGCCCAGGTAATAAGCATAGTACTCACTGGGTAGTTTTTGCATCCTCACTCTCCTCCCACCTTTCACCCTCAAGTGGTCCCAGTGTCCATTGTTTTCTTCTTTGCGGCCATGTATACTCACTGTTTAGCTTCCACTTATAGGTGAGACAATGAAGTATTTGGTTTTCTGTTGCTGGTGTTAATTTGCTTAGGATAATGGCCTCTAGCTCTATCCATGTTGCTGCAAAGGACATGATTTTGCTCTTTTTTATGGCTGTGTAGTTTTCTATGGTGTATATGTACCACATTTTCTTTACCGAGTCCACTGTTGTCCATTTAAGGTTTGTTCCCCTCAAAATGAATATGCATTATAAACTACCCAGCTTATTGGCTTTGTGATGTGCCTCATGTTCCTCTTCTCTGATTCATGTCCCCTTCTCCAGTCCTCCTTCTGAACACTGCACAAATGATTCTGTTCACAACTCTCTCCAGCTATTATAAAATCCCCTAGGTTTGCCTACCTGAAGATCAACTTTCCAGTACTGTTGGACCCAGACCATGAATGTACTGGACTATCAGTTCAGATCCTCTGAGAAGTGGATACAAAGACAGAATTAGATGTGCAAGAGATTTATTGGGGAAAACACCTGTGGAGGATAAAGGAGAAGGGAGGAGCAGGAGGCAGAAACAGCCTACACTTGTGAAAGGAGAGAAGGAAGGAAGCATTGGGTAGGAAGAGTCTCAGATTACAGTGCAGCTCGAGAAAGTCTCTGAAAGGCCAGTGGAGAATCGCAGGCAAACATTGCCTATTAGAGGGGCTCTCTGTGGGCAGAAATGTTGCAGCGTTAGCACCCCAGGCATGTTCAGGCGTTGGGTAGAAGCAGCCAGGGGAAACCTGAATATTGAGCCAGACAGAAAGGTGTGGCAGCTGGAGGCTCTCAGCCAGCTGCACTTCTCCCAGCAAGTTCTCTTGAAGAACAAGCTGAGCAGTGCACCTCTGCGCAGACCTGGCATGTCTGCTGTGACTTATAGGTGTTGGCCCCCAGGGGTTTTGTTGACACAGTGACCTTTCAAACAACCAGAAAACAGCTGTGGGCCTAGCAAGAGCTCTAGGTGTCCTGGGGGTACTGAATTAAACTCTCCCCCATGGCCATCTCCTGGCTTTATAGCTGGACCACTGCCTCTGCCCTCCTTCTTTTTTTTTTTTTTTTTTTTTTTTTTTTTGAGACTGTCTTGCTCTGTCACCCAGGGTGGAGTGCAGTGGCATGATCTCGGCTCACTACAATCTCCGCCTCCTAGGTTCCAGCATTTCTTGTGCCTCAGCCTCCCCAGTAGCTGGGACTACAGGTTTGTGCCACCATGCTCGGCTAATTTTTGTATTTTTAGTAGAGATGGGGTTTTGCCATGTTGGCCAGGCTGGTCTTGAACTCCTAACCTCAAGTGATCCACCCACCTTGGCCTCCCAAAGTGCTGGTATTACAGATGTGAGCCACCGCACCCAGCCTCTGCCCTTCATTTGAGCATGGAAGACATGCGCCATCACTGTGCCGAAATGCTCATGCTATAATTTTCAGGACATTTTCTCTGCAATTTACCCAACTTGCTGTAGGTTTTGATTATGTGTGGTTTGTGTCTTTGTCGATAGTTGGTGGATATTGATGCTCACCTTTGTCTACTTTCCTCTCTCATAGGCTCATATCCTTAGCTGGGGTGGAGGGAGCAGACTCACCCAGAGGCTGAATCTAGATGCTAGTGTCACGGAGCTTTCCGGGATATCATCCAGTCTTCCTCTCAATGTGGTTATCTGGCTGGACTTAAACTCCAGGGGCAGCCTGAGAGGGAAGGGAAATTCCCTCAAAGAGAGTGTCCAGGGACCTGCATGCATATGAATGCCAGATTTTCTGTAGCATCCTTCTACTGAGCTCTTCAGCTCATCACTGCCTGATCCTTGCTTCAACAGAGGATTCATCTACAGAGGAGAACTCATAGAGGCACAGGGAATCACAGGATCAGCCCTGATCTGTCATTGTGAGGGGGCAAGGAGGACCAAGTTCAGGCAAGGTCATTTACTGCCCCCTGAACCCTCTAGCAGGAAAGCTGTGCCAGCCTCAGCCTTGGGGTAGGGCATTAGGGAACAGAGAGATATGAGGAGCTTCAAGGGTTCAGGAAGGAGGAGCCTGTGGTGCCATTCCTGCCAGTGGCCCAGCAGTGTCCCCAGACTTGGCTGGGCTGCTGGCTCACTGCTGGGTTGCAGATGAAGAAAAGCAGATATTCAGCCTCACAGCAGCCCAAGGAGCAGGAGCCCACAAAACATCACCTGATTATGTTTCTGTTCTCAGTGCTGGAGAGACAGAGCTGCCTCTGTGACTCCCGCCAGAGCCCAGGGGCAGCAGAGTCCTCAGAATCCAAGCACCATCATGGCCAGAGGGGCCACCAGAGCAGAGAAGTCCACGGGAGGTGGAGATCAGGCTGGGCTCTTTTTTATTTATTTATTTTTTTTTTTGAGACAGAGTCTCGCTCTGTTGCCCAGGTTGGGAGTGCAGTGGCACGATCTCAGCTCACTGCAAGCTCCACCTCCTGGGTTCAGGCCACTATTCTCCTGCTTCAGCCTCCCGAGTAGCTGGGACTACAGGCGCCCGCCACCACGCCCGGCTAATTTTTTGAATTTTTAGTAGAGATGGGGTTTCACTGTGTTAGCCAGGATGGTCTCAATCTCCTGACCTCATGATCCACCCACCTCAGCCTCCCAAAGTGCTGGGATTACAGGCATGAGCTACTGCGCCCAGCCAATATATTCTTTCTTAAATCTGTGGCCAGGCCTATAATTGTTATAATGAAAATTAGAAAACCTACAAAATGTCACAGGATTAAACTTTAAAGTCTGTCTCAAAGGACTCACAAAGTAGTGATTCACTTTGACCCCCTCAAAGATCAAATATCAAGCAATTTACCAGTTAGTGTTTTTAAATGGTGTGTAGCCCTTATTGGACTTTAAGTTCCATTCAAGATGGCATTGTCATTCCCAGAACTGCAGACTCCTCTCTGTCCTGCTCCCCAACTAATCTTTTGAACATCCCAGCTGCTCACATTGTCCCTCCACAACACAATAGCTTTTCCAATTGTTCTGGTGACCTCACTGTATGTTTCCGTGCTACTCAACAGCCTGTGGAATGGCGGCCAGCCTTGGACAGTGCTCTAGCCCCATGGCTGTGCTCTTCTTTGGGGGCAGCTTCCTCTTGGCATTGCCTCCTCCCTGCCCTCAGGAGACACTCTCTTCTCTGCCATCTTCCTCTGTGGTGTCGTGTCCTTACTCAAAAATACAAGTCCGTGTATCACCACACCTGACTCCTTGATATCGGGTGGTTTCTCTTCTGTCATTCCAGCTCTTGAAGTGTCTAGAAAGCTCAGTTTTACATTCCTTTTCTAGAAGAAACCTGGAAAATAAGTCTTCCAGGACCTGGCTGGAGGATACAGCTTGAGGAACATCACCCAGAGCAGCATTAAAGGATGTTTCTTTTTTTTTTTTCCCAAATCAATAGGTCTTTTATTGCATCATTTAAATATCACAAGTAGGTTTTAGGAGTCATCTGACATCTTGCTTCTGTAGCTGGACAACTCTTAGATCTTAGTCATCAGCCTGCTGAACAGTTCATTTTTCAGAGACATATATGCCATCCAAAAATTTCCTGATATCCTTGTTTTTAACTGTTGTGGCTTGCTGAATTTGAAACAAGCTCAATGTCATTTCCTTCAAGGATTAATCCATCTTTCTGGGCTTGAGATACTGAACAAGCAACACCTGGTCTCATCTGAACCCTGCGGATGTATTTTTCACCCAAGAAATTTCGGATTTCAACAAGAGAACCATTCTCCTGGATAATGATGTTGATGGGGAAGTGAACATACACAGACCTCATCTTGTAACAGAAGCCCAGTGTCACACCCTTGATCATGTTCTGTACGTGACTACAAATAGTCCAAATGGTAACCAGTTCCTTTCTGTTACTGCACCATTTGTCAACCAGGAGCCTCTTTTTTTTTTCTTTCCAAGAAGATTGAGTTCTACATTGATGTGATTGAAGTTCCTCCACAGGGTTCCTCTGGGGCCTTTCACGATAACTGTGTGTCCTTTCAGAGTAATGTCGACATTTTCTGGAATGTCGATAGTCTGATTGCTGAAAATGGTCTTCATTCACACAGTAGATGCGGCAAAGAAAGAAAGGATGTTTCTAGACCATAGTTTTGTTTTTGTTTTAATTGTGATAAAAAACATGTAACATCAATTTACCCTCTTAACAATTTTA
The DNA here is from genome assembly GCF_000001405.40 of Homo sapiens. Taxonomy (NCBI): domain Eukaryota; kingdom Metazoa; phylum Chordata; class Mammalia; order Primates; family Hominidae; genus Homo; species Homo sapiens. The sequence continues at coordinate 40,481,428 of NC_000015.10, forward strand.
AAATGTACAGCACAGTATTAACTACACACACACACTGCTGTACAGTAAAGCTCCATAACCTTTTCATTTTGCATGACTGAAACTCTATTCCCATTGAACAATTCCCCATCTCCCCTCCCTCCCCACCATCCCCTGGCAACTACCACTCTGCTTTCTGTTTCTATGATTACTTTAGATACCTCATATAAGTGGAATCATACAGTATTTGTCCTTTTTGACTGGCTTATTTTGCTTAGCATAATGTCCTTAAGGTTCATCCATGTTGTAATATGTACCTGAATTTCCTTCTTTCTAAGGCTGAATAATATTTCATTATTACACCACATTTTCTTTCTTTCATCCAACAATGGACATTAGGTTGTTTTCACATCTTGGTTATTGTGAATAATGTGGCAATGAATGTGGGCATGCAAATATTTCTTTGAGATCTTTATTTCAAGTCTTTTGGCTATATTCCCAGAAGTGGGATTATTGGATCATATGGTAGCTCTATTTTTAAGTTTTTGAGGAACCTCCATAGTGTTTTCCATAGTAGATGCACTATTTACAATCCTACCAACAGTGTGCAAGGTTTTCAATTTCTCTACATCCTCATCAATACTTGTTTGTGACGGGGTTTCCCTAGGTTGCCCAGGCTTGACTCACATTCCTGGGCTCAAGCCATCCTCCTGCCTCAGCCTCCTGAGTAGCTGGAACTACAGGCATGTGCCACGGTCCCTGACTAACACTGTTTTTCGGTTTTGTTTTGTTTTTTATAGTGGCCATCCTAATGGATGTGAGATGATAATTCACTGTGGTTTATGATTTGCATTTCCCTGATTAGCCTTTTATAGGCTTGTAGACCATTTGTATATTTTCTTTGGAGAAATGTCCATTCAAGACCTTTGCCCACTTTTTAATCAGGGTTTTTTGTTTGTTTGCTACTGAATTGTAGAAATTCTTCATATATTCTGGGTATTAACCCATTATCAGATATATGCTTTGCAAGTATTTTCTCCCATTCCATAGGTTGCCGCTTCACACTACTGTTTCTTTTGCTGTGCAGAGGTTTTTAAGTTTGATGTAGTCTCATTTTTACTTTTGTGGCCTGTGCTTTTGGTGTTACATCTAAGAAACCAGTGCCCTTTCCAATGTCATGAAGCCTTCCTCCTATGTTTTCTTCTTGTAGTTTTATAGTTTAAACCCTTATGTTTAGGTCTTTAATCCATTTTGAGTTAATTTTTGTATATGACATAAGGTAAGAGTCCATCTACATTCTTTTACATGTGAATGTTGTTTCTCAGCACCATTTGTTGAAAAGACTGCCCTTTCCCCATTGTGTAGTCTTGGCATCTTTGCTGAAGACCATTTGACCATATATGTGTGGGCTCCCTATTTTGTTCCATTGGTCTATATGACTATCTTTATGCCAGCACCATACTATTTTGTTTACTGTAGCTTTGTCATGTTTTGAAATCCAGAAGCGTGAGGCCTCTAGCTTTGTTCTTCTCTCTCAGATTGTTTTTTTTACTATTTGGAGTCCTCTTAGATTCCATATGAATTTTAAGATGATCTTTTCTATTTCTGCAGAACATGCCATTGGTAGACCAGGATTCCTTAACCTGTGGTCTCAGAATCCCTGGATGGCATTCAGGGTGCTGAGGGCCCCTGACACTTGTGTTTCTGCTGCTAAGCATTTTTATCTGGTCTCTGCTGAGACATATGAGGGTTCACGGGAGCCTACAGTCTAGGCTCCTAATTCCACACTTCACAAAGTCAAGAGTAATGGCCATGGGTAGTGGATTTATCATGATGCAAGGGGAAATCACAAATAAGCATCAAATTCAAAGGAGCTCATGGAATACATATCTAGCTTTTTTTTTTTTTTTTTTTGAGACAGGGTCTCTTTGTCACCTGGGCTGGAGTACAGTGATATGATCATAGCTATTTTTTTTTTCTTTCTTTTTTTTTTTTGAGACGGAGTCTTGCTCTGTCACCAGGCTGGAGTGCAGTGGTGTGATCTTGGCTCACTGCAACCTCTGACTCCCTGATTCAAGCAATTCTCCTGCTTGAGCCTCCCAAGTAGCTGGGATTACAGGCACACGCTACCACGCCCAGCTAATTTTTGTATGTTTAGTAGAGACAGGGTTTCACCATGTTGGCCAGGATGTTCTCCATCTCCTGACCTCATGATCCACCCCCCTCGGCCTCCCAAAGTGCTGCGATTACAGGCGTGAGCCATCGTGCCTGGCTCACACTTGGCTAATTTTTAAAAATTGTTTTGTAGAAGTGGGGGTGTCTCACTGTGTTACCCAGGCCGGTCTTGAACTCCTGGCCTCAAGCATTCCTCCCACCTCAGACACAAAGTGTTGGGATTACTGGCGTGAGCCACTATGCCCAGCCAATCTGACTTTATTATTACTTACTATTGTTGCTGTTGGATTCTTCAGTTAGCATTGTGACACTCTGGGGAAAATACTGCTGTCTTAATCTATACACTCATATAAGACTTTATTACATAGAGAACATTAACTGATTATTGCAATGGATAGTATTTTGTCCTAAAATGGATGTCCACTTTTCTCAAAACTTGACTTTTTCTGTTTGGCTCTCTGGTGGTGTATCATCTTAGGCTGTAAGTCTCACAGGAACTGGACAGTATCATTTTTATTTTTTTGTGTTTGTTTTTGAGATAGGATCTTGCTCTGTTAACAGCCCAGGCTGGAGTGCAGCGGCACAATCACCACTCACTGCAGCCTCAATCTCCCAGGCTCAAGCAATCCTCCCACAGCCTCCCAAGTAGCTGGGACCACAGGCATGCACCACCATACCAGGCTAATTTTTGTATTTTTTGTAGAGGCATAGTCTGCTATGTTACCCAAGCTGGTCTCGAACTCCTGGACTGAAACAATCCACGTGCCTCGGCCTCCCAGAGCACTGGGATTATAGGTGAGCCACCTCTCTGGACCGCTAGTATCTTTTTTTTTTTTTTTTTTGAGACAGGGTCTTGCTCTGTTGCTCAAGCTGGAGTGTGGTGGCACGATCTCAGCTCACTGCAACCTCTGCCTCCCAGGTTCAAGAGATTCTTGTGCCTCAGCCTCCCAAGTGGCTGGGATTACAGGCGTGCATCACCACGTCCAGCTAATTTTTGTATTTTTAGTAGAGATAGGGTTTCACCATGTTGGCCAGGCTGGTCTTGAACCCCTGGCCTCAAGTGGATCTGCCTGCCTTGGCCTCCTAAAGTGCTGGGATTACAGACATAAGCCACTGCGCCTAGCCCTGACAGTATCTTTTTTTTTTTTTTTTTTTTGAGATGGAGTCTCGCTCTGTCGCCCAGGCTGGAGTTCAGTGGTGCAACCTCCACCTCCCGGGTTCAAGCGATGCTCCTGCCTCAGCCTAATGAGTAGCTGGGACTACAGGTGTTTGCCACCATGCCCAGCTAATGTTTTGTATTTTTTTAGTAGAGGCGGGGTTTCACCGTGTTAGCCAGGATGGTCTTGGTCTCCTGATCTCATGAGCCGCCCACCTCAGCCTCCCAAAGTGCTGGGATTACAGGCGTGAGCCACCGCACCTGGCCTGACAGTATCATTTTTGTCCTTGCTCTAATCTTGCTAAGTGTAGGTGTTTGTGATGAAAATGTTACTTGTGTCTATGTTCCCTGGCCATGTCCAGCAGGTTAGGAAGCAGCTTCACAATGTGTTTACACATTTTGCTCAGTAGCTTGTATTCTTAAACTGCTATTGGAACAGTAACATTTTTTAAATAATTGTTAATTTAATAATTGTTAATGAGACTCTTGCTGGTTAAAACACAAGTGAAATAACAAGATCTTATGCTTTACTTTTCATAATTGAAGGCATTCCTTTCCTCCTGGAAAGCACCACCTGAAACATTAGGATAATGTTGCAAACATTAGGATGATGCCTCCTTGTACCCACAAAGCAAATTTGCCAATCTTGTGTTGGTTTTCCCCCTCTGCCCCTCTCTTTGACTACAGTGCTATGGCTTTGTCCTCATTCCTTTTCCCTCTGGAGCCACAACTTTTCTCAGGGGTGTAGAGATACTTTACCATTCAGAGTGTGCTGTCACGAGCATCACTGGTCAGAAAACCATTCATGCATTGCCAGGGTCATTAGTGAGTGCCTACCTTGAGCCAGGCAGGTGCTAGCATTTCCCCAGAGGAACAATACAAGTTGCATTCTGGTGACAGGTCTCGTGAAAACTTTTGGTGGTCAAATATGTTAGGGAAATCCAGAGTTACACAACATTTAAAAGATGACTGCAGAATGTTTCTTTTTCCTAATACGTTAATGTGTCTCCTATATTTGCGTGAGAGGTGTAGACAACAGAACATACACTGTTCTTCTTCCCAACTTGTTTGACCAGGTAATCTCTCTTTCACAAGTGTGGAGTTCCTCTGAATCCGCTTTGGGAAAGACAAGTTTCTAAAAGACTCACATGAGCTCTTAAACCAGCTTTGCCATTTTTATTGTTTCCTGTAGATAAACACATGTTTAGTAAAGACGGGGTTGCACCAGGTTGGCCAGACTGGTCTCCAACTAAATGTTCTCACATACTTTTTTTTTTCTTTTTCTGGTGAGACAGGGTCCCTATCTGCCACCCAGACTAGAGTGCAGTGGCGCAATCACGGCTCACTGCAGCCTCGACCTCCTGGGCTTAAGCGATACTCCCATCTAAGCCACCCGAGTAGTTGGGATTACAGACGCACGCCACCATCTGGTTAATTTTTGTGGAGACAGGGGTCTCTCCACGTTGACCACGCTGGTCTCGAACTCCTGCCCTCAGGTGATCCTCCCGCCTAGGCCTCCCACATCGCTGGGATTCCAGGTACGAACCCCGTGGGCGCCTCCATCTTCTAATTTGTGGCTGAGCCAGATGAAGATTCAGGGAAAAAAGGGACTTCCGGTTTTAAAATGGCGGCTTGACTTCCCCGCCCCCCCAGGAAGCCAAAAACAAATATGCAGCCCCGAGATTTTCCCCAGCAACAATCTGGAGCTCAGATTTGAGGATGAGACAGATCCCGGGGGCACGGAGAAGTGAAAATCTTCCGAGCAGGCGATAAGAAAATCGGGTTTTCACATCCGCCACGCCCCTCCCCATCACTGAGCCCCACACCAAGCGCGGGGAAACTTTCCCTCCGCGCGCGGATTCCGTGGTGAGAAAAGTGAGGCCCAAGTGTCAACCAAGTTTCCCACCATGTTGGGTTTCCTGGCAGGAGGCGCGTCCTTGCCTCAGCCATGGAAAACGTGGTGCCTGCTGAGGGGAGCCACATCCCCAGGACTAGCAGAGACAAAGGGGACGGTGGGCGGACCACCATCCCCAGCCCTGGAAACTGCTCTGTAGCCAATCAGAGCAGGTACTCAGCAGCACCGAACTGGAGGAGGTGCTTGGGCGCCAAGCGCTAGGAGGCCTTCCCCCCAGGTAGACGGAGGGGGTGGGTACCGGAGCATTTATTGTATTACTGTTCGAACTGTGCGTTTATTTTATGTGTACTCCTTGAATTTTTTTTTTTTTTCCCCAAAAGTTAGGTTTTCGGCCGGGCACGGTGACTCACGCCTATAATCCCAGCACTTTGGGAGGCTGAGGCGGGCAGATCACTTGAGGACAGGAGTTGGAGACCAGTCTGGCCAACCTGGTGCAACCCCGTCTCTACTAAAAATACAAAAATTCGCTGGGCACCATGGCTCACGCCTGTAATCCTTGCACTTTTACTTTGGGAGGCCAAGGCTAGCGGATTGTTTGAGTCCAGGACTACAAAGACCAGCTTGGGCAACATGGCGAAACCCCGTCTCTACCAAAAAAAAAAAAAAAAAAATTAAATTAAAAAAAAAAATCCCAACAACAACCCAAAACTAAAAATTAGCCAGGTGTGGCTGCCCACACCTGTGGTCCCAGCTACTCGGGAGGAGGGAGGATTATTTGGGCCCGCAAGGCGGAGAGTGCAGTGAGCTGAGATCATGTCACTGCATTCCAGCCTGGGTGACAGTGTGACCTCGTCTACAAAAAAAAATTGTTGGCCGGGCGCGGTGGCTCACACGTGCAATCCCAGCACTTTGGGAGGCCGAGGCGGGCAGATCACAAGGTCAGGAGATCGAGACCATCCTGGCTAACACGGTGAAAACTCGTCTCTACTAAAAATATAAAAAATTAGCTGGGCGCGGTGGCGGGCACCTGTACTCCCAGCTACTCGGGAGACTGAGGCAGGAGAATGGCGTGAACCCGGCAGGCAGAGCTTGAAGTGAGCCGAGATCGCGCCACTGCGCTCCAGCCTGGGCGACAGAGCGAGACTCCGTCTAAAAAAAAAAAAAAATTGTTTTTGTAGAGGTGAGTTCTCGCTATGTTGTTCGGGCTGGTCTCGAACTCCTGGGCTCAAGCTATACTCCCATCTCAACCTCCCGAGTAGCTGGGATTACAGACGCGCGCCACCGTCTGACTAATTTTTGTATTTTTTGTAGAGATGGGGTGTGAGGTGGGGGGGTGGAGGCTGGTCTCGAACTTCTGCCCTTAGGCGATCCTCCCGCCTGGGCATCCCACATCGCTGGGATTCCAGGCATGAACTCAGTGGGCGCCTCCGTCTTCTAACTTCTGGCTGAGCCAGAAGATGATTGAGGGAGAAGGAGGACTTCCGGTTTTAAAATGGCGGCTTGACTTCCCCGCCCCCCAGAAAGCCAAAAACAAATATGCAGCCCGGAGATTTTCCTCAGCGAGAATCCGAAGCTCAGATTTGAGGATGAGACAGATCCTGGGACCACGGAGAAGTGAAAATCTTCCGAGCAGGCGGTAGGAAAACTGGGCTTTCACATCTGCCAAGCCCCTCCCCACCACTGGGCTCTGCAGCAGGCGCGGGGAAACTTCCCTCTGCGCGCGGGTTCCGTAGTGGGAAAAGTGAGGCCCAAGTGTCAGCCAGCTTTCCCACCATATTGGGTTTCCTGGTAGGAGGCCTGTCCTTGCCTCAGCCATGGAAAACGTGGTGCCTGCTGAGGGGAGGCACATCCCCAGGACTGGCAGAGACAAAGGGGACGGTGGGCGGACCACCATCCCCGGCCCTGGAAACTGCTCTGTAGCCAATCAGAGCGGGTACTCAGCAGCACCGAACTGGAGGAGGCCAGTCCCCAGATGCTTGGGCGCCAACCCCTAGGCAGCCTTACCCCCAGGTAGACGGAGGGGGTGGGTACTGGAGCATTTATTGTATTACTCTTCTAACTGTGGGTATATTTTATGTGTACTCCTTTGAATGTTTTTCTTTCCCCAAACGTTATGTTTTTCGGCCGGGCTCGGTGACTCACGCCTATAATCCCAGCACTTTCGGAGGCTGAGGCGGGCGGATCGCCTGAGGTCAGGAGTTCGAGACCAGCCTGGCCAACATGGTGCAACCCCGTCTCTACTAAAAATACAAAAATTTGCTGAGCACCGTGGTTCACACCTGTAATCCTTGCACTCTGGGAGGCCAAAGCTAGCGGATCGCTTGAGTCCAGGACTACAAAGACCAGCCTGGACAACCCGGTGAAACTTCGTCTCTACTCAAAAAAAAAAAAAAAAAAAAGAAAAAAGAAAAAAATCCCAACAACAACAACCCAAAACCAAAAAATTAGCCAGGCGTGGCTGCCCACACCTGTGGTCCCAGCCACTCAGGAGGAGGGAAGATTATTTGAGCCCTCAAGGCGGAGGGAGCAGTGAGCCAAGATCATGCCAGTGCACTCCAGCCTAGGCGAAAGCCTGGGTGACAGAGTGAGACCTTGTCTCCAAAAAAAAAATTGTTTTTGTAGAGGTGAGGTCTCGCTATGTTGTTCGGGCTAGTCTCGAACTTCTGGGCTCAAGCAATCCTCCCACCTCAGCCTCCTGAGTAGCTGGGATTACAGACGCGCGACACCATCCGACTAATTTTTGTATTTTTTGTAGAGACGGGGGAGAAAGGAGGGGGCGGGGCGGGGGGGTCTTTCCATGTTGCCGAGGCTGGTCTCGAACTCCTGCCCTCAGGCGATCCTCCCGCCTGGGCATCCCACATCGCTGGGATTCGTCGTGAGCCAGTGCCGCCTCCATCTTCTAACTTCTGGCTGAGCCGAGATGATTCAGGGAGAAAGGGAACTTCCTGTTTTAAAATGGCGGCTTGACTTCCCCGCCTCCCAGAAAGCCAAAAACAAATATGCGGACCCGAGATTTTCCCCAGCGACAACCTAGAGCTCAGATTTGAGGATGAGACAGATGCCGGGGGCACGGAGAAGTGAAAATCTTCCGAGCAGACAGTAGGAAAATCGGGCTTCCACATCAGCCACGCCCCTCTCCGCCACTGAGCCCTACACCAGGAACCAGGCACAGGGAAACTCTTCCCCCGGCGCTCGGGTTCCGTGGTGAGAAAAGTGAGGCCCAAGAGTCAACCAGGTTTCTCACCATGTTGGGTTTCCTGGCAGGAGGCCTGTCCTTGCCTCAGCCATGGAAAACGTGGTGCCTGCTGAGGGGAGCCACATCCCCAGGACTGGCAGAGACAAAGGGGACGGTGGGCGGACCGCCATCGCCGGCGCTGGAAACTGCTTGTTTCCAGGAGAGGCTCCAGGGAGGATCGCCTGAGGGCAGGAGTTCGAGACCAGCCTGCGGAGAGGCTCAATCAGAGCGGGTACTGAGCAGCGCCTCGCTGGAGGAAGCCGGTCCCCAGGTGCTTGGGCGCCAACCCCTAGGCAGCCTTCCCGCCCAGGTAGAGGGGGTACCTTTACCTCTACCTAAAGTAATACAATACCTTTATTGTACTACTCTTCGAACTGTGCATATATTTTATGTGTACTCCTTTGAATGTATTTTTTCTTTTTCCCAAAAGTTACGGTTTTTGGCCGGGCGCGGTGCCTCACGCCTGTAATCCTAGCGCTTTGGGAGGCTGAGGCGGGCGATCACCTGAGGTCAGGAGTTCGAGACTAGCCTGGCCAAAATGGTGAAAACCCATCTCTACTAAAAATACAAAAATTAGCCGGGCCTGGTGGTGGGCGCCTGTAATCCCAGCTACTCAGGAGCCTGGGGCAGGAGAATCGCTTGAACCCGGGAGGCGGAGGTTGCAGTGAGCCGAGATCGCACCACCGCACCCCAGCCTGGGCGACAAAGCAAGACATTATCTTAATAAAAAAAAAAAGTTTTGTTTTTCTCTTGCTTTAATATTAAGCACCGCAGCTTTTACAATCCACATGCTATTATTTGTTGACTTCAGAAATGTAGAACCAGGAGGGCATGGTGGCTAACGCCTGTAATCCCAGCACTTTGAGAGGCCGAGGCGGGTGGATTTCTTGGGCCCCAGAAGTCTCATTTTTTTGTAGAGACACGGCAAAGCCCCATCTCTGCAAAAAATACAAAAATTAGCAGGGAGTGGTGGCGGGCATCTGTAGTCCTAGCAACTCAGGAGGCTGAGGCGGGAGGATTTCTTCAGCCCGGGAGGTCGAGGCTGCAGGGAGCCATGATCGTGCCACTGCACTCCAGCCTGGGTGACAGAGCATGACCGTATCTCAAAAAATAATAATAATAAATAAATAGAAATGGAGAATCAACTTCCTGAAGTTTGTTTTTGTTGTTGTTTTGAGACGGAGTTTCACTCTTGTTGCCCAGGCTGGAGTGCAATGGCGTGATCTCCGCTCACCGCAACCTCCACCTCCCGGGTTCAAGCGATTCTCCTGCCTCAGCCTCCCGAGTAGCTGGGATTAGAGGCATGTGCCACCACTCCTGGCTAATTTTGTATTTTTAGTAAAGACGTGTTTCTCCATGTTTGTCAAGCTGGTCTCGAATTCCCGACCTCAGGTGATCTGCCTTCCTTGGCTTCCCAAAGTGCTGGGATTACAGGCGTGAGCCACTGCACCCAGCCTCAAGTTTTAAATTGTAATAAACATTGACCATTTTTGGTTTGCGCTAAAAAAAAATCCTTTCTCACTTATCTACTATTTTAAATTTTTTTCAAACTATGCATAAGAAGATTTTGATGCTTGGAATCCCTGTAAATATTATTCAGTTTAGCTGTGTACCACATAATAGAACACCTCCTCCTCTATCCTTGTAAAGACATAATCTCCTCGGGGTGCTTGGCATAGTGGTTAACAGCAGAGAGTGGGAAACCAGGCAGACTTGGGTTCAGATTCACAGTTCATGACTTGTCTGTATGACACTGGGTAAATTGCTTCACTTCTTGCAGCCTTGGTTTCTGGATGTGTAGAACGGGGTTTGGAGACTTAGATTGGGATAATGCATGTCATACTCTATAAATTGCAGCCATTTGTATAAAGTACTTACTAGCACTATTGTTGGATGTAATCTTGTGAACTAGCAGGTAGAATGAGTGACTGTTGGTTTTAGGTGCAGCAGCAGGTCTTCCTGTGCTCTACTTTTGTAATGGTTAATTTTGCATGTCCACTTGGCTGGGCCACGAGATGCCCAAATATTTGGCCAAACATTATTCTGGGTGTGTCTGTGAGAATGCTTTGGGAAGAGACTAACATTTGAATGAGTAGACTGAGTAAAGCAGATTGCCTTTCCTAATGTGAGTGAATCTCATTGAATCAGTTTAGAGCCTCAATAAAACCAAAATGCTAACCTTCCTTCCAAAGTAAAGGGATAACTCCTTCAGCCTGACTGCCTTGAGTGGGATCCTGGTCTTTTCCTGCCTCAGACTTGAACTGAAACATAAGCTCTTATAGGTCTAAAGCCTGCCAGCTTTCAGACTAGAATTTACACTGTTGCCTCTCCTGCTTCTCAGGCTTTTGGACTCCAACTGGAGCTATACCTTTGATACTCCTGGGTCCCCAGCTTGCCAACTACAGATCTTGGGGCTTCTCTTTAGGATAAATCTTTCTATGTTATGTATATATCCCATTTGTCCTGTTTCTCTGGAGAACCCTGACTAAAACAAACTGGGTCCCACTCTGTCACCCAGGCTGGAGTGCAGTGACACAGTCTCGACTCACTGTATCCCTGACCTCTTAGGCTCAAGCAGTCCTCCCACCTCATCCTCCCAAGTAGCTGGGATCACAGGTACATGCCACCATGCCTGGCTTATTATTATTATTATTATTATTATTTAATTTTGGGCCAGGCACGGTGGCTCATGCCTGTAATCCCAGCACTTCGGGAGGCTGAGGCAGGTGGATCACTTGAGTCCAGGAGTTCGAGACCGGCCTAGGAAATATGGCAAAACCTGGTCTCTACCAAAAAAAAAAAAAAAAAAAAAAAAATATATATATATATATATATATATATATATATTCAGACATGTTGGCTGGAATATGTGGTCCCAGCTAGCTACTCAGGAGACTCAGGTGGGAGGATTGTTTGAACCTGGGAAATGGAGGTTCCAGTGAGCCAAGATCACCATTGTACTCCAGCCTGGGCGACAGTGAGAAGGCCTTTGCTCAAAAAAAATTTTTTTTTGTAGAGAAAAGGTCTTGCTATGTTGCTTGGGTGGGTCTCGAACTCCTGGGTTCAAGTATCCTCCCACCTCGGCCTCCCAAAGTTGAGATCACATGTGTGAGCCACCCCTGGTGTGTTTCTTAAACCCAAAGAGGAGCTTACAGATAGGGAGAAGCAAATACCTGATGTATGAATATAGATAGCTGTCACTGTCAAATAACTGTCTCTGAAAACCCTTCCCTTTAATATATGCTCAGCCTATGAGTACATATGTTTCAAGCATGCCCAAAGCCGTTTTTAAGTACCAACGCTCTTAGTGCAAGGCATTGCTGCTGTCAATATGATGTACCAGTGAGATACTTGCCTTAATGAACACCAATTTGAAAGTTTCAAACACTCTCTATTCTGCTGACATGTATTTCAACTTTTCAGGATCTGCTTTCTAGGTAAAAAGGATAAAATAAAAGGAGGGGTGCCTGCCGCCGAAACCGAAACTTCAGATATCAGCAATTAGGGTTAGGAGATTTTTGGTATATGCACACAGATAAAAGAAGTGTGCTGATGACTATTCAGTACCAAGTGAATGTTGTCAGTGTCTTCAAATGGGTCAAAATGTCTCAAGTATTGAGATCCAGAATGAAATAATCTCCTGCTTCTAACATGATCAGGTATCAAAGTGTGGGTTTTAGTGTGTTTCAGTCCCCAAATCTCCCATTCCCTCGTAGTTCTCATTTGTGGATTGAATGAATGCCGCATGCTTGTGTTTCCATAGCAGACCTTGCCTTGTGGTTTTGAAGTGGTCTCCGTGCTGTTTGAAGTGCCACAGGCAATGGTGGCAAGAACTGGGTGCTGATACATGCTGTGAGTCAGTAGTTCTGATGAAACATCCATCACTGTGATTAGTCTCTTTTTCTGCCACTTCCTGTTCCTAGTAGATCAAAGGGCTAAAAATGCCCCTGTATCAGTAATTGTCTACCAAACCATCTGTACATATAGATCATGCTGTTTAGGTTTGCAGGTATGTACCCAAAATGAAGAACATTTGTCTTGTTGATGTCAGGATATATGTAGCAGTCCTACCAGAATCAGTGCTCCACAGATTCATCAAGAGGGGCACCAATTCTATTTTAGTATGTGGGTTTCCTATTGACAAACAGTGGCTCTTTTTCCATTGAAATATGTTATTCGCCTCAGTGAATCCTAATACAGTGGTTTCAACGTCACAATTGCGTGTGCTAATAGAATACCCAAGCTTCTAGAAAGAGTTATTTATATGCATTGTCTCCATTTCTGAACTTCCTATTCATTCCTCCACTCCAGCCCCCGTCACTCCATAGAATCATTTTCCCCACAGTCATCAGTGACCTCTGTCTCACTGGATTCAGTGGGTATCCTCAGGCTTCTTTCTTGACCTCCCAGCAGGATTCAGTCCTGAGAATCACACTCTCTCTGCTGAAACACCCTCCTCCCTTAGCTTTCTGGACAGCCCTCTCTGCTAGTGTTACTCTTCACTCTCTGACCCCTGCCTACTCTTCTGGCTCTTTTGTGGGTTATTTCCTACATTCAGTCACTGAATGTTGAGGCTTGTCAAGGTCTTCCCCAGTCCTCTTTCTCTTACAGTATGTTTTCTCCCAACTCTCTCATTCTTGCCCAATGTTTCCTTTTTCTCCTCTTTTTTAGAGATGGGGTCTCACTTTGCCACCCAGGCTGGAGTGCAGAGGTACAATAATAGCTCACTGGAGTCTCCAACTCCTGGCCTCAAGCAGTCCTTCCTCGGCCTCCTGAGTATTGGGACCACAGGTGTGCATCACCACACCCGGCTAATTTTCTTTTTCTTTCATTCTTTTTTTTTTTTTAAGAAATGGGGTCTTGCTTGGTTTCCCAGGCTGGTGTCAAACTCCTGGCTTCAACCAATCCTCCTGCCTCAGCTTCCCAGAAAGTGTTGGAATTACAAGTGTGAGCCACCATGCCTGGCCAAATGCCTGATGTTTCAAGTACCATACATGCCAGTGATCTCAAATACAGATCCCTAGCCCAGGGCTCACCCTCTGTGTTACAGAGTCATGTATCCAGATGCTAATTAGCACCACCATTTAGGCATCTCAAAGGTACTTACAATTAGACATGTTCAAAATTCATGCTTTTCTCCCCAAGAAAAATGAGGAGAAGAAGAAGTGTGTTAGTCTGTTTTGCATTGCTTATAAAGGAATACCCAAGACTGGGTAATTTACAAAGAAAGGAGGTTTATTTGGGTCACAGTTCTGCAGGCTCTACAAGCGTGGCACCAGAATCTGCTCAGCTTCTGGTGAGGTCTCAGGAAGGTTTTACTCAGAGTAGAAGGTGGAGGGGGAACATGCATGTCACATGGTGAGAGGGAGCAAGGGAGAGAGGAGGAGGTGCCAGATTCTTTTTTTTTTTTTTTTTTTTTTGAGATGGAGTCTTGCTCTGTCACCAGGCTGGAGTACAGTAGCTCGCGATCTCGGCTCACTGCATCCTCCACCTCCTGGGTTCAAACAATTCCCCTGCTTCAGCCTCCCGAGTAGCTGGGACTACAGGCATGCGCCACCACACCTGGCTAATTTTTGTATTTTAGTAGAGACGGGGTTTCACCATGTTGGCCAGGATGGTCTCGACCTCCTGACCTCATGATCCACCCGCCTTGGCCTCCCAAAGTGCTGGGATTATAGGCATAAGCCACTGCACACAGCCTAAGCCTTGCTTTTGTACTCTATTCCTGTCTTGATGAACAAGACCTCTATTCATGCAGTTTCACAGGCCACACACCTGAGAATCTTGCTTAACCCCTTTTTCTCCCCATGTTCCAGTCAGTCGTCAATCTTGTTTTATCTTCAAGATGCCTCCACTTCTCTGTATCTCTACTCCTTCTCTAGTGCCACAATTAAGGTGATGACTAATACTGTCTTGTGTCTGAACTATTGCAATAGCCTCCTTTCTAGCTTCCCAAATCTCCATTGTCCCATTCCAGCCCAGTCCGCTTACATCCTTCAGTAACTTCCCTCCACTCTTAGGATAAGGACCCATATACTCAGCACAGCCATAGAATAAAGACCTACATACTCAGCACAGCCATAGACCCTGCATGGTCCACCCTGTCTTCCTTTCTCACCTCCACTTCCTAGAACACTTTTTCTAGCCACATAGGCTTTTCAGGTGTCAGTTACACCTGCTTCCCTGCCTACCACAGAGCCTCTGCACATGCTGTTCCCTCTTAAATGCTTTCCCTCCTCTGCTTCTACCTTGCATTGTCTGTCATCCTTCAGACCTTCCCAGTTGTCACTTCCTCAGGGGAGCCTCCTTGACCCCCTCCAGTAGATAAGTTGGCCTGCTATAAGCTTTCACAGTGAGATGCACCTCATCTTTATGGCCCTCCTGTCTATGTGTGATTATATATCTCCTAGGGCAATTATTTAATTAATGGCTGGCTCCCAATTAGCCAATGAATTTCAAGCAGATAGACACCATATATCTACTTGTGCTTACCTTTGTGCCTTCAGCTTAGCTATTGCAAATACTAAGAATGTTAAACTGTTGAACAATAAAAGCGGTTTTTCAATTTTGTTTTAAAGTATTTTAGTGGCTGTGCAAGGTGGCTCATGCCTGTAATCTCAGCACTTTGGGAGGCAAGGTAAGAGGATCGCTTGAGTCCAGGAGTTCAAGACCAGCCTGGGCAACATAGTGAGCCCTTCTCTCTACAAAAAGAAATTAAAAAATTAGCCAGGTGTGATGATGGCATGTACCTGTAGTCCTGGCTACTCAGAAGGCTGAGAAGGGAGGATGGCTTGAGCCCAGCAGTTAGAGGCTGCAGTGAGCTATGATTGCACCATTGCACTCCAGCCTGGATGACAGAGCAAGACCTTGTCTCTAAAAAAATAAAAATAAAAAATGTTTTAGTGGGTTTGTATTTGCATTTCCTTAAATAACTATAAATATAAAGGTTTTCTACTTGCCTCTTTTGATATATTTCTCAATCATGAATGGATCTACAAAAAGGGAGGAAGTGGTAGGCACCCAAAGAGCCAGAGCCTGCAGTAAATGAGGTTTTTGATGTCCCAGGTCTTATTTAAATCCTGAATGTCGGCCGGGCGCCATGGCTCATACCTGTAATCCCAGCACTTTCGGAGGCCAAGGCGGACGGATCACGAGGTCAGGAGATCGAGACCATCCTGGCTAACACAGTGAAACCCTGTCTCTACTAAAAATACAAAAAATTAGCCAGGTGTGGTGGTGGGTGCCTGTAGTCCCAGCTACTCGGGAGGCTGAGGCAGGAGAATGGCGTGAACCCGGGAGGCGGAGCTTGCAGTGAGCTGAGATCGTGCCACTGCACTCCAGCCTGGGCGACAGAGTGAGACTCCGTCTCAAAAAAAAAAAAAAAAAAAAAAATCCTGAATGTCACAGGTGTTACTGCACTTCTGACTCAGTGCTGTTGAAAATGTCCCCCAGGAGACTGCCACTTGTTTCAAGGGACTATGAGCCATGTTACCTCCCAATTCTGGACATTTTCTAAGCTGTAACATCATGTTTTCGTAATCTGACAACCTGCAGCTCAGTTAATGACATAAAACAATTCCATGATCTCTAAGACAAGCCCCCAGCACATTGAAGTCACTGGATGAGACCTCAGCACCATGGGCCCCTCCTCTCCACTGGGCTGACTCTGCCAACTCACTCTCACCTGAAACTGCCCTTGCTGCTCCTGCCTCTGCCATGTCTACCACTCTGTATAGCTGCCCTTTTCTTACTGCTGTGGCCTCTGGCTGCCAAAAAGAGACAGGGCCACTACCCTGGCCCTCATGACATTCAACTGCAGCTGCCATCTCTGCTAATGTGAGAGGAGGGATGGTTTCTCCACTGACATCAAGCCCAGCTCTCTTGAGTCTGGGCCAGACCTTGAATAGTCTGGCTTGTGAACGAGACACCAGCTAGTTCTTCCAGATGGTGTTCATGTGGCCCAGCGCTCTCCTACCTTAGGACGAGTTCCTGCCCACCCAGCTTGCTTCTCTCAGAAGTTTGGGGCAGCATTTTTCTACCTTTCTTATTTAGGATCCCAACCTTTTTTTTGAGACGGAGTCTCGCTCTGTCACCCAGGCTGGAGTGCAGTGGTGTGATCTCGGCTCACTGGAACTTCCACATCCCAGGTTGAAGTGATTCTCCTGCCTCAGCCTCACAAGTAGCTGGGACTTCAGGGGTGTGCTACCACACCTGGCTAATTTTTGTATTTCCAGTAGAGACGGGGTTTCACCATGTTGGCCAGGCTGGTCTCGAACTCCTGACCTCAGGTGATCCACCCGCCTTGGCCTCCCAAAATGCTGGGATTACAGGCGTGAGCCACTGCGCCTGGCCCCCAGAGCCCAACCTTGAATCCCAGCATCCTCTCTGCCATTTCCCAAGACACCCAGTGGGCCTCTGGATAAAAGACGTTTTTGATAGAGAGTTCTGTTATCCCAGACCCCGAGGTGACCCTAGCATAATCCCTGGACACTCCCCTATGCTGAGGCTTCTCCCCTAGACCCCCATTCTATTACATAGTCTGTGCCCCCTCAGCTCAGTCATTACTTTTCTGGGCAGCCTCCTTTGACCTGCAGACCAGATCAGATCTCTGTGGTTTGCTCCCTGATCACTGTGTCCTTCTCCTCTGTAGCTCTTACCACAGCTTGTAATTCTATATTTGATGCATGTCTATATCCCCCTCTATAAGGTGAGGTCATCAAAGGCAGCAGTTCTGTCTTTCTTGCCTACCACTGCATCTCCAGCATGCTGCTCATCTGGTCCGTGGTAGGGTTCAGTATTTGTTGAAGGAGTGAATGAACTATGATTCACTTCATTACGTGTCGGTCTTTTAAAAACATTTATCTTCAATACACCCGTTTCTCTGTGATGGCAAGTAAAACATTTTTGGAGGCAGTCACTAACCAGCATGCATTGCATGTGTGAGCACCACAATATTTTTATACTTGTGGGTTCGATAATCCAACCACATGCTTTATTAAAGTATTTCTTTCAGGGTTGTAAAAAACACTTCATTACTGGCTTGCGGGCAACCTGGCTCTGGGGGAAAAGGGTCGTGTTACCACACTGCAGATAGGTGAGGATACCAGTGCCAGGCAGGGAGGAGGCTGTGAGGATGCCCAGCCCCTGCTTAGGGATACTGCTTCCCCCCCTTCACTTTTGCAGATTGCAGAGGGCTTGAAGAAGGGATGCAGGCAGTTTGAGCACTGAGTGGCACGTATTCCTGCAATCCCCAAAGTCATGAGGGGGCTCTTTGGAGGGGGTCTCAGAATTGGACTGTATGGTTTGATTTCACGTATTTCTGGGTTTGCTTTGTAGTTTGTCAAGTCATCATACTGTATGCTACTGGCAGATGATAATATGTTAACCAAAAACGACAACAAAGCAGTTGTGATGCGAAGGATGAGGCTAGACTTGGAGTCAGAACCATCATCCAGTACATTGGTTCTTGGCACATAGTGAGAAAGAACCCTTGTGGAATGGAAGGAGAAGCTCCTGGGAAGCAGCGTGTGAAGGTGGAAAGGGTCTTGTTGCCAAGGCAATAACCATTCACTTCCATGGAGCACTGGCCAGGGGCAGGTGCTGTGCTGAGCACTTTGCATGCATGATCCCATTTAACCCCACAGTAATCTATGAGGTTTTTTTTTTTCTTTCTCTTTTTTCTTTTTTAGAGACAGGGTCTTTGTCACCCAAGCTGGAATGCAGTGGTGTGATGATAGCTCATGTGGTCTCAAACTCCTGGGCTCAAATCATCCTCCCACCTCAGCCTCCCGAGTAACTGGGACTACACGTGTATGTCATCATGTCCAGCTAAGTTTTTTGTTTTTTGGGGTTTTTTTCTGAGACAGAGTCTTACTCTGTCACCCAGGCTGGAGTGAAGTGGTGTGATCTCGGCTCACTGCAACCTCTACCTTCTGGGTTCAAGCAATTCTCCTGTCTCAGCCTCACAAAAAGCTGGAATTACAGGCGTGCACCATCACACCTGGCTAATTTTTAAATTTTTAGTAGAGACGGGGTTTCACCATGTTGGCCAGGCTGGTCTCCAACTCCTGACCTCAGGTGATCCGCCCATCTCAGCCTCCCAAAGTGCTGGGATTACAGGCGTGAGCCACCGCGCCCAGCCTTTTTTTAAAAATTATTGTAGAGACAGGTCTTGCTATGTTGCCCAGGCCGGTCTCAAACTCCTGGGCACAAGTGATTCTCCTGCTTCAGCCTTCTGAGTCCCTGGGATTACAGATGAGAACCACTCACCTGGCCAATTAGGGTTCTTATCAACATTTTCCATAATGAAACCATGTGTCAGAGTGAAAAAATGTGCCTGAGGTAACACAGCTAATAAATGTCAGAGCCAGGATTTGAAGCTAGTTCTGTTGGACTTGACATCAATCCACGTAACCTTGGGATACACTGGTTATCAGCTAAGTTGCATTCAAGCCCTTGCTCTTCCATTATGGCTGTGTGTCTTTACCTTATTTCTGTGAAAACATTATGTGCAAAATGTGAATAATAATACCTATGGCAAAATATTTCTGCAAAGATTAAATGAAACTGTGGATGAATACTTTAGAACTATACTGTCTGATACAGCAGCCATTAGCCACATGTAGCTATTGAACTTGGAATATGGCTAGTCTGAATTGAGATGTTTTATAAGTGTAAAAAATACACTGGATTTTGAATACTTAGTGGGAAAAAATGTAAAATTTCTCAGTTTTTCTGTATTGAATACATGTTGAAACGATAATATTTTGGATATACTGGGTTAAATAAAATACATTACTAAAATTAATTTCACCTGTTCCTTTTTACTTTTTAAATGTGATTACTAGAAATTTAAAATTATATATGTGACTCACATTACATTTCTATTGTACAGCACTGCTCTGGAGCCCTATAAATATGATTTATTATTGTTATGGTAATTTCACTCAGAACAATATTCTATTTCATCACTGAGGTCATCACCTAGACTGAGTCTGCCATAGAATGAGTCACCATTTTTCTATAAATGTGAGTTTTAGTATATAAAAAGATTATAAGTATTCATCTTTTGAATCCAGTCTTTCTCGTATGTATTTTATTGTCGTTTTTCAAATACACAGAGTCTTCCAAGGAGACAGAAGTCCCTATGTCTGGAGAAATTAACCCGTTCAAATATATAAATGACAATTTAAAACATTCTGACCCACATACTTTATTCAGGTAACTGGAGAATAACCTTCATCTTGTGGAGCACAGAATCACTTTTTCCTTGCACATGGTGGAAATAATTCCCTCCCTCCCCCCACATTACTCATCAAATGTTGTATCTTCCAATTCAAAATAATGCCTGAATCATTACTGTTTCAAACCACTATCTGTGAAAGCATATCATTTTAAGGCATGCGTAAAGTTTGTGTTCTTATTTGACCCATCATTCCAGCCTGGATACTCTTGGATCCTGATTTTCTCAATGAACATAATACTATCCCTTTCTACCTTATGTTTTTATGCAAATTTCATTTTAGACTTTCTGTAATTCCTTCAGGTCACTAAATGATAAAAGACGACATGGCTAAAGATAGTTAACTAAATTATAATCTCCATAAGGACAGAAGGCCCAAATTTACATACCTGAAATAGAGGACTGGTCTACATTCCATATTGAAGTTAAATTCCAAGAAAATGCAATTTACAATGAAAGGATTTTTTGTTTTCTTTCGTGGGTAACACTAGCTATTGTAACACATAATCCCAACATATAACAGGTTTAATATAACAAGCTT
This sequence comes from Homo sapiens, assembly GCF_000001405.40. Lineage (NCBI taxonomy): Eukaryota > Metazoa > Chordata > Mammalia > Primates > Hominidae > Homo > Homo sapiens. Next base: position 40,501,590 of record NC_000015.10, read on the forward strand.
ATTTCTACTACCCGTAACAATCCAGTGCTAATATTACTGGTCAGTTGGGTGCCTTGTGCCTTTCCTCCTCTGGTGATTCATGCCTAGGTGATTCCTCATCACACAGCTTCATTATCCCCTTGGCTTTGTCATCCATGCAGCCAATCAGCAAAGAGAGAACTTGGAGAAGGTACACGTGTTCCTTTTTTTTTTTTTTTTGAGATGGAGTTTCGCTCTGTTGCCGAGGCTGGAGTGCAGTGGCATGATCTCGGCTCACTGCAACCTCTGCCTTCTGGGTTCAAGTGATTCTCCTGCCTCAGCTTCCCAAGTAGCTGGGACTACAGGCGCCCGCCAGCACGCCAGGCTAATTTTCGTATTTTTAGTAAAGACGGGGTTTCACCATATTGGCTAGGCTGGTCTCAAACTCCTGACCTTGTGATCCGCCCGCCTCGGCCTCCCAAAATGCTGGGTTTACAGGTGTGAGCCACCATGCCTGGCCCATATTTCTTTAAACTGGCCTGCAAGTGGTACACAATTACTTCTGTTCATATTCCATCATGTGAATTTATCACTTGGTCCCACCTAGACACAAAGGGAGCTGGAAAGACAGTTCCTGGATGGGAAGCTTTTTCCTAGCAATACACTACACTACAAAGAAAAGCATGAAGTCTGGTAAACAGCTGTCCATCCCTGCTACAACTTTTTTTTTTTTTTTTTTTGAGTTGAAGTCTCACTCTGTTGCCCACGCTGGAGTGCAGTGGGCACAATCTCGGCTCACCGCAGCTTCCGTCTCCCAGGTTCAAGCAATTCTCCTGCCTCAGCCTTCTGAGCAGCTGGGACCACAGACACGTGCCACTGCGTCTGGCTAATTTTTTGTATTTTTAGTAGAGATGGGGTTTCACCATGTTGGCCAGGCTGGTCTTGAACTCCTGACCTCAGGTGATCTGCCCGCCTCGGCCTCCCAAAGTGCTGGCTTTACAGGTGTGAGCCACCGCATCTGTCCTCTGCTACAACTTATACATGGAAATTATTTCTATAAGGATGAATGCAAAATGTTGAGTTGTATTCCAGACTTCACCATCCAACTTACCTACCATTACTGCCCCTAAACACATTAAATAACACTTAAAACACATTGCATAAAATAGGGATAATAAAAGAGTGTGTAATCATTTATTGCACCAAAGGCAGTAGTCATAAAAGTGTACCCCCAAGATGGAATGAGGAGGCATAGGAGGATGAAGGAGTGGCAAGATGACCAATCTCCACATCCATTCACTGAATTGGAGGGCAGATGCAAAGACAGGGCAAGAAGATTCCATATGAAGGAGGCTGTAGTCTGGTCTCCTTATTGCTCTTAAAATTAGTAAGTATCAACTGTTTTCCTCTCAATTTTATTAACAAAAATCATGGTTGTTCGTATTTGCTCTCTCCTGGCCAAAGTTTCTAGATGACTTGCTAGCTGAAAACCTTGGAAAGATGGCTTACCACCCACATTGTCATATGTCATATGATTATGTGCAAATTTATGTAAAATGTGAAAGGGTAAACATGAACAATGACCTCTCATTTCTTTATATTCCCCACAGTGCCTAGCAGTGCCTTACCACAGCAGGCACCTGCTAGATATGTATTGATTTTTGATGGATTTAAGTGGATCCAGTTTGTTATGATTGTGCTTTGAGTCTTCTGTTCTAAAATATTTAAGTTTTGCATATGTTATAGGCATCAATCCTCTTCATGGATACTTCTTTCTTTGATGTGAAATGAGTGCATTTGATAAAAATGTCCTCTAAATTGAGGTGTCCCCATGTCTTTAGTTCTGAATCTGCTATCCAGCTCTGAATCTGGTGATTGGCTAAGGAATTAAATTTGTTTTTTATGTTAATTAGAACATAATAAAGAAAAGTATCTTTTAAAAATCTGAAGATGGACATTTGTTTAAAAAGGCAGTAACAGCCGGCTCACGCCTGTAATCTCAACACTTTGGGAGGCTGAGGTGGGTGGATTGCTTTGGGCACAGGAGTTTGAGACCAACCTGGGCAACATGGCAAAACCCCATCTCTACAAAAAACAAAAAAATTAGCCAGGCGTGGTGGCATGTGCCTATAGTCCCAGCTACTCCACCTACTTGGGAGGCTGAGGCAGGAGGATCACCTGAGCCTGGGAAGGTCAAGGCTGCAGTAAGCCATGATCGTGCCACTGCACTGCAGCCTGAGTGATGGAATAAGACCCTGTCTCAAAAAAAAAGTCACCTTGGATCATATTATCATATCATATGCTTATTTATTGTATGTACTAATGTAGGGCAGGAGTAGGGATCAACATTATGCAATAGATGCTTTGTTTCAAATAGTCTTATACAAATACAATATGTTGTCCGGGTGGTGGGTCATGCCTGTAATCCCAGCACTTTGGGAGGCTGAGGCCGGCGGATCACCTGAGGTCAGGAGTTCAAAACCAGCCTGGCCAACATGGTGAAACCCTGTCTCTACTAAAAATACAAAAATTAGCCAGGTGTGGTGGCAGGTACCTGTAATCCCAGCTACTTGGGAGGCTGAGGCAGGAGAATTGCTTGAACCCGGAAGGCAGAGGTTGCAGTGAGCCGAGATGATGCCACTGCACTCCAGCCTGGGCGACAGAGCAAGACTCCATCTCAAAAAAATATACACACATATATATGTGTGTGGGTATATATGTATATGTATATATACATGTGTATATATGTATATGTGTATATACATGTGTATATATGTATATGTGTATATGTGTATATGTGTATGTATATGTGTGTATATATACATATATATAAAATATATATACATACACACATATATATAAAAAATACGTTCTGCTCTTTTAACTCCTCCCTTAAAATGGGGAGACCTTTCTGTCTATGAATAAACTCCAGCAGCCACAAAAAGAAAAGATGGACATATTTTAACACACTAAAAAGAAAAACTCTCCTGCATGGAAAAAATGCTGTAAGCAAAGTCAAAAGACAATGTAAAATTTGGGGAAATATTTGCAACTTGCATCACAAAAACTTGATTTTTCGACCGGGCACGGTGGCTCACGCCTGTATCCCAGCACTTTGGGAGGCTGAGGCAGGCGCAAGGTGAGGAGTTCGAGACCAGCCTGGCTAATATGGTGAAACCCCATCCCTACTAAAAATACAAAAATTAGCCAGGTGTGGTGGTGCATGCCTGCAGTCCCAGCTGCTTGGGAGGCTGAGGCAGGAGAATCACTTGAACCTGGGAGGCAGAGGTTGCAGTGAGCCAAGATCACACCACTGCACTCCAACCTGGGCGACAGAGTGAGACTCTGTCTCAAAACAAACAAAAAACGTAATTTCTCTGTTACATGGGAATTCTTAGAAATAAAAACCCGAAACTAATAACCCAATAAAAAATGAGCAAAGGGTATAAGAGTTTATACACAGGAAAAAAACACAATGAGCTTTAAATATATGAAAAGATGTTCAATCTCATTCGTAGGATATATGTAAATTAAAACTACACTGAAAACCTTCTTCACGAAAAGTTTGGCAAGCATCCAAACCTTTGATAACACACTCTGTAGGTGAGGGCATAGGAGGGTGATGTGGGACAGCCTCTGCAGAGAGCAATTTGACAATATCTCTCAAAACTGCAAATGCACTTCCTTCCATCCAGCAGACTCCACTTTAGAAATTTACCTTAAAGATAAACTTATGTGTAAAATGACATGTATAATAGGTTATTCACTGCATTATTGTTTGTAATGGCAAAACATTGGAAACAACCTAAATGCCCACAGATAAAAGGACTGGAAAATTAAGTTATGGTACATTCATACAGTGAGATAATATCGTATTATTTGAAAAATATTTTTTAATGAGAAAGCTCTCTATAAGCTGATATATAAAGATTTTCAGCTGGGCAAGGTGGCTAACACCTATAATCTCAGCACTTTGGGAGGCCGAGGTGAGAAGACTGCTTGAAGCCAGGAGTTTGAGACCAGCCTGGGCAACAAAGTGAGCCCCATCTCTACGAAAAAATAAAAATAGCTGGACGTGGTGGCACATTCCTGTAGTCTCAGCTACTCAGGAGGATGAGGTGAGAGGATCTCTGGAGTCTAGGAGTTTAAGGTTTAGGTGAGCTATGATTGCGCCACTGCACTCCAGCCTGGGCAACAGAGTGAGACCTTGTCTCTAAATAAATAAATTTTAAAAATAAATAAATGAAAAGATCTTTAAAATATATTAAGGGGAAAAAGCAAGATATAGAGCAGTGTGAAGAGTATGCTATATTTTGTGTAAAAAGGAGGGGAGCTTATTCCTCTGTGTGTGTTGGTGCATAAAGCAACTCTGGGATCAGATTAATAAAGTAGAAGGAAAACAGATGGGAAGGGTGGCTAAGAGATGCCATAGGAAGGAGACTTTGTGAAAATGTTTTAAATATCTCCTGACGGTTGAATCTTGTTAACATATTGCCTATGCAAAAAGTTAAATGTAAAAAAATTCACATGATTTCAGTGAACTTTTTTTGAGACGGAGTCTCACTCTTGTCACCAGGCTGGAGTGCAGTGGTGCAATCTTGGCTTACTGCAGCCTCCGCCTCCTGGGTTCAAGCCATTCTCCTGCCTCAGCCTCCTGAGTAGCTGGGATTACAGGCATGCGCCACCGCGTCCAGCTAATTTTTGTATTTTTAGTAGAGATGGGGTTTTACCATGTTGGCCAGCATGGTATCAATCTCTTGACCTCGTGATCCGCCCACCTTGGCCTCCCAAAATGCTGGGATTACAGGCATGAGCCACTGTGCCTGGCTCAGTGAACTTTTAATTCTACTTTGGTAGGATGATGGTGGTCTTAGGAAAATTTGAATCTTCATGACTAGTGACATAACTACATGGTACAGACCATCCTGTATAGCGAATTGCTTCTTGTGCCTAAGTCTTGTCTTCCCAGTGAAATCAATCGCTGGCCCTCCTCACCTCTTTTGGAACCTCTGCAGTGTTTAACCTGGGAACCCAGTGAATATCTGAGAACAGACAACTGGTTGATTAGGCCTCTCAGACTTTCATTCCATTTCATCATGAACACTTCTCATATATTTACAACTTTTCCTTTCAAGTAAATCAAAATATTAACGTACAAGGACAAGTCAGACAGAAAAAGGCACATAGTTGCCAGGTAAATTGGGCCTCCTCAGAGTGTATCTTCAGGTTTTTAACAAAAGGCAGTTTCCATCTTATTGATGAAAATGTGTTTGCTTTCTATTCAATTACCCATTGTATGTTAGATGGTATTTCGTGGTTCAAATGGCTGTCTGTACAAAATGCTAACATTTAAAATCTATTTCCTCCACTCCTGTTTCAATGTCGACAACTCTATTGTTAGAATCTGTGAGTTGGTGTCTTTGCAACCAAAGGAATATTCAGCTGAGATGTTTGATTTTACTATTCGATGTGATCTCACTTCTCCATGTAAGCAGCTTCCAACAAAATCACTTACTGGAGAAAAGAGAAAAGACCTAACAGTCCAGCGCGCTGTGTATACCGCGGGGGCCGTGTCAGGGGAGCAGGCTCTGGAACACTCCCGCCAAGGCCAAGAGGGCTCCCGCCTCCCCTCCAAGCGGTGGAAACCCGCCCTCCGCCAGACTCTGGCGGTGGGAGCGGCTCCCCCTGCAGGATCTGCAGAGACGCCTCCTGGGCTTTCTGTTCTGGCCTCGCGTTTCCCGGGCGCCTCGGTGTGAAGGCAGCTTAGTGCTGTGCCCGCCCGCCTGCTGCTTCCCAGTGGGGGAGTTTGGGTGAGCAATGGGAAGCCAGGGGGCCCGAGAAGCTGGCGAGGGGTGATGTTGCCGGCCAAACCCCGGGCAGGACCCCAGAGCTCAGCCGGGACAGCCCTGTCTCCTGCCTGTAGCCGGGGCTCTTCCCCCAGCACACAGGACGGGACGGTTCGAGGCTGGCTCTCCTGGGTTAGCATCTCTTCACTCCCACCTCACAACCTTTTCTTTTCCCAGCCCCAGCTAGAGAGACTCCAGAACACATATGCCTGGGCTAATTATTCTGAGGCAATTAACGTGGCTGGGTCTCAGTTTCCTTTTTTTGTGTAATAATACCAAATTGACAATCCCTTTAGAAAACTATTTGGTAGTTTCTTATAAAGTTAGGCTGGGTGCGGTGGCTCACGCCTGTAATCCCAACACTTTGGGAGGCCGAGGCGGGAGAATCGCTTGAGCCCAGGAGTTTGAGACCAGAGAGAGAGAGAGAAAAAGAGAAAGAAATTAAAATCTATGTCCACCGAAACACTTGCCCACAAATGTTCATAGCAGGTTTATTCATAATAGCCAAAGACTACAAACAACCAAACGTCTATAAACAAAGTCATAATACATTGTGATGTATTCATATGATGGAATACTAAGCATAAGAGGAACAAACTACTGATACATACCACAGCATAAACGAATCTCAAAAGCACTGGATTAAATAAACCGCTCTACAATTCTGTATGAAGGTCTGAAAACACTAAGCTAATCTGTCGTATTAGAAATCAGAACAGTGGCTTCTTTGCATAGTACAGACTGAGAAGGGCACAGGGAACTTTCTGGAGTGATGGAAATGTTCTATATCTTGACTGAGGTGATGGTTACATGAGTACATACATTTGTCAAAACTCAGAATTGTACTTTAAAATTTGTACATTTTACTGTATGTAAATTAAGCCTCAAATTTAAAGTACCTTTATTTATTTATTTGTTTGTTTGTTTATTTATTGCAGAATCTTGCTGTGTTGCCCAGGCAGGAATGCAGTGGTGCAATCACGGCTCACTGCAGCCTCTACCTCCTAGGCTCAAGCAATCCTCAGCCTCCTGAGAGTAGCTGGGACTACAGGTATGTGTCACCACACCCAGCTAATTTTTTCATTTTGTTGTAGAGATAAGGTCTTGCTTAAAATACCTTTATAAGCCAGGCACAAAAACACATACTTTGCATGTTCTCATTTGTGGGAGCTAAAAATTAAAACAATTGAACAACTCATGGAGCTAGAGAGTAGAACCATGGTATGAGAGGTTAGGAAGGATAGTGGGGAGGGTAGTGGGGTTAATGAGTATAACAATATACTTGGATAGAATGGATAAGATCTAGCATTTGATAGTACAACAGGGTAACTACAGTCAACAATAATTTATTGTACATTTAAAAACAGCTAAAAGAGGCCGGGTGCAGTGGCTCACGCCTGTAATCCTGGCACTTTGGGAGACTGAGGCGGGTGGATCACCTGAGGTCAGGAGTTCGAGACCAGCCTGGCCAACATGGTGAAACCCCATCTCTACAAAAAATACAAAAATTAGGCCGGGCGCGATGGCTCACGCCTGTAATCCTAGCACTTTGGGAGGCTGAGATGGGCGGAACAGGAGGTCAGGAGATCGAGACTATCCTGGCTAACATGGTGAAACCCCGTCTCTACTAAAAATACAAAAAAAATTATCTGGGTGTGGTGGCGTGCGCCTGTAGTCCCAGCTACTCAGGAGGCTGAGGCAGGAGAATTGCTTGAACCTGGGAGGTGGAGGTTGCAGTGAGCCAAGGTCATGCCACTGCACTCCAGCCTGGGCAACAGAGCGAGACTCCATCTCAAAAAAAAAAAAAAATACAAAAATACAAAAATTAGCCCGGTGTGGTGGCACATGCCTATAATCCCAGCTACTTGGGAGGCTGAGGCAGGAGAATTGCTTGAACCTGGGAGACAGAGGTTGCAGTGAGCCGAGATTGTGCCACTGTACTTCAGCCTGGGCAACATAGCGAAACTCCATTTAAAAAATAAAAAGCTAAAAGAGTATAATTGGAATGTTTTTAACACAAAGAAATGATAAATGCTCGAGGTGGTAGATAACACACTTACCCTAATGTCATTTTTATTTTTATTTTTTTTTGAGACACAGTCTCGATCTGTCACCAGGCTGGAGTGCAGTGGCACGATCTTGGCTCACTGCAACCTCTGCCTCCCAGGTTCAAGGGATTCTCCTGCCTCAGCCTCCTGAGTAGCTGGGACTACAGGCACACGCCACCATGCCCAGCTAATTTTTGTATTTTTAGTAGAGATGGGGTTTCATCATGTTGGCCAGGATGGTCTCGATCTCTTGACCTCGTGATCTGCCTGCCTCGGCCTCCCAAAGTACTGAGATTACAGGCATGAGCCACCGCGCCCAGTTCCTGATGTGATTATTATGCATTATATGCCTGTATCAAAATATCTTATGTACCCCTAAATAGATACACCTATGCAGCCATAAAAATTAATAATTTAAAAATATCTTTGAAAAAAATAAGTTTCTACTTCATAGGGTGATTGTAATTATTAAATGAGTTACTATGGAAAGTGTTTAGAGCAGTACCTGGCATTTAGATGTTACCATATAAATATATAGCATTTATAGTGTGTGTGTGTGTATATGTCATATTTACACAGCATTTATATGTAGTATTTATAATTAGTTTGAAATCTGTGACACTGTGGAAAAGATTTACGTTTTGAAGTACTGTATGTTCAGAATTTTCCGTGAAGGAAATTCACAATGTGGAAGAAGGAATCACTTTACCACTGTTTCAGTCTCATAAGGGGTTGTGAGGATCGAATGAGGCCATATACCTCAGCTACATTTGTATTTGATTAATAAAAGAAAATACGGGTGTAGGTAGTTGTCATCCAACTTAACTTGCCAACATAATTTCTGTATCTGAGAAATGCTGCTTCAAGTCCAAAGCAGCATAAAATGATGCAAGAACATCACACATTCTCATGACCTGCACATCACATATGCAACAATTCCATGAATGCTCATAGAAGCACCAGAAGATATCACCCAGACATGGTTCTTTAAACTGCTGCTCTGTGAGACTCCTTGGGGAGGGGAAAGAGCTTGACTGCCTGGGTTTGAGTGCTGGTTCTGTCACTTATTACATGTGATACTGGAGGAGTTACTTAACCTCCCCAGGCTTCTGTTTCCTCGTCTGTAAAATGGGAATGATATCTACCTCCTGGATTTCTGGGCAAGTTGGATGAGAAAAGCTATGTGTTTCAGAAATAAAAACTGTTGCTGACCTCTGCAGACTGTGGATGCTGGCGATGCAAGTACTCGTTGAGCAGGCTGTCTTGTGTGGGTGACAGTGTGTATTCCCACGAGCAGTCTTGGAGAGGCAGGACCCGGGTGATCTTCTTAGGGAAAGGGGAGAGATGGAGAGTCCAGAGGAAGATCCTGGAGGGAGCACTTGGGGCTGGGCAAGATTCAGAGACTGCTCAGAGAAAGGGTCCATGAGAAACAGCCAAAAAGGAAAACAAGGGAGAGATGTTTAATGGAAAGAAATGCTTCACCCTATTGTTGTATGTATGAAAAATCTCCTCTTTCCTTGGTCTCCTCTATAAGCCTTCAATAAAATCCACCTGTGTAGGTGGCTTCTTTTGGGAGGAGTGAGAGCATTGGTAAACCCTGCTTCGAGGATTCCTTAGGGAGGAAAGGTAGGTTGCAAAACACCCACATCTGAGTTACTTCTGTAATGTGCCTTGCACAGTCCTAGGTTCAGGGTATGTGCGTAATAAGTGACAGACATTTTACGTCGTGTTACATGTGTGCACACATTCTGGTAAAAACTTGCCTCACTCCACGCCGCAGGCTCATGTCAGCGGCCCAGCACGAGTGTTTCTATGACAACCATGGCGTCTCTACGCCTTCAAGGTGGGCGCTCGTGAATGGGGATGTGGGTATAGTGGGTTCCAGTTCCGCCAGTAGACCAGCAAATCCTCCCTCTTTTGGCAAATTATTCTCTTCCACTCGCCACTTAGTTCACGCTGGTTGTAGGCGCCAGGCAGTGAACCGCGTCTCCGCTCTTCTGTCCCGCAGCGATCGCGCAGGTCCAGGGCCCGCTCCAGGGCACCTGGCCACGGTGGCTCCTAACCCTGGCAGATAACAGGCCTCTGTGCGCTCCGCTTGACCCCAGCGCGGCCCCAAGCTCCGAGGCGGGCTGGGGGCGTCCTCACTGCGCGCCCTCTGATCATGGCTCTGGCCTCACGCCTCTAGCCGCCGCGTAAGAGCCGAGGAGCGCGCAGGGGCAGGTTCCCTGGCCGGACGCTCCCTCCCCAGGGCCCGGGTCAGGGTCAAGGTCTCGGCTCTGCTCGTACGCAGCACCGCCCCTTGGCGCAGAGCCTGCGGGAATGTGCGGGCCGCCCCAGCGCCGACCTCGCGCAGCCGGTTCTGCCGCCGCCTCCAGGGCGGAGACTGGCTGCCCGCTTGGACTAGGCGGCGGGGCGGAGCGGAGGCCGCGGTCTGGGCGTCCGCGCGGTGCGGACTGTATGTGCCTCCCACGATGGCCCGTGGGGCCTGCGCTCTGCCCGATCAGATGGAAAAGAACGTTTTAGATTGAAGTTTTAAGACGACTCTCCCGATGCCGCTTGAACTGGGTACAGGTGTGTGTAAAAACAGGGTCACAGGCTCAGTGCATTCAGTGATGATGCAACTGTGGCTGAGCGCCAAGCCCTCCGGCAGGCAACGCCGGACAGGCAGCCCTCCAAACCCACAGAGGAGCGCGACCCCTCCCCATGTCTGCACCCCACCCGCCTCTGCCCTCCTCTCTGCTCCCCAAACCTCTACTTTGGGGATAAGTATTAACTCTCCTGGCTCTGACATCCCACCTGATGAATGTCCCTCTGCAAGGATCTGGGGTTGCCCTACACGTGTTTGGGCCCTCTTTTTTCGGGCCTCTGGCTTTAGCCATAGACCTTGGTCTTTGTCCTGCTTTCTCCTCTGCCTCACCATCACCCTGTTTTCCGTATGACCCAATCTCCTTCCAACACCCCAGTCCCTTCATCAGCAGCCCCAATCCTGATGCCTGAGCAACTTCATTAAAAGTAACTACCATCCACCATCAGCCCAGGATCACTCAGCTCCTTCAGCTGTAACCCTAGAATTCAACTCTCATAGCTATCCTCGCCTTCATTTCTTAGACTTCACAATTCTGTGGTTATTTCTGTCTCTCTATTCCCCATGCTCACTAATCTCCATCCTTAACATGCCCCCACATGCTGCCCTCCAGCTTTTTTGTCTCCATGGTCCCTGACTCAGACCTTCCCTCCTGAGTGGGGCCCCCACCTCCCTTGAATCTGGGATCACTGGCCCAGCCCAGCACAGAATCTTCTCCTGATGTTGGCCTGATGGAGTTTGTGTGTCCTGCTGGTGTCCGCATGTTGAGACTCCAGCTGCTGCCCTGCTCCAGGCCCCAATCCCAGCCTGCATCCTCATGTGTGCTCCCAAACCGGTCAGTGGAGTCCAGAGACTTGGCAGGACCCTCTTCTGTCCAGCAGGCCTGCCACAGTCTACAGAACAAATTCCAGTTCCTGCTGCTTCTGCTGAAGGAATTGGAATCCCATTTCTTTTTCTTTTTCTTCTGTGTTTGTTTTTGTTGTTGTTGTTGTTGTTGTTGTTTTTGAGACAGTCTTGCTCTGACACCCAGGCTGGAGTGCAGTGGTACCATCTAGGCTCACTGCAACCTCTGTCTGCTGGGTTCAAGCAATTCTCATGCCTCAGCCTCCCAAGTAGCTGGAATTACAGGCGGGTGCCACCATGCCCAGCTAAATTTTTTTGTATTTTTAGTAGAGACGAGGTTTCACCATGTTGGATAGGCTGGTCTCAAACTCCTGGCCTCAAGTAATCAGCCCACCTCAGTCCCCCAAAGTGCTAGGATTACAGGCGTGAGCCACCGTGCCTAGCTGGAACCCCATTTCTTAATCTCACCTGCCATTAAAGGTCCTGCATCCTCCTGGGTCCTCCTGGAACAGAAGTTATACTAGCCTTCACGGTGAAGGAGGAGCAGCGCTTAGCCTCATCCTTCCTCCCGGCACACCCAGGGATGCTATTGGGTCAGCCAAACATTACCACCAAGAATTGGTAAAGGAAACAAAGGCTGGTTTGATCTTCAGAGTCTTGGCTGCTCCTGTTTCCTAAAATTGATAGTGACTACATCGTTACTCTCTGAGTACCTACTGAGTATAGTAAGGGACTCCCAGAAGGGGAAAGCATCGTCCTCTTCCCTGGCTTAACTAAATCCTACCCCTTCCATCAAGGCCCAAGTCCTACACAGCTGAGGGCTTAATTAGAGCCTACCTTTATCACTCGCTGTGGTCTTCTCTGTCATTGCTGTTTCCAGAAAGAGACAGTGATGTCATCTCTGTGCCTCTGGTCAGCTCTGGAGCATCCGCCACATCTTAGGCTGGACAGCCAATCACATGCCAAGGGAGGCTGGGCTCCCCCTTCCAGGGGCTCTCAGGGTGTGTGCTGTGGATGTGTGCCCAAGAAGGTGTGTGTGTTCATGCGTCTCTCCTGCCCCAGGAGGCCTCTGCGGAGTTGTTCTTGGCCCATCACTGAGGACATGCTGTGTCCTGCCTCTGGATTCTGGATGAGAGCAGGAGTCCATCCTGTTGGGGATTCACACTAAAATACTGCTTCCCACATTTGAGGATTTCTTGCACCATGAAAGACTTCGTGGGGAGGGGCCAACAGGGGATGGCTAACTTTTTACTTTGCCAAGCAAGTTCATTCAAAATAATTACTATTGGCTGGGTGCAGTGGCTCATGCCTATAATCCCAGCACTTTGGGAGGCCAAGGTGGGCGGATCACTTGAGGTCAGGAATTTGAGACCAGCCTGGGCAACATGGTGAAACCCCGTCTCTACGAAAAATACAAAAATTAGGTGGGTGTGGAGGCGTGTGCCTGAAATCCCAGCTACTTGGGAGGCTGAGGCACCAAGAATCGTTTGAACTGGGGAGGCGGAGGTTGCAGTGAGCTGAGATCCTGCCACTGCACTCTAGCCTGGGCAACAGAGCGAGACTCCATCTCAAAAAAAAAAACAAAAAACCCAACAAAACAAAAAACCACCATCTACTATCCCATCAGTTCATAAATAAAGACTTTCTAATTCCCAAAATATGGAAATGACATCATTTTAGATGAATATCCATTTGTTTAACTTTTTGTTTTAGAATAATTTCACACATAAAATTTGCTACAATAGTACGATGAACTCCTATATACTCTTCACCCAGATTCACCAGTTGCTAATGTTTTGCTATATTAGGTTTATGAGTTTCTTTTTTAAAAAAAAAATTTTTAAGACAGAGTCTCACTCTGTCACCCAGGCTGGAGTGCAGTGGCTCAATCTCGGCTCACTGCAACCTCTCTCTCCTGAGTTCAAGCAATTCTCCTGCTTCAGCCTCCCAAGTAGCTGAGATTACAGGTGTATGCCACCATACCCAGTTAATTTTTGTATTTTGAGTAGAAACATGGTTTCACCATGTTGGCCAAGCTGTTCTGGAACTCCTGACCTCAAATGATCCACCACCTCGGCCTCCAAAAGTGCAGGGATTACAGGCATGAGCTACTGTGCACAGCCTTGGTTTATGATTCTGTCTCTCTACATTCATACACACAGAGAAAGAGAACACGTGCACAAGACAGAATACTCCCTGTTTATATAAATTTCTTTACTGAATTATTTGAGAGTAAATTATAGACATTGCACCTCTTTACCCTGAAATACTTATGTACTATCACCAAAACCAGGAAACTTAACATCATTGATATAATATTATAATCTACATAATTGATTAAAATTTTGCCAATTATCCTAATAATGTCCCCTCTCCCTCCCCCTGCTGCTACTTCTCTCTCTTCTCCCCTTCTCCTCCTCCCCACCCTCCTTTTCTTCCTCCTTCTCTACACCCTCTTCCTCCTCTTTTTCTTTTCTTTTTCCTCTTCTAGGCATTGCTTTCTCTGGCCCAGGATCCATTCTAGGATCACACGTTGCTTTTGGTTGTCATGTCTCTTCAGTTTCCTTCAATCTGTTGACAGTTTCCTCAGGCTTTCTTTTGTCTTTCATGACATTGACATTTGTGTGTATGAAAAGTACAGGCCTGTTATTGAGTAGAAGGTCCCTCAGTTGGAGTTTGTCTGATGTTTGCTCATGGTTACACTCAAGTAATGCATTTTTGCCAAAATACCACAGAAATGATACGTCCTTTCTCATTGCATGACATCAGAAGGCATATGACATTGGTTTGTCCTATTTAAGAGATGTTAACTTTGCTCTCTTAGTTAAAAGGGTGGCCACCAGATTTCTCCACTGTCAAATTACCATTTTCCCCTTTGTAATTAGTAAATAATTTGTTAAGTGGATTAATAAGTCTTTTAAAGGAAATAAAATCTTCATTTTACGTCTTCCTAAATGAGTCTTTTTTTTTTTTTTTTTTTTTTGAGTTGGAGTCTCGCACTGTTGCCCGGGCTAGAGTGCGATGGCGTAATCTTGGCTCATTGCAACCTCTGCTTCCTGGGTTCATGCGATTCTCCTGCCTCAGCCTCCCAAGTAGCTGGGATTACAGGTGCACCCCACCACACCTGACTAATTTTTTGTACTTTTAGTAGTGATGGGGTTTCACTGTGTTGGCGAAACTGGTCTCGAACTCCTGACCTTGTGATCTGCCTGCCTCAGCCTCCCAAAGTGTTAGGATTACAGGCGTGAGCCACCCCACCCGGCCAATAAGTCTTTTAAAGGAAAAAAGGCTTTTTGAAAAATTCATAACATAATCCTTATTTTGGACTGACTCTTAAAAACCCTGGCACAAGAATGCAAGCAAATTACTCATTTATCTATCAAATCCTTGAGTACTGCATGTGCCAGGTACTGCTCCAGACCCTGCCTTCTCCATCTAACTCCCTCTTTAGTCATCCTGGACAGACTGGCCCCAGGCTTGGGTCCCCAAAGTCATTTCTTGAGCCGCTTGAAGGCAGGAGCTGATACAGAGACACAGTAGGTAGTGGTTCTGGAATCTAGTGTACCCACAGTGTAACAAGGAGACCTGCTCTCAACTCTATGGATACAGCAAGGCTCTTCTGTGATGAAAGAAATAATATTGCTGACATATGTGTTTATATTTTAATTAGCTTTCTCTGAGTTACACTGTAGTAACAAATAACCCAAAACTCTTAGTGGCTTACAGTAAGAAGGGTTTATTTCTTATGCACATTTTATGTCGGCTGTGGTCATTGGTGGTTCTGCTCTGTGTTGTCCTCTCCATTCTGGGATCTGGGCAGAAGATGTAGCCTCTATTTGAAATATGTAATCCTCATGGCAGAGGGAAAAGGAAAGTGATAGAAGTCTGCCATAGTTCTTAAACCTTCTGCAGGGAAAAGCATAGTCATTTCCACTTACATTTATTGGCCACCTCAAGTCGTGTGACCATGCCCGCCATTAATGGGACAGTGAAGTGTATTCCTCCTAAAAAGGAGTGCCGCAAGTCACATAGCAAAAGGAGAGGACGTATAATCACCTCACAGGAAAGGATAGAATAAATCAGAACCAATAATGCAACCAACTATGGTAGAATTCTTTTTTTTTTTTAATTGAAACAGAGTTTCACTCTTGTTGTCCAGGCTGGAGTGCAGTGGTGCGATCTCGGCTCACTGCAACCTCCGCCTCCCAGGTTCAAGCAATTCCCCTGCCCCTTCTGAGTAGCTAGGATTACAGGCGCCTGCCACCACGCCTGGCTAATTTTTTGTATTTTTAGTAGAGACGGGGTTTCACCATGTTGGCCACACTGGTCTGGAACTCCTGACCCCAGGTGATCCACCCGCCTCGGCATCCCAAAGTGCTGGGATAACAGGTGTGAGCCACCGCACCCAGCCGGTAGAATTATTTTATACAGGTTCTCTGCACCAACCTTCCAATTTACAGAAAACAGAGAGGGCCAGAGGAACAAGTTAAACAACACCATGAAGAAACACTCACTCAATCCAAAATGTGGAACATTCTGTAAGAAAGCTGGCCTGGAGTCTTCAAAAAGACAATGTTATAGAAAAAGAAAGAAGCGACTCTTCCAGCTTAAAGGATACAACAATTCATAAGCTTGGATTGAATCTGATTTTTAAAAATCTATAATTAGGGACAATTGGGTAAAATGTTATATAAACTAAATATTAGATGATATTAGAGAATTATTGTTAACTTTTTAGGCATGATAATGATTTTGTAGTTATGTAGGGGAATGTCCCTCTTTTAGGAGATACATGCAAATATATTCAGAGGTGAAGTGACATAACATTTGCAATTTACTTTCAAAAGGTTAAGCAAAAAAGTATTCATGGCTGGGCATGGTGGCTCATGCCTATAATCCCAGCACTTTGAGAGGCCGAGGTGGGCAGATCACCTGAGGTCGGGAGTTCAAGACCAGTCTGACCAACATGGAGAAACCCTGTCTCCACTAAAAATACAAAATCAGCTGGGCGTGGTGGCGCATGCCTGAAATCCCAGCTCCTCGGGAGGCTGAGGCAGGAGAATCATTTGAACCCAGGAGGCGGATGTTGTGGTGAGCCGAGATTGCGCCATTGCACTCCAGCCTGGGCAACAAGAGAGAAACTCCATCTCAAAATATATATATATATTTATAAAGAGAGAGAGCAAAGTTGTATAATGCCTAAAATGTTGAAGCTTGGTGGAGAGTGGAGGGGTGTTAATACTATTCCTTCAAATTTGCTGTTTTTAAAATTCGTAAAAATAAAAAAATAGGAGAAGTATATAGGTGTAGTTGTGATTAATAAAAATAAAGCGGCAGAGTGCAGTGGCCTCACACCTGTAATCCCAGCAGTTTGGGAGTCTGAGGCGGGGTGGATCACGAGGTCAGGAGTTTAATACCAGCCTGACCAACATGGTAAAACCCCGTCTCTATTAAAATCAGAAAAATTAGCCAGTCATGGTGGTGGGCGCCATTAATCCCACTACTCAGGAGGCTGAGGCAGGAGAATCCCTTGAACCCAGGAGGCGGAGGTTGCAGTGAGCCGAGACTGCACCATTGCACTCCAGCCTGGGCAACAGAGCGAGACTTGGTCTCAAAAAATAAATAAATAAATAAATAAAGCTCACTTTAAAATGTTTCTGAATTTATCTTAAACAAAGTAACATGAGGAGAAAAAGAAAAATTATTTTGAAAAAGAATAAAATGTTTCTGAACTTATAGTATTTTTTAAATCGTTATAATTTTCTCTATTGGTTTAATCTCCACTAACATATGAGGAGAAAGCCCTTAATTTTTATTTTATTTTATCTTAATTTTTTTAGAGACAGCGTCTCAGTCTGTCAACCAGGCTGGAGTGCAGTGCCACGATCATAGCTCACTGTAGCCTCAAACTCCCAGCACTGTGGGAGGCTGAGGCAGGAGGATCACTTGAGCCCACGAATTTGAAGCTGTAGTGAGCTATGATCACGCTACTGCACAAAGTGAGACCCCGTCTCAAAAAAATTAAAAATAAATAAATAAGGTAGAAAGCCTCCTAATTAAGCCTTTCTGGAAAGTCTTAACTAATATACTGTATTATATGAAACACCTTACAAACTTCATATCCACTTTGTCTTGGGAATTTAACTAAGAAAAGAACCGTGGATTTCTGTAAAGATTCAGCAACAAGGAAGTTCATCCCAGCATTATTTACTTCAGTGAAAAAAAAATGGGTATAATTTAAGTGTTCCAACAATAGTTGGTTAAATAAACTATGGCCCAGTCACCCAAAGAAAGGAATACAATACAGCCATCAAAAATTATGTTGTGGGCCGGGTGTGGTGGCTCATTCCTGTAATCCCAGCATTTTGGGAGGCTGAGGTGGGTGGATCATTTGAGGCCAGGAGTTTGAGACCAGCCTGAGCAACATGCGAAACCCCGTCTCTACAAAAAATACAAAAATTAACCAGGTGTGGTGGTACATGTCTGTAATCCCAGCTAACTCAGGAGGCTGAGGTGGGACGATTGCTTGAGCCCAGAAGGCTAAGGCTGCAGTGACCAGAGACTGCACCACTGCACTCCAGCCTAGGTAATAAAGCAAGACCATGTCTCCAAATAATAAAATAAAATAAAAGGTATTGCAGAACAACAAGTGAAAGATACTCATACAATGTATTTAACAAGTGGAAAGATACTCGTACAATATATTTAGTTTATGAAACAACAGTATGTACTGTATAATCCTGTTTTTGTTAAAAAAAGAAAAAAAACAGAAAAAAGACTGGAAGAATATACACTCAAGTGCCTAATATCTTGGTTATCTCTGGAGGTTGGATTTACAGATAATTTTTATTATTTTATTTTTCCTTATATCTACTTTAAAAATGTTATAAAGTGAATGTGAATTACTTTTAAATTAAGAAAAAAACATAAAAATGATATTTGAAGGAAGGCTACTGAATTGCCAAATATTTTCTTCTGAAGAACATGAAGGAGCCCCCTTGTGGGTCCCTGGACCCTTAATCAGAGCTGAGACCAACCCAAGCCGCAAGGTGGCAGTGCTGTTCGCTGAGGCTGCCCTTGGGCTGAGCACTCTTGGGCCACACCCGTGAGAGTGCCCCCTCCCCCAGTTTCCCTTTTACCCCAACACACATGGGCACCCCCTGAAAGAAGAGACAACTTGGTGTGCACAGCTGCTCTGCCCATCTTTGCACCTAAGTCCAGGGTGACAGGGGAGTGGAGACGACAAATCAAGAATGTCCTTTCCTTGGAGGAAACTGGGAGGCTTCCCCCAACAACCATTGTCTCTGAATGTGGCTCCAGCTGCCAGATTGTGTGTGCGTGTGTGTGTGTGTGTGTGTGTGTGTGTGTGTGTGTGTGTGTGTGTATTCTGCATGTTTTGCTTATTGTATCGTTTTTCTTGGATGTTGTGTATTTGTTTTAATGTTTAGAACTTGTTCTTTTATTTCAGAACAATATGAACAGAACACAATGTTGAAGAAAATACATTTACTTTGTACCCAATTCTATGCATATTTTCTTCTGCTTTCCAGTCCACACGTTGTTCATCATATTGGAAATCCTCTCTACACCTGCTTTGAAGCAGGATCAATGCACTATACTGATATAATTTCAGCAAATAACTACTGACATGAATTCATAAATGGCATCATTTTGCATTCTGCTCTGTAGGCTTATAATAAAAGTACTTCGTCTACAAAGCAATAATGCAACTTTATTTATAAAATCATTTTCCAATTAAGAAAATTTTCAATGGTTTATAAAAGTGGACATTTGCACAATCTTTTTCATAATTCATGAAATTGTTTAAAGTGTAAAATTCAGTATTTTTTAGTATATTCACAGAATTCTGCAACATCACCAGAATAAATTTTAGAATATAATTGAATCTTGAACAACGTGGAGGTTAGGGGTGCCAGCCTCCCTGCAGCTAAAAATCCATGTATAACTTTTGACTCCCCCAGAGCTTAACTACTAATAGCCTTCTGTTTACCTGAAGCCTTAGTGATAACATAAACAGTTGATTAACGCATATTTTGTCTGCTATATGTATTATACTCTTACAATAAAGTAAGCTAGAGAAAAGGAATGCTATCAGGAAACTCATAAGAAAGAAAAAACTATGTTTACTATTCATTAAGTGGAAGTGGATCATCATAAAGATCTTCATCCTTGTCATCTTCGCGTCGAGTAGGCTGAGGAGGAGGAGGAAAACGGGTTGGTCTTGCTGTCTTGGGGTGGCACAGTCAGAAGAAACTTTGTCTATCAGTGGACCAGTGCAGTTCAAACCTGTGTTGTTCAAGAGTCAACTGTATTTTCATCACCCCCGAAAAAGAAACCCTATATCCATTAGCAGTCACTCCTCATTTCCCCTATATATTTGCATATTCTAGACATTGCATATAGATGGGATTATACAACGCGTGTCTTTTGTGACACTTTTCTCACTTGGCATAACGTTTTCAAGGTTCATCCACGTTGTAGCATGTATCAGTACTTCATTCCTTTGTAGTGCCAAATAATATTCCATTGTATGGAATTTTATTTATCCATCCATCAATGGATGGATATTTGGGTTATTTCCACTTTGGGCTACTATGAATAATGCTGCTATGAATATTCATATACACGTTTTTGTGTGGGATATACCTAGGAGTGAAATTGCTGCATCATATGACTGTTTTCCAAAGTGGATGCACCACTGTACGTTCCCACTAACAATGTATGAGGGTTCCAGTTTCTCTACATCCTCGCAGACTCTTGTTATTGTCTATCTTTTTGATAATAGCCATCCTAATGAGTGTTAAGTGGTATCTCATTGTAGTTTTGATTTGCCTTTCCATGATGGCTAGTGGCCATTTCTGTATCTTCTTTGGAGCTATGTCTATTCAGATCCTTTGCCCATTGTTTAATTGGGTTATTTGTCATTTTATGATTGAGTTGTTAAAGTTCTTCATAAATTCTAGACAGCAGTCCCTTATCAGATATCTGATTTGCAGATATTTTATGCCATTCTGTGAATTGTCTTTTCACCTTCCTATTGGTGTTCTTTGAAGCACCAAAATTTATAATTGTGATAAAGTCCAGTTTATCTATTTTTTTCTTTTGTCACTTGTGCTTTGGCCCATACCAAGGTCACAAATATTATTCCTATATTTTCTTCCTATATTTCTTCTAAGAAATATATGGTTTCTCCAAAGTAATGCAGATTATTTAAAAAAAGAGAAAAAAAGAAATATGTGGCATGTAGGGTGTCAGATAGGGGTCCAATTTCATTCCTTTGCAGTTGTATATCCAGTTGTCCCAACACCATTTGTTAAAAATACTATTTTTTTCTCCATTCAATTGTCTTGACACTCTTGTTGAAAATCAATTAATCATAAATGAAAGGGTATACTTCTGGACTCACAATTCTATTCTATTGCTTTATGTCTATCCTTATGGCAGTACCACACTGTCTTGATTACCACGGTTTTATAGGAAGTTTTGAAATTAGGAAGTGTGAGCCCTCCAACTTTGTTCTTCTTTTTCAAGACTGTTTTGGCTATTCTGGATTCCTGGAATTTCTATATGAATTTTAGAATCAGCTTGTCAATTTCTACCAAAAAATCCAGCTGTGATTTTGCTGTAGATTGCAATGAATCTGTAGATCATTTTGGGGAAAACTGGCATCTTAACCATGTTAAGTCTTCTGATCAATGAACATAGAACGTCTTTCCTTTAATTTAGGTGTACATCTGCTTTTTAAATGTTACTGGGCAGGGAGCTTAAATATCAGATGGTTCTAGTTTATTCTCAAACACTTGGGTAACTTGAGTAAAGCCCATTAAGCATGTAGATGTCACTCAGCAAAGCCTGAGGAGGACAGTCCCTACCTTTGCAGTACGGACAGTTGCTCAGCATAACTCAGAGGTGCTGCCACAGGTTTCTGGTTTTCCTTTCTTTTTTTTTTTTTTTTTTGAAACTATTTCGCTCTTGTTGCCCAGACTGAAGGGCAGTGGCGCAGTCTCACTCACTGCAACTTCGGTCTCCAGGGTTCAAGCGATTCTCCCGCCTCAACCTCCCGAGTAGTGGGGATTATAGGAGTATGCCACCACGCCTGGCTAATTTTTGTATTTTTAGTAGAGAGTGTGTTTTCGCCATGTTAGTCAGGCTGGTCTTCAACTCCTGAACTTACCTAAGGTCAGGAGTTTGAGACTAGCCTGGCCAACATAGTGAAACCTCATCTCTACTAAGTGATCCACCCACCTCAGCCTCCCAAAGTGCTGGGATTACAAGAGTGAGCCACTGTACCTGGCCAGCTGCTGGTTATCTGTTACAAGAAAAGGTGGATAAGCGCTGGGCGCGGTGGCTCATGCCTGTAATCCCAGCACTTTGGGAGGCTGAGGTGGGTGGATCACCTGAGGTCAGAAGTTCAAGACCAGGCTGACCAACATGGAGAAACCCCGTCTCCACTAAAAATACAAAATTAGCCAGGCATAGTGGCGCATGCCTGTAATCCTAGCTACTCAGGAGGCTGAGGCAGGAGAATTGCCTGAACCTGGGAGGCGGAGGTTGTGGTGAGCCAAAATCCCGCCATTGCACTCTAGCCTGGGCAACAAGAGCGAAACTCCATCTCAAAAAAAAAAAAAAAAAAGGAAAAGGTGGATAAGTCTCTCTGGATTTATTTTCCTTACCTGTAAAAAGGAAATAACCATAATTACCTCAACTACTTCAGTAAAATTGTGTTGAACAAATTTTTTGAATTATAAAAGTAAATAGGTAAAAGATAGTTTATTAAATAGGATATAAAAAGGGTCAATAAACAAATGAAAATATGCTCAATATCAATAGCCAACTGAGAAATGCAAATTAAAGCCACAGTGAAATACACACCCACCAGAATGGCTAAAATTAAAGACTGATACTACCAAGTCCTGATGAACACATGGAACAATTAGAACTCTCATTCATTGCTGGTGGGAGTGTTAAATGGGACAACCACTTTAGAAAACATATTGGCAGTTTTTAAAAATAAAACTAACAGACATAACAGTAGTTCCATTTTGTGGTATTTACCCAAGATAAAAGAAAATGTATATTCACAGAACAGCTGTACATGAATGTTCATAGCTGTTTTATTCACAGTAGCCAAAAACTGGACACAAATATCAGTTGACGGGAGAATGGATAAGTAAATTGTGGTATATCCAGAACAATTAAAGACAAGTCAGTAATTTAAAAGAAGAACAAATTATTGATACACACAACATGCATAATCTTTTTTTTTTTTTTTTTTTTTTTTTTTTGAGACGGGAGTCTGGCTCTGTCGCCCAGGCTGGAGTGCGATGGCGCGATCTCGGCTCTGCAAGCTCCAGCCTCCCAGGTTGACGCCATTCTCCTGCCTCAGCCTCCCGAGTAGCTGGGACTATAGGCACCCGCCACCACGCCCAGCTAATTTTTTGTATTTTTAGTAGAGACGGGGTTTCACCGTGTTAGCCAGGATGATCTCGATCTCCTGACCTCGTGATCCGCCCACCTCGGCCTCCCCAAAGTGCTGGGATTACAGGCCTGAGCCACCGCGCCCAGCCACAACATGCATAATCTTAAAAATATTATGTTGAGTGAAAGAAGCCAGACACAAAAGAGTATGTACTGTATAACTGGATTTATGTAAAATTCTAGAATGGACAAAACTAAGCTATAGGGACAGCAGATCAGTGGTTGCCTGGGGCTTATGGGGGTTGGGGCAATTGGCTGCAAAGAGGCATGAGAGAACTTTCTGGAATGATGGAAAGGCTCTGTCTTCATTGGGGTGGTGGTTACATGTGTGTATACCTTTGGAAAAATTCATCAAGCTGTTCTTTTTCTTTCTTTTTTTTTTTTTTTTTTTTTTTTTTTTTGGAGACTGGGTCTTGTTCTGTTGCTCAGGTTTTCTACAGCCTCGACCTCCTGGGGTCAAGCAATCCTCCTGCCTCAGCCTCCTGTGTAGCTATGATTACAGGCCTATGCCACTATGCCCAGCTAATTTTTTAATTTTTTGTAGAGGCAGAGTCTCGCTATGTTGCCCAGGCTGGTCTCCCAACTCCTGGGGCTCAAGCATTCCCCTCACTCAGCTTCCCAAAGTGCTGGGATTACAGGCATGAGTCACCATGCCCAGCCAAGCTGTTCTTTTTTTTTTTTGAGATGGAGTCTCACTCTGTCGCCCAGGCTGGAGTGCAGTGGCACAATCTCAACTCACCGCAACCTCTGCCACCCGGGTTCAAGCAATTCTGCCTCAGCCTCCAGAGTAGCTCGGATTACAGGCGCCTGCCACTGTGCTTGGCTAATTTTGTTGTATTTTTAGTTGAGATGGGGTTTTACCATCTTGGCCGGGCTGGTCTCGAACTCCTGACCTCGTGATCCACTTACCTTCGACTCCCAAATTGGTGGGATTACAGGCGTGAGCCACTGCGCCCGGCCAATTTTTGTATTTTTAGTAGAGACAGGGTTTCACTATGTTGGCCAGGCTAGTCTCAAACTCCTGACCTTAGGTAATCCGCCCGCCTCAGCCTCCCAAAGTGGTGGGATTACAGGCATGAGCCACCATGTATGGCTGAGCACTCTTCCTCTAAAGTCTCCCCAAACTATGTTATGTCTCCTAAATTCTGAAAAAGTCCTTCTAAATATTCTAAAGCCACACTCTTTTAGACTTATTTCCAAGACCTCAGGGAGGCCTACCAGTCCTTCTCAGGCCACTGTAACTGACCTGAAGTGTCCTCTTACCCAGACCTCAGCTCCTTTGACCTCACCCTGGCAGGCCACTGGGACCTCGCCTGCTCCTCAGAGCTGACCCTGCCTGACACCCCTTGTTTCTCCCTTAAGCTTTGAGTGCAGAGACCCAGGACATTCAGGATTCAGCCACAGGTGCTCAGGGAATACTGGGTGGCCTCTGGCCTGGGTTCTCCAAGCCTTAGAAGCCACCCACCCATAATGTCTGGTCCACCCAATGCCCTGGCCCTTGGATGCTCATACTTTGGTGTCTCTCCTTAGGTATAAATAAAATAGTGTCAATAATTACATATCTTTGTCCTTGGCCTTTTTTTTTTTTCTCTCCATGACCTGCAAGTCACCGTGGATGGTGGCTGGGGTGGTTGGGCTTTACTGTTCTTTCCCACTGAGAGTGCAGACGAAAGACCTCTGCAACAACACCTGTGAACTGCCTGGTGCCTGTGTGGGCCCACTGCGGCCTCACCTCACACAATGTGGGCTGTGTAGACCAGAGCCAGAGAAAGTTAAAGCTGCTCATGCACTAGGGATAAACACAATTGACAGTGGTTACTGTCCTTCCAGAACATTTTTTTTCATGAAAATATGTGGGCTTGTTTGTAAGTGTGTGTTGGGGGGTCATTTGTTTTTAACAGGCTGGGCTCATGCTCTTTCAGCTCAATAAATATTTATTGATTAGCTACTGTATGCCAGGTACTGTTTTATATAACTGAAAATAATACTGTAACTTGCTGTTTTTTCTTAAAAGCATAAAATCTTTCCACATCAGTACATAATGATCTCCATCATTATTATTGACAGTCACATGGTAGTCCATAGCAAGGCAGTTTCACAACTCCAGAATTTAACTAATTTTAGACATTCAGATTGTCTCCATATACTTTTCCATTACAAGTAATGCTGCAGTGAATGCCTTTGTCATATGACCTTGTACACATTTGTAAATATTTCTAATAGACTCCTATAAGGGAAACTGCTTAATTAGAACAAATGTGCTGGCTGGGCGCAGTGGCTCACACCTGTAATCCCAGCATTTTCGGAGGCCGAGGCGGGCAGATCACCTAAGGTCAGGAGTTCAAGACCAGCCTGGCTAACATGGCAAAAACCCATCTCTACTAAAGATACAAAAATTAGCTGGGCATGGTGGCATGTGCCTGTAGTCTTGGCTTCTCAGGATGCTGAGGCAGGAGAATCGCTTGAACCTGGGAGGTGGAGGTTGCAGTGAGCGTCACTGCACTCCAGCCTGGGTGATAAAGCGAGACTCTGACTCATAAAAATAATAATAATAAAGTAAATATACTGAATTTTTTATTTTACTTTCTTTTTTGAGACAGGGTCTTGCCAGAGCAGCAGTACACCGATACAGGAGTACAGTTATGTGATCTCAGCTCACTGCAACCTCTGCCTCCCAGGTTCAAATGATCCTCCCGTCTCAGCCTTCCAAGTAGCTGGGATTATAGGTGCAGGCCACCATGCTGGGCCGATTTTTGTATTTTTAGTAGAGACAGGCTTTCACTGTGTTGCCTAGGCTGGTCTCGAACTGCTTTTTTTTTTTGTAACACTGTCTCACTCTGTCACCTAGGCTAGAGTGCAGTGGCACGATCTCAGCTCACTGCAACCTCTGCCTCCCGGGTTCAAGCATTTCTCCTGCCTCAGCCTTCCGAGTAGCTGGGACTACAGATGTGGGCCACCATGCCTATCTAATTTTTGTATTTTTAGTAGAGATAGGGTTTCACCATGTTGCCCAGGCTGATCTCGAACTCCTGATCTCAAGCGATCCACCTGCCTCGGCCTCCCAAGGTGCTGGGATTACAGGCGAGAGCCACCGCACCCCACCGAATGTTCTTAATTGTTGTACATAGGTGCTATGGTTTGAATATTTGTACCCTCCAAAACTCTTGTTGAAACTTAATTCCCAGTGTGGCAGTATTGGGAAGTGGGGTCTTTAAGAGGTGATTGGATAATGAGGGCTCTGCTTTCTCACAGATGGGTTCTTTCATTCATAAATTCGTGGATTAATGGGTTACTGTGGGAGGGGAGCTGGTGGCTTTATAAGAAGAGGAAGAGAGACCTGAGCTAGCACATTAGCACGTTCAGCCCCCTCACCATGTGGTGCTGTGCTCTGCCTTGGGACGCTGAAGAGAGTTCCCACCAGCAAGAAGGCTCTCACCAGATACAGCCCCTTGACCTTGGACTTCTCAGCCTCCATAAGAGTAAGAAATACACTTCTTTTCTTTATAAATTGCTCAGTTTTAGATATTCTGTTATAAGCAACAGAAAACAGACTAAGATACCAGGTATCAAGATTGTACCCATTCATTCCGCTACTACTAGTGTACAAGAAGGCCCTTTCCCCTACTCCCTGTGGCCTATCTTCAGTAATTTTGTCAATTTGATAGATAAAAATGGGCAATAATCTTTTCAACAGAAATCAGCCTCAGCGGTCGATACTGACTGAGCAGTTTACAACCTTCAGCACAGGGCACTTCTAAAGTGTAAACTGAGAGAGGCGAAGCTCTGGCCGCTCTCATGGGGAAGATTCGGATTTGGCTAACACTTGCACGGTCAGTCATGTACGTTCACACACTTGGTCTTCTTTCTCCCTCACCACCACCCTCTAAGGTAAATGTCATTATCTCATTTTTTCAGATGAGGAAACAGGCCCAGAGAGACTAACTTCTCTAAATCAAAAAGTTAAGAAGTAACAGCCCAGGGGGTGGGGGAGTCTGAGAGTGAAGGGAAGAGTAGCAGAGGCAAGGCCATCATTAACCCTGGAGCTTGCGTGGAGCCAGGACTGGGTCTCAAGGCAAGGCCAGACCAAGGGAGGAGTGGAGGAGGGAATGACATGAAATTCTTTGCCATGGGATGCAGACTGTGGAATCTGTTTTGCCTGTGCTCAAGGCTTGTCCTGGTTGGGCATGAGGTAGAGGCTGCAAAGAGTCCAGGGCCCTCAAATCCAGGGAGGGGAAGACACCAGGTCTGGTAATGCAGAAGGCCTGAGGAGAGATTGGGCAGGGATGTTACCCTGGTGATGACGGAGGTGGGTTGGAGTTGATTATATGGGTGCAGGCCTTGTCCACAAGCGAATGGGAAACTTCTTCCGTCCTCCTAGCTGGCCTGCCCAAAGCCCTTAGCACAGATCCCATTTCTCAAAAAACTATTAAAAAAAAGAGAAGAAAAGAAAAGTAAAAGAAAACCCCTCAACAGTCCTCTTTGCATAATGGTGGCTCTGAGCCTGGGATTTCCAAGGACAGACTCGTGTCTAACCACCTCTGGCTCCAGCACGTGCTGAGTGGTATTCAGCGCTCAGCATTCTGAAGAAATATTTTCAGCAGTCTTTCGGTGGGGACCCAGTAGGCAGCTAAGTGCCTTTGTCTGGAGATTCTCTTCCCTGGTGAAGGTCAGCTCAGCTGGACAGGCTTCCAGGGTCACAGAAACCTCTGTGGACCCACACGTACACTAGAAGCTGCCGCTCTGCAGGGGTGGCTTCATCTCAGCCCCTTTTCCCACACAACCTTGGTGCACAATATGCTACTCTCTGCCAGGGGTCTTAAGGGGAAGCTTAACACATGGCAGCATCACTGGAGTGGTGGTTTGCCGGTGTTTTCAGATGACAGAGGTCCGAAGAATACAGAAAAGGGCCTTGCATCCTGAACCTGGTGAAATTGTGGCCCAGGATCACAGGAAAAGAGCACACCTTTCCTCAGTCTTTTTATTTGTGAAAATAGTACAAATAATAGAAACTCTATTCTTTGGTTGGTTATGTGTTTATTCTTAGGAAATGCGTTTATATGCAGAGAGAAAAAGCAGAGGGAGAGAGAGCAAGCACATGCACATAATGTGGTAACGTCAGTGAATCTGGGGAAAAGGTATTTGGAAATTCCTTGTACATTCAACTTTTCTGTAAGTTTGAAATTGTATCAAAATAAAAAGTGAGTACTCTCTTCCCGCAGTGCATATACTAAAATTGGAACATACAGAGATTAGCATGGCCCCTGCGCAAGGATGATCAGATGGTTTGGATGGTTTTTTTTTTTTTTTTTTTTGAGACGGAGTCTCGCTCTATCGCCCAGGCTGGAGTGCAGTGGCGCGATCTCGGCTCACTGCAAACTCCGCCTCCCGGGTTCACACCATTCTTCTGCCTCAGCCTCCTGAGTAGCTGGGACTACAGGCACCCGCCACTGCGCCTGGCTAATTTTTTGTGTTTTTAGTAGAGACGGGGTTTCAGTGTGTTAGCCAGGATGGTCTCGATCTCCTGACCTTGTGATCTGCCTGCCTCGGCCTCCCAAAGTGCTGGGATTACAGGTGTGAGCCACTGCGCCCAGCCGGTTGGGATGCTTTGTCCCTTCCAAATCTCGTGTTAAAATGTGACCTCAGGCCGGGCGTGATGGCTCACACCTGCAATCCCAGCGTTTTGGGAGACCAAGGTGGGTGGATCACCTGAGGTCAGGAGTTCGAGACCAGCCTGGCCAACATGGTGAAACCCCATCTCTACTAAAAATACAAAAAGTGAGCCAGGCGTGGTGGCACATGCCTGTAATCCCAGCTACTTGGGAGGCTGAGGCAGGAGAACTACTTGAACCTGGGAGGTAGAGGTCGCAGTGAGCCAAGATTGTGCCATTGCACTCCAGCCTGGGCAACGAGCGAAACTACATCTCAAAAAAAAAAAAAAAAAAAGTGACCTCCAATGTTGGAGGTGGGCCTAATGGGAGATGTTTGGGTCATGGGAGCAGATGCCTCATGAATGGCTTGGTACTGTCCTTATGGTAGTGAGTGAGCTCTCACTCTGAGTTCACGTGAGATCTGGTTGTTTAAAAGAGCCTGGCACCTCCTCTCTCTTTTTCTCTCTCTCTCCCTCTCTCTCTCTCTCTGGTTGTTTAAAAGAGCCTGGCACCTCCTCTCTCTCTCTCTTGCTTGGTCCCTCTCTTGCCATGTGACACACTAGGTCCGCTTTGCCTTCCACCATGATTGTAAGCTTCCTGAGGCCTCACCAGCAGCAGATGCTGGTGCCATGCTTCTCATACAGCCTGTAGAACCGTAAGCCAAATAAACCACTTTTCTTTATAAATTACCCAGTCTCAGGTATTCCTTTTTTTTTTTTTTGAGACAGGATCTCACTCTGTCACCCAGGCTGGAGTGCAGTGGCACAATCTTGGAACTGACTCCCGGGCTCAAGTGATACTCCCACCTTAGTTAGCTTCCTGGGTAGCTGGGATTATAGGCGTGCGCCACCACCCGGCTAATTTTTGTATTTTTTGTAGAAACAGGGTTTTGCCATGTTGCCCAGGCTGGTCTTGAACTCCTGAGCTCAAGCAATCCACCCATCTCAGCCTTCAAAAGTGCTGGGTTTACAGGCATGGGCCACCGCACCTGGCCAGATATTCCTTTAGAGCAATGCAAAGTGGACTGATACAGATGACATGCAAATTTGTGAAGTGTTCCATATTTTTTACTGCATGTTCTCATTTATAAGTGGGAGCTAAATGTGTACACATGAACACAGAGTGTGGAATAGTAGACACTGGAGACTTGGGAGGGTAGGAGGGTGGGAGGTGGGTGAAGGATAGGAAATCAGGGGGTACAATGTGCATTATTTAGATGATGGTTACACTAAAAGCCCAGACTTCAACACTGTGTAATATATCTATGTAACAAAACTTCACCTATACCCCTTAAATTTATATTTCTTTTTTTTTATTTTTTTTTTGAGACAGAGTCTCACTCTGTCACCCAGGCTGGAGTGCAGTGGCGGGACCTCGGCTCACTGCAACCTCCGCCTCCCAGGTTCAAGCGATTCTCCTGCCTCAGCTTCCCGAGTAGCTGATATTACAGGTGTGAGCCACCGTGCCTGGCCAAATTTATATTTTTAAAAAGTAACAAAAAGAATTACAAAAACCAGAGGAGCATTTTTAGGTAAATTAATCTTCATTCCCACAAGACTAGCGCAAGATTGGGTTTAAATTTTGCATAGATTTTGATTTTTGTTGTTGTTGTTGTTTGAGACAGGGTCTTGCTCTGTCACCAAGGCTGGAATGCAGAGGCATGATCACCACTCTCTGCAGCCTCAACCTCCTGAGCTCAAGCAATCCTCCTACCTCAGCCTTCCAAGTAGCTGGCACCACAGACACACATCACCACACTTGGCTAATTTTTTTTAGAGATGGGGTCTATGTTGCTCAGGCTGCTCTCAAACTCCTGACTCAAGCGATCCACCCACCTCGGCTTCCTAAAGATTTTGTGTTTTTTTTTTAAATATGAAAAGACATGTTATTATTATTATTAGTGCATACACCAGATTGCACTGTCTCCAATGGCAAATGAGGCAGAGGGTAATATTTCTCTTTAATTCCCCAAGAACCTCAATATCATCTGTCTTCTGGAGGTTCCGGTTTCTTCTGACATCTGTGCTAATGTCCACGAAGATGCCAACCGTACTTAGCATAAAGAACATTTTGCTAAGTTGTTCTATTATGGGTTCTCGCTCAAGGTGTTCACTTTTTTCTTCTCTAGTTTTCAGCACTTGACCATGTGTTTCTTCATTATTATACACAGGATCTGGTCAAGGGATAGGTTTTGTGCGTTCATATGGAATGTCTATAGAAGGATGGTAACATACTATTGTCCTGGCATCAGGTGTCAAAGCAAATTCTACTTTGCAATTGTAGTCACCTGGAAAAGAAGAGTACGTAGATTTATGACAAACATAAGGCTCCATTTTGGATTGAAGATAAATGTTTCCAGATAGTTCTCTTTGATATCACCCGTCTTACTGCTGCTACTGCCATGTAGCAAGACACTTATCAGGTAGTATGAAAAAAGATGCTTCAAAGAGAATCTGCTTCTGGGCACATTAATTTTCATCCCTGCTTCACAGCTGTTCACCATGAGCCCATCATCTTGTCTCCTTATTTTTGCATAGATCTTAAATTATTTTTACCCAGTTGTAATCATGGACAAATTTGTAGTCTGCTTTTTTTCACTTAACATTAGTTATAAACTGTTCCATACTGCTGCATATTCTTTGTAATTATAATTTTAATGATTTATAATTTAATTGTTTTACTTGAATTTGTTTTCTTTCTTTTTTTTTTTTTTTTTTTTTTTTTGAGAGAGAATCTCACTCTGTCACCCAGGCTGGAATGCAGTGGCATGATCACAGATCACTGCAGCCTCGACTTCCCGGGTTCAGTTGATCCTCCCACTTCAGGCTGGCGCGTGCCACCAGACCTGGCTAATTTTTTTTATTTTTTGTAGAGGTAGGGGGTTTCACCATGTTGCCCAGGCTGGTCTCAAACTCCTGTGCTCAAGCAATCCTCCTGCCTCAGCTTCTCAAAGTGTTGGGATTACAGGCATGAGCCATTGCACCTGGCCAATTTACAATATTATATATCATAATTTCTATTCTCCTGTTGGTGGACATGTAAGAGGAAGAGGATAATGGTTCATCATGAGCTCTGTACCAGGTGCTGCCCACCACAGGCTACATACAGGCATTATCTTGTTTGACCCTCATGATCCTGCTATGCCCCAGGCTCTGTTCTAGTCTTGGGAACACATCAGCAAATTAAATAGACAAAATGGAACTTACATTCTAGTTGGTGTCAGGGTCGGGGGCAGATGTGCAATTAAAAGTATACATAATGCTGAAGAATTAAATGTTGAAGGAGTTTAAATTTTGAAAGTGTTTGCTATACATAATTGTCCTGCATTATTATTATTTTATTTATTTATTTTGAGATGGAGTTTCCCTCTGTTGCCCAGGCTGGAGTGCAGTGGCGTGATCTCAGCTCACTGCAACCTCTGCCTCCTGGGTTCAAGCGATTCTCCTGCCTCAGAAGGAGTAGCTGGGACTACAAGTGCGCACCACCACGCCCGGCTAATTTTTGTATTTTAGTAGAGACGGAGTTTCACCATATTGGCCAAGCTGGTCTCGAACTGCTGACCTTGTAATCCACCCACCTCAGCTCCCAAAGTGCTGGGATTACAGGCATGAGCCACCATGCCTGGCCATTGTCCTGCATTGTTATAAAGAGTTTTCAGCACGTTTTTTAAAAAAGGATACACATAATAAATAAGAAAAGTATGTATTATAAGATGCCAAATAATGTGTAAAAATAGCAGAGTAAGGAGAGTAATGGGTTTAGGAGGAGGGAGTGTTTTCATTTGAAATAGAGTAATTGGGGTAGACCACACCGAGAACATTTGAGCAAAGACTTGGAGGAGATGAGAGCAATCCCTGAATAACACATGAAGAAATCAAATTACTTTTACAATATGTTCTCGCTATGCCGTTAGAAAGCAGGCATTAGAAGGGCTAAGATCCCAAGAGGGGCTGGTGAAACTTGTATATATCTACATCATTGGCTAAAATATAAATCAGCCCAGTTCTTTTGTGAAGCATTATGTCAATTCACACAGCCATTTAAAATATTAATGACTTTTGACCTGGTAATCCCACTCCTGGGAATTTGTCCTAAGGAAATTTTTGCAAAGAAGAGAAAAAGCTCTATGTGGAAAGATCACTGCAGCAGTATCCATTTGTCTTAGTCAGGTCTAACCTTAGTCAGGTTTATTTCTCACAGTTCCGAGGTTGGAGTCTGAGAATTGGGGGCCAGCAGGGTCCAGTTCTGGGAGAAAGCCCTCTTCTGGGTCTCCAGCTGTATTAATCCATTCTCACACTGCTATAAGAACATACTGGAGACTGGGTAATTTGTACAGGAAAGAGGTTTAATTGGCTCACAGTTTGGCATGGCTGGGGACGCCTCAAGAAACTTACATTCATGGCAGAAGGGGAAGCAAATATGTTCTTCTTCACAGGGCAGCAGGAAGGAGAATGAGAGCCGACTGAAGGGGGAAGCCCCTTCTAAAACCATCAGATCTCGTGAGAACTTACTATCACAAGAATAGCATGAGGGAAACTGCCCCCTTGATTCAGTTACCTCCCGCTGGGTCCTTCCCACCACACGTGGGGATTGTGGGAACTACAATTCAAGATGAGACTTGGATTGGGACACAGCCAAACCATATCACCAACTGTCTACTTCTCATTGTATCCTCACATGGCAGAAGAGAACTAGCTAGGTCTCTGGCCCCTTTTTGTAAGGGCACTAATCCCATTGATAAAGGGTCCACTCTCATGACCTAATTACCTCCCCAAAGTTCCATCTCCATATACCATCACATCAGGATTAGTGTTTCAACATGTATATTTTAGAGGGACACAAACACACAGTCCATTGCACCATCAAAGTGAGGAAGTGATGGGCTCAGAATGGTCTTGGAGTCAGATGTCAGGGTCTGAAGGCTTGGCTGTATGATCTGCCACTTGGTATCTGTGTGGTCTTGGGTTTAGTGACTTGATCTTCCCGAGCCCATGCCTGCCGTGATGGAAGGAAATCAGTTTGGGAAAGTCCTGGGGGACCAGACTGTGGAGGGTCTTGACTGCTAAGCCAGCGACTCCAGGCTCTGTGCAGTCAGCAGGAGAATCATTACAGGTATTTGATCAGAGCTGTGCATCAGGAAGATTAACGTGACGGTGGCATATAAGATGAATGGAATGGGGGAGAATGCAGAGGTGGGGAGGCCACTTAGGAGACTTCTGCAGTAGTCTACATGAGAGGCAATGACTAATTAAATGAAACAGCCCAAACTGTATGAGCACCTTGTAGGTGATGAGCCATTATCATAGATCTCCAGCCTCTCCATAGCATCTGTTTTAAAGTCTGCACTGAACAGAAATATTACAGAATAATGCTTTATATTTCTAACCCTTTGCAGTTCAAAAAGTGCTTTCATGAGCATTCTCTCATTTGATCTAGGGTGTTTACAAATTTATATTTTGAAGGAGTTTTTCCACATATTGAAATTGGGCCTATAGATTTATAGTTTTCAGGGCCCGCCCCTTCTCTCCTCCTCCACTCAGCTTCCTTTCGTTCAGTCTTCAGGCACTTCATGGTTCTTTATTCCTTTTCACAACCAAAAAAAAAAAAGAAAAAAAATAGTGCATGCTGAACAACACACCAGGCTCCTTGCTAAGTCTCTCCAAAAGCAGGGAAGTCATCAGTGTGCGGGATTTGAGCACATGTGGTTTATTTAATCATTCGTTCATCTTTCTCTGATTGCAGTGGAGTTTCACACGTTCCACCATATGCTGTCCCTGAAATGCTCTGCACACACTAGTGAGAGCCCATGAGGGGGCCTAGCCTTTGCCTTCCCTCCTTGTCTGCCAGGATTGAAGGAGGAAATCAGGTTGGGAAAGTCCTGTGGGACCAAATTGTGGAGGAGCTTGACTGCTAAGCCAAGGACTCCAGACTCTATGCTGTCAGCAAGAGA
The DNA here is from genome assembly GCF_000001405.40 of Homo sapiens. Lineage (NCBI taxonomy): Eukaryota > Metazoa > Chordata > Mammalia > Primates > Hominidae > Homo > Homo sapiens. The sequence goes on from NC_000015.10 coordinate 40,535,966, forward strand.
AACATAGGTATTTGATCAGAGCTGCCCATGAGGAAGGTTAATCCAGCAGCGACTCCCTTAATCCAGCAGTGACTCCCTCCAGCTTCAGCCCTTCCCCAGTCTCAGGGTTGGAGGGAGTGTCTTTTGCTGGAGTCCCCCAAAGGGGTCCCAAGTCACCAGGAGACACAGGACTAGCGATCACCCAGGAGGCCTGCAGCCTGGGTCTCCACTGTGATTGAGGCTTCCTAACTCTGGCTTCTTGGGCTTCCAGAAGCACTAATGAGCAGGGCTGAGCAGTAATTAAGACTGTGCTCTGTTCCACATCATCACGCAGCACAGCTGCAACTGCTGGGAGGAAGGGGAAGGAGAGAAGACCGGGAAGATGCCTTTAGCCCTGTCTTCCCACTCTGAACCTACTTGCTCTCAGGCTCTCCAGTGCAGCAAGGAGGGGTTGGTAAAGCCATGGGATGAGGGAACAGCTACAGGAGATGGCTGCCCAGGGCTGGGGAAATAGCGTTCAGACACCAGCCAGCTGTTGCTGCTCCATTCTGCATCCCAGGTGGGGTGCCAATGGGCCAAGCCATGATTTTCTCAGAGGTGAGGACCCCTGTCTTGCAACCAGCCTGGCACTACAGGCCCTGCAGCAGGAGGGGGCTGTGATCTGGCCAGGGGGAGCTGGGTGGAGGACGAGTATGACACATGAAATTATGAGTCTCGGACCTTCTCTGGCTCACATCCCAGAACAGGGGCCTCTCTTGGCAAGGGCCCACTGCAAGAACAAGTACTCAATGAGCAACACAGAGCCAAGCTCTGGAGGTTCACAGGTCACACTACAAGCCAGTTCATTCCACGGAACACACTCTCCAGTGGAGAAGTGGAGGTCAAAACAGAGTCATGACTGCTACGATGGTGATGAGAAAAAGTTCCATGGGGCCACAGAGTCACCTAGGGTCGACTGAGGACAGCTTCACTTATATGGTGGCACTTGAACTGAACCTTGAAGTAGAAGAGGGATTCACCAGAAAATATGGTTTTGGCAAAGGGAATAGAGAACAAAGGCAGGTGGCATGAGATAGTCAGCTGCCAGGAGACGTGGTGGGCCTGGCCCAGAGCATGAGTGGAGCGAGAAGGGAAGGATTCTGGAGAAAGGAACCAAGAGAATCTAGAATTCTAAAGGACCACCAGGGGCTCCAGGCCTGGCAGGAGCAACTAACAGGATGACCCACCTTCCCCAACTTACACCACCTCAGGCGCTGGGCAGATGCTCTGTGACTTTATCAGTATCCCTGGGGAGTGGTGCCAGCCCCAGGTGCTGAGCTGGAGGGGGGATCACAGAGGAATCAAGGGACTCAAGGAGGGAAGGCAGCTGGAGGGAAGGGGCTTGGGCAGAACGAAAGAGGAAGGGGCTTGGCCCTGGGCTCTCATCCACTCCTGAAGCCCATGCAGGGAACAGTGAATGATGCAGTGCCTGTGTCCCAAGGTCCCAGCCTCGTGTGGGACCATCGGGGCACTAGCAGCCTTCCTGTCTCCTACCCCTTGCTCTGGGGGCCACGGGTACATGAAGGTTTCCAGAACCCAGGGAAGAGGCCAGAGGTTCAGTAATAGCTCTACAGGAGCATAACTAGAGAGTGATGACCAACTCCCAAAATACAGAATGTTTATTTTGAGCTCCACAATACATGTCAGTCAGAGAAAGGTTCGAGTCTCAAAAATGCTGGCTCTTGGCCAGACGCGTTGGCTCATGCCTGTAATCCCAGCACTTTGGGAGGCTGAGGTGGGCGGATCACTTGAGGTCAGGAGTTCAAGACCAACCTGGCCAACATGGTGAAACCCCGTCTCTACTAAAAATAGAAAAATTAGCCAGGCATGGCAGTGGGCACCTGTAATCTCAGCTACTGGGGAGGCTGAGGCAGGAGAATTGCTTGAACCTGGGAGGTGGAGGTTGCAGTGAGCCGAGATGGTGCCACTGCATTCCAGCCTGGGTGATAGAGTAAGACTCCGCCTCAGAAAAAAAAGCTGGAGCTTCAGTAATGCTGACCACTTTTAAATATATGTAATCAGCACTCATTTCAAATAGTCTTTTAGCAGCATGCTAACTTATGACTACAAGGTCTGCGGTCCCCTCTCCTGCCAAGTGTCCCCTTCCCCTGTACAAGTGGCCCAGAGGCAGTTCTCCAAGGGGATTTGGGGACTGTACTCCTGTATAAAAGAAAGCCTGTGGTGCTGCTGTGTTAAGTTACCCACCTATTGGCTGGTGAGTGCCCCCTTCATGTCTTTCCTGAAGGTAGATTTTCAGTAAATAAGAAGACCACATTTTTTATTCTGAGGCTATGGTCTTGTTTTCCATAGCAGTGTGTCCCAGAAAGCTCGAGATCTCTTGCATGGCCATGATTTGAAAGTCTGGAAATGGGATCCACTGGTAAGCTATGTTCTCCATGGAGCTCACCTGAGGCTGCCCTGCACCCCTCGCCTCTCCCTCAAGGGGTCACAGGGCACCTGTGGGCACCTCTTTCTGCTGCCTGTATGTCCGCCCCAATAGGAGAAAGAGGGGGCATAGAGGGAAATGAGTCTCCTTCACTGGTTCGAATTAGCGGGAAGCCTGTGAGTCCAAGCCCCCCTCAAATTCAGGCAACGACCAATCCGGCTTCCCTTTCTGTGCCCTTGTCAGAGAAGAGGCCGCTGGGCCCAGGCCTGTCCCTTTCCTCCAACCTGGCAGGCATGGGAAGCAACTGTGGAGGAATTTTAGAGCTGGGAGAAGCAGAGGGAGGATTGGAAAGCCTTTTATTTTCTTTGAACTTTTCCATTTAAAATATTTCTATTTTTAAAAGAATAATTTGGTTCTTTTTAATTTAGCATGTTTTCCTTAGAGCAATAAAGGCTTTTGCAATATGGAAAAGGTGACATTTGATCTGAAGGAGTCTGGGGGAGCTCTGAGTATAGGGAACTGACCTTTAGTACCCACCCATGAGCGCTGCCAACTGGGGGCCTGAGGTCTAGTGCTTGCCACAGGTGGGCTCACCGCAGGAGCCTGCTGGTGACCAGCCTGTCCCTCTTCCCATGGGTTCTCTAGCTGGCTCTGACTAAAGCCCTGTCTCTCTCTTGGCTCTCTCGCCAGCTGTCCCACTTCTCAGCTTCTCCCTTTCTTCATTCAGCCCAGCCCAGAAGCCCTGAGGGCTGGGCCAGAGGGAAGTAGTTGTTGCTGTTTCTCCCCAGCTCCCGCTCAAACCTGACACCACAGAAAGGTCAATCCCACATGGTTCTGCACATCCCTGCCTGGCCCGCCCTGGCTGTTACCATGACGACTGCTGGGCTGGAAATGTCCTTCGCCACCTCTGCTCAGCACACTGGTGGCTGTCCCACGCTCCATCCTCAGAAAAGCTGCTGCTGCCAGGGGTTCTGGAGTTACAGGGCCTATGGGAATAAGACAGACCGACAGAGACGAGGAAGATAGACAGATACAGTCAGAGGCACACACTAACAGAGTCAAAGAGAGACAGGCATACATAGGAGCACCGAGAGTGCGAAGGTGCGAGGAAGTGAGGTGTCGACACAGCCTCAGCCGTGCAGGACTGCAGGAAAAATAAAGCAAAGTGGAGCCTGAGACAGAGACAAGAGACAAACGGAGGCACAGGGGACACGGGGGCCCGTGGCACCACAGCAAGAGGCCAGGCAGAGGAAGAGAGGAAAAGCAGAGACCAAGGCAGTCAGCTCTCCGCTGCCCCTGCTCCCATCCCAGGAAATTTCCTTGCCCAATAGGTCTCTCTTGGCCTCCTGCTCTCTGAGATGTCAGGCAGGGTCTGTCTGAGTTGATTTGTTGGCCAGGCTGTTCCTCTGGCTGGACAACATTTGCCACCTTAAGAGGGGCCCTCCCCTAATAAGAGTGATCAAACTGTTGCCACACACACACACACACACACACACACACACACACACACACCCCGCTCCTTGCCCTTGATTCCATGTCACCCCAAACTCATCATAAATACCTACTCAGCCTCACTTCGCCCAGGTGGTGAAATGGGCATTGGAACAGTGTGAAGGGTTGATTTTCAAATTGCGGCAAAATCTAGGGAATAAGTGTGAACCTCAGAGATGATGATGCCCCTGGAGGTAATGAATGGGCAAGAGGAGGGAAAAGACAGACTGAACAGTGAGTACCAGACAAGAGTGTGGGGCCCAGAGGGTGGGAGAAGGGATCAGGGAAGAGAGAGACAGGCTCAGAGCTCTGACTAGGGCAATCCAGAGGAGTGGTAACAGGAGGGCTGGGCCAACTGGATTGGCCTTTAGTGCCTGGCAGGGAACACTGCCTCTAACATCAGTGCCATGATTTCCCATCTTTGAAGTGTCTCCAAGGCTTTGAGGGAGGCTTCTCAGGGTCTTTGAATTCTTTGTCGTTCTTCTTAGCATTTTTTTCTTTTTCTTTTTCTTTTTTTTTTTTTTTGAGGTGGCGTCTCGCTCTGTTGTGCAGGCTGGAGAGCAATGGCGTGATATCGGCTCACTGCAACCTCCGCCTCCTGGGTTCAAGCTATTCTCCTTCTTCAGCCTCCCGAGTAGCTGGGATTACAGGCGCCTGCCACCATGCCTGGGTAATTTTTTGTATTTTTAGTAGAAACAGGGTTTCACCATGCTGGCCAGGCTGGTCTCCAACTCCTGGCCTCAGGTGATCTGCCTGCCTTGGCCTCCCAAAGTGCTGGGATTACAGGTGTGAGCCACTGCACCCAGCCCAGCATTTTCTTCTTAGAAAATGATTAGGCTGTCAATACAGGAAACTCTGGGGCCGGGCCAGTCTCTCATCTATCCTAACCTTGACCACAGTGTGAAAGGACAGTAGAGTCAGTGCCCCTAATGTCACCATGTTCCAAGCTCACATATGAGTGTTGAACAGGTGCCAGCCTGGAGCGTCCATTGCCCTGGTGCCCTCAGTCCAGAGAGCCCAGTGAGAAGCTGGGCCAAGAAGGAAGACTTGAACCCAAGAGAGCAGTGTGTGGACATTCAGACTAGGCTGGGCTGAACTCACCCCCGGGGAGAACCACTTCCCACACTGGGCCACAGAGACCAAAATGTCAAAACCAAAGGTCCCGCACAGCCCTGGAAGGCGGATCCTGGCCTGGGCGGGAAAGAGACTGTGCCAGATGCTCACGCGCTGCCTCACATCCCTCCAGCCCATTTCTGTGACCAGCCGCAGCTGCAGCGGATGCTTCTGGTACATGCTCAGTTTCCCTCCTCTCTCCTCTGCGTGAGGCTTTTCTTAGCCCCTGCAGGGCTGCCTGAAAGTGGCAGGGGCTTAATACCTCCAAAGAGCAAACCTCAACCAATGAAGGATGGGCACTGGTGGAACTGCAGCCCAGATGTGCCCCGTCAGTCAGTGGCAAAATTCTGAGCTGTAATATTTTTTTTTTTTTTTTTGAGACGGAGTCTCGCTCTGTCACCCAGGCTGGAGTGCAGTGGCTCCATCTCGGCTCACTGCAACCTCCGCCTCCCGGGTTCAAGCAATTCTCCTGTCTCATCCTCCCAAGTAGCTGGGACTATGGGCACACACCACCAACCCGGCTAATTTTTGTATTTTTAGTAGAGACATGGTTTTGCCATGTTGGCCAGGCTGGTCTCGAACTCCTGACCTCAGGTGATCCACCCGCCTCAGCCTCCCACAGTGTTGGGATTACAGGCCACCGCGCTTAGCCTAAGCCATAATCTTTATGTCTCCTCAGAGTGATCCCAGGGCGACAGCCCTAACTACCCACAGTGGACCTACTCAACACAGGGAGCTGTCTCATTCTCCTCCCTCCCTCACTCCTGCTCACCCCCTAAAATCAGCCACCTACATACAGGTCCTTGTCTCAAGGTACACGTTCAGAGAACATAAAACAGCACAAGAGCGACCTTTTTGTGATCTTCCAACCCAAGAGTCTGTCCCTCAGGGTTGAGCTAAGATAAGAACTGTTGGAGGGCTCTGCCTCTGACCACTGACTGGTAGGTGATCAGGTGTTTGTCATTATTATCTAGGGAGGAGAAAGAAGAACTCACCAGCTCTCCCTCCCAAATGCTGGGGAGACCAGGGCTGACTTAACAGCAGCAAGCCCCCATAGGTCTCCAGTAGCCAACCACAGATTTTCATAATTGGAAAGGACCTTAGGGGTGACCTGATCCAACTTTCTACACAATGCAGGAATCCCCTTTACAACCTTTCTGACATCTGCTGACACACCTCCAGTGACAGGGAATTACTATCTTCTACAAGGCCACCCTATTGTTGAACAGCTATTAGAAAGTTCTTAACACTGAATGGTAATTGGTCTTCCTGAAACTCCCTGCCATTGGTCCTAGTTTGTCCTTTGTACTTCAGTGTGTCTCAGCTTTCTACCCAATACTCCTTCAAATATTTTAAAGCCAACCGGGTCTCTCTTAAATCTCTTTTCTATGGAAAACAATCTTATTGTCTTGTCCTGTCTTCAAATAACTCGATCTGAGCCTGCTCACCCTGGACCCCTCCTCTAGGGAGCATTGCAGTTTGTCGATGTTCCTCTGTAGGAAAAGACCCTGTTGCAAGAATGGCACCACCTTGAAGCAAAACTGCCATAATGACTGATGTTTGACTCCTGCATACCAAGGCATTCCTGTGGCAAGGTCAAGAAACAATGCCTGGGCCGGGCGCAGTGGCTCATGCCTGTAATCCCAGCACTTTGGGAGGCTGAGGCGGGAGGATCACGAGGTCAGGAGATTGAGACCATCCTGGCTAATACGGTGAAACCCCGTCTCTACTAAAAAATACAAAAAATTAGCCGGGCATGGTGGCAGGCACCTGTAGTCCCAGCTACTCAGGAGGTTGAGGCAGGAGAATGGTGTGAACCCGGGAGCAGAGGTTGCCACTGCACTCCAGCCTGGGGGACAGAGCGAGACTTTGTCTCAAAAGAAAAAAAAAAAAAAGATGCCTGGCCAGGTGGGGTGGCTCATGCCTATAATCCCAACACTTTGGAAGGCCAAGGTAGGAGGATTGTTTGAGCCCAGGAGTATGAGACCAGCCTGGGCAACATACTGAGACTTTTCTTAAAAAAAAAAAAAAATTAGCCAGGGGTATAGTCACAGCAAACTCAGGAGGCTGAGGAGGGAGGACAGCTTGAGCCCGGGAGGTTGAGGCTGCAATAAGCTGTGATAATGCCACTACACTCTAGCCTGGGTGACAGAGCCAGACTCTGTCTAAAAAAAAAAACAAAATGGAAAAGAAAGAGAAAAAAGAAAAGAAAGAATGCCTGTAGCATAAATAACCCCTCATAAAGATGCTTATCTAACCTCCCCAGTGGTCATGAAACTTGCAATAAAGTCTGAGGTGTGACCAGCTGCACATGTTTTCCCCTAAAAACTTGTTATACAAAGGATACTTTCTGGAGGGCGGGCATGGAAACCACCATCTCGTGACCAACCAAGGTATGGCTTCTGTGCATAAGTTTCTATTAAGCATTTATCTCTGAGAAACTAGATTCGTCAGCCTCTCTCTCTGTTTTGTTTTTGTTGTTGTTGTTGTTGTTTTTTTGAGACAGAGTCCCACTCTGTCGCCCAGGCTGGAATGCAGTGGCATGATCTTGGCTCACTGCAACCTCTGCCTCCCAGGTTCAAGAGATTCTTCTGCCTCAGCCTCCTAAGTAGCTGGGAGTACAGGCGCACGCCACCGTGCCCAGCTAATTTTTGTATTTTTAGTAGAAATGGAGTTTCCCCATATTGGCCAGGCTGGTCTCAAACTCCTAACCTCGTGATCCACCCACCTCAGCCTCCCAAAGTGCTGGGATTACAGGTATGAGCCACTGCACCCGGGCTTGTCAGCCTGTTTCTTTGGCCCCTCAGCTCTCTTGGCCTTTAGGGGTAGGTTTGCATAGACCTGCTCACTGCAGAACATCCTCTTGCAATGTGGTGCCCAGACGATGCTTTCAGAGAGGCATGACCACTGCAGAATATATTTTTACACTACTATGTCCCAGGTACACAGGTACATTTCCACTATTGATTCCTAGAATTATAACTTTTTTTTAGCAGCACATAACACTGCTGACTCCATTGAACTGTTAAGACACTGAACACCTGTTTGGGGTTTTCCATACCACTTTCCCCTTTCTTCAGCCAACAGCAATCCTCTTTCACTTCCCATTCTCATATGGTTCTGGTGGGACTGTTTACCACAGTATCCTGTACCCCTAACCATAGATCTTGCCCTTGTCATAGTCAGTGCTCCAATGATGAGCATGTGACCCAGGCCAAGCCAATCTGAGTCCCTCCCCTGGAATGTATTTATTTATTTGAGACAGGATCTTGCTCTGTCGCCCAGGATAGGGTGCGGTAGGGCAATCATAGCTCACTGCAGCCTCAACCTCCTGGGCTCAAGCAATCCTCCCACCTCAGCATCCCGAGTAGCTGGACTACAGGCATGCAGTACCACGCCAGGCTAATTTTTAAATTTTTTTTTTGTAGAGACGGGGTCTCTTTCTGTTGCCCAGGCTGGTCTCAAACTCCTGGGCTCAAGTGATCCTCCCACCTTGGCCTCCCAAAGTGCTGGGATTGTTAAGCCTAAACCACTGTGCGGAGCCCCCTGGCATCTATTATATGGGGTTGGAAAGTGTTATCTTTCCTCTGGACTTCCTAAACTGGAATCATGTCAGCCCAGAGCTCCCTGTGCTATACCAACACACAGAGAGAGTCAACAGTGGGAGGAAGAGAGGCTAAAGATACTGCTGGAGTCCTGAGGTCCAGCTAACTGAAGCCAGCTCTATATGTCTTAGACTAGAATTGAGTCCGGCTTGGATTTTTTTTTTTCAACAGCCTTGGAAAACTTTCCAGAGTCTGGCTTCTTGGCTTCTGTCACTAGAACAAACTAATAAATACTCTGTTCTTCTCTGTCCTCTAGTTGTGTAGTTAATTTCTGATCCCAAATGAAAGATTTCACATTTATCTGTATCATGTTTCATACTTTGTCCCATCACTCTAGTCTATAGAAAAATTTTAGAATTGTTATTCTTTTATTCAATTACCTACTCCTCTCACTTTTGATAAGGTTACCTTCTATTCACTCAACCAAATCATTGATAAAGATGTTGAGCTGAACAGAGGAAAAAGAAACCAACAACATGTCAGTTTATCAATCCAAGAGTTTACCTTTGGGATGATTGTTCTAACAACTGTGGGTCTCCTCTACCATACTCTTACCCAATGTACACTCCGCATCCTGTCTGCCTTGATCAGGCACCATGCTGAAGACCACACTGCACCTTGGCATTCTGCTAAGCCAATATTTGATGGTCTCATCCCCAAAGGATGTAAGATTAAAGAGCCAAAACTGGTCCTGGAAATATCTGTTCTTTAAAATGCTCATAAACTCTCAGTAACCTATCTGCTTTCTTCTGCACACATACACACACACACACACACAATCCCTCTCACCTTTGCCTCCTCCCTTTCTACTTATCTGCTAAAGAAGTAATTTTTAAAAGTGGATTACGTCAAAATGAAGGGAGGAGAGAGTCAGTTTGTTTGGGAAAAGAAAACCTTTAGAGCAATGTGTGACACAACACTTGGGACAGAGGAGGTGGAGAGAATGGGGGGAGATGAACATCTCTCTGCCACACATTGACTAATAGGAATAGTACATTGAGGGCTTAGGAAAGGCTGGGGCTGGAGGCTAGGGAATCGAGGAGCAAAGGCCCACTACTGTTCCACTTTGGCCTGTAGGAGGTGGTGTGGGGTACCAGCAGAGAGCACAGGCACTGGAGAGCTAGGCTTGGCTCTCCATCCTGGCACCACCACCTGCTAACCACCCACTACTACCTGCTGAGAGCCTGCAGCTCCCAAGACAGACACTCAGGTGCCACACTTCCCTCCACTCAGTGACCAAGCCTCAGTGGTTCTCCTTGCAAATGCTCCCATATCCACTTCTCTCTAGCCTTGCCGCCACACCTCATTCATGTAACTATCATCTCTTCAAAGATTTATTCTGCCTCATTCTCTCTCTCTTCACCTTCTGAGGCTGGAATCACATGTATATTAGACTGTTATTGTCCCACAGCTCTTATAGGTTTTGCTTTGTTTTGCTTTTCCCCCATCCCAGTTTCTCTTTGTGTTTTAGTTCAGAGAATTTTTATTGACCAGTTCAAGTTCACTGGTTCTTCACCTATGCCTACCTACTGAAAAGCCTGTGGAAGCAATTCATCTCTAATATCATGTTTATTTCTAGCATTTCCATTTGACTTTATTTTTTCTTTTTCTTTCCTTTTTTTTTTTTTTCTGAGATAGGGTCTCACCCTGTCACCCAGGCTGGAGGGCAGTGGCATGATCTTGGCTCACTGCAACCTCCGCCTTCTGGGTTCAAGTGATTCTCTTGCCTCAGCCTCCCAAGTAGCTGGGACCACAGGCACGAGCCACCATGCCTGGCTAATTTCTGTATTTTTTGGTGAGATGAGGTCTCATGTTGCCCAGGCTGGTCTCAAACTCCTGTGCTCATGTGCTCCTCCTGCCTTGGCCTCCCAAAGTGCTGGTATTACAGGCATGAGCCACCACGTCCAGCCCCATTTCACTTTCTCTTAGTTTCCATGTCTCTGCCAAAATTCCCTATCTGTTCATGCAAGTTGCCCACCCTTCCCCACCAGACCCCATAGTAATTATAATTATTTTAAGTCCCTCTGTGATAGTTCCAACATCTGTGTCATTTGTGAGTCTGGTTCTGTTGATTCATCTTCTGATAATGGATTGGGTTGTTTTCTTCTTGTCTTTTTGTGTGTTTTGCAATTTTTTTTTTTTTGAGACAGTCTTGCTCTGTTGCCCAGGCTGGAGTGTAGTGGGGCCATCTCAGCTCACTGCAACCTCACCCTCCCAGGTTCAAGTGATTCTCCTGCCTCAGCCTGTGGAGTAGCTGGGACTACAGGCACACACCACCAACACCTGGCTAATTTTTGTATTTTTAGTAGAGATGGGGTTTCGCCATGTTGACCAGGCTGGTCTGAAACTCCTGACCTCAGGTGATACACCTGTCTCGGCCTCCCAAAGTGCTAGGATTACAAGTGTGAGCCATAGCGCCTGACCTATGTTTTGCAGTTTTTTAACTGAATGCCCATGGTGTATAAAACAGCAGAGACTGAGGTAAATAGTATCTGTATCTGGGAGTGGGGCTGCCTCTTCTGTCAGCCTGTTGGTCTGGGGGGTTGAGTCAGTCTTGTTAGGAATTGGACAGGGTTTGGGTTTGGTTGTGCTCTCATTACCTTCAGTGCACCCCAGGTTTCAAATTCCTCTAGTGGTGGGCTGCTTAGAGTGGGGACTGGGGTGTCAGGGCTTCCTCAGTGCTGCTGTCCCACACTCAGCTTTTCAGCTGGCAGAAGACTTCTGTTGCTTGTGATCTGGTGCCAGGCTCAGGCAGGGCAGGGCAGGGTTGATTCTGTTACCCTGGCCCGGCTTCAGTCTTAAATAGGTCCTAGGCACCCGAGCTTCAGCAGTGGGACTTTCTCAGTGTTTCTGTCCCTCTTCCCTATGGAAGCCAAACTCTGCCTTATATGTGGTTCATCTGGGATTAGCCAAAGTTCTTGCCCTCCCCACAACAGAGTGGACCTTCGCTTGAATCTTCAGCCCAGGACAGTTTCCTGCTTCTGCCCCTGGGTAGGGGGTTTCTGCTTCTAGTCCCAGGAGCAATGGGTCTTTGCCTGTTCAAGAAGGGCAAGAAGGTTTTGACACCTCACCAGAAGCAGATAAGTTTTGCTTTTATTCCTCCCACTGAAGCAAAAGTTTGTTACCCCTCCCGCCATGGCTTAAGGCTTTTGCTTAAAGGAGAGGATTGTGGAAGTTGAGGCTTTTTGCCTTCCACCAGCAGCCGCCTTGATCAACCTCTGCATGCATGCATCACCAAGGAAGAACAGTCCCTCCCTTTCCTGACCTGTTCCCACTTTTCTCCATGAACCCCAGGGGAGGCCTGTACAAAAAAGGTTGCCTTTGCACGCACTCTCGTGTCTAGAATCCTATTCAGCTATTCTAAACTGATATGCTAGGCCACATGTGGACTTTACAAATTTGTTAACATTTTTATTGTCTTTTTCTTACCCACTTGTAAGACAGCCACATCTTTGCCAAAGTTGAAACAGTTGATGGGTCACTATCTCTCCTTCTATTTCCTCTCACTCCTATTCATTTCTATGAACTCAGCTCCCCTAACACTATCTCTCCTTTATTTGGTTGCCTTGTGGCCTTGGCTTTCTGATGGGCTCAAGAAAAGTTATGATTTTGTACCTGCTTTTTCACATTGTTAGGACGGAAGGGACATTTTCTTGCAGTATTCTACATCCTAAGTGGAAAAAGTCCTCAAGTACTATCATCTCTTTCTTAGACAACTGCAACCACCTCACAGCTGGTCTCCTGTGTCCAATTTTGCCCCTCTCCCTACTGTAGCCAGCATAAGTATTAAATTCTGCAACCATCGCAGACTAGAGGGGGCTGCAAAATAAAATACTTAAAAATTAGCTACTTAAAACCTGAAGCTTAGCTTATGGTGCATTGGTTATCTATTGCTGAGTAACAAATCAACCCAAAACTTAGTGGTTTAAACCATGACATTTATTGAATCTGTAGGGCTTTGCAGGGACAGCTTGTCTCTGTACCACTTGGTGTCACCTGGGACAGCTTAAAAACTGGGGGATGAAATCATTTGAATTACTTACTTATATGTCTGATGCCTGGGGTGGGAAGACTCAAACAGCTGGGACTCCCTGGGCTTCTCTACCTCTCTGTGGCCGACTTCTTACATGCCGGCTCAGAACTACCAAGGAGCATGCTGAGAGAGAGAGAGAGAGACCCCAGGTGGAGTGCTTTCATGACCTTGCCTCAGAAGTCCCATTATTTATGCTGTACTCTATTAGCAAGGCAGTTACATAGGTCTGCCCAGGTTCAAAGGGAGGGAATATTGACTGAAGATCTCAGGGGAGGAGTGTCCACATCACACTGGAACATGAATGAGTGGGATGGGATACACTGATTTGGCCATCTTTGGAAAATACAATCTGCCATACATGATTCTACTTGTTCTGTAATAGTGAAAAAATAACAAGAAAAATTGAAGTAGAAAATAAAAACAAAGAAAAACCATTTCACATAGACATGTATCGCTGCCAAGTGTGAATAACTTGTCCACCCTCAATCACTTTAATTATGGCAAACCCATGGCAGCCATAACCTTCTAGATGTAAATCTCATCTTGTCACTGCCCCTCTTAAAATCAGCCATTAGCTCCCTGTTCTCCCACAATAAACTCCAAACTCCTTAACATGGTTTATAAAATCCTTCACACCTGGCCTTGTTTAGTAATTTCCACCCTCACCTCTCGTCTGTCCCTCCTTTGTTCTTTGTGCTCCAGCTACACTGAACTACCTTCCATCCTCCAAGTTCCCTTTTGCTTTTAGGGCTTTGCACATGCTGTTTTCCTCTTCCAGGACTCCTCTTGGTCCCCATGCTCTTACTCTTCTATTTCCTCTCACTCCTATTCATTTCTATGGACTCAGCTCCCCTAACACGGCCTCTCTCCTACCCCACTCCAACTGGTCTAGGGCTCTCATATCTCCTTCCCATGTGCTCTCAAAGCACCTTGTGCTTACAACTTCCACAGAATTAATGAGGTAGGCTCTACTCCCCCCTCCATCATTCT